>NC_000011.10:73479938-73782968 GCF_000001405.40 Homo sapiens | reverse complement strand
TGAACCTGGGAGGCGGAGGTTGCAGTGAGCCTTGATTGTGCCACTGCACCCAGCCTGGGCAACAGAGCAAGAATCCTCAAAAAAAAAAATTAATAATAATAATAGGCCAGGTGTGGTGGTGGCTCACGCCTGTAATCCCAGCACTTTGGGAGACTGAGGCTGGTACATCACCTGAGGTCAGGAGTTTGAGACCAGTGTGGCTAACATGGTGAAACCCCGTCTCTACTAAAAAAAAGTTAGCCGGGCTTGGTGGTGGGCGCCTGTAATCCCAGCTGCTCAGGAGGCTGAGGCAAGAGAATCACTTGAACCCAGGAGGTGGATGTTGCAGTGAGCCGAGATCACACCATTGCATTCCAGCCTGGGCAATAAAAGCGAAACTCTGTCTCAAAAAATAGTAATAATAATAAAAGTTGCTTTTTTTTTTTTTGAGACGGAGTCTCGCTCTGTCCCCCAAGCTGGAGTGCAGTGGCATGATCTCGGCTCACTGCAAGCTCTGCCTCCTGTGTTCATGCCATTCTCCTGCCTCAGCCTCCCGAGTAGCTGGGACTACAGGCGCCCACCACCATGCCCGGCTAATTTTTTGTATTTTTAGTAGAGGCGGGGTTTCACCGTGTTAGCCAGGATGGTCTCGATCTCCTGACCTCATGATCTGCCCGTCTCAGCCTCCAAAAGTGCTGGGATTACAGGTGTGAGCCACCGTGCCAGGCCAATAATAATAAAAGTTTAAAAACCCTTCAATAGCTACTTACAGCCCTCCAATTTAACAATACGCTCCTTAACCTGGCATTTTAGCTTTCATGATCTGTCTCCAGTTTACCATTCAGCCATTCCTATTCACATGTGCATTGCATATACCACACTGATAACTGTTCAACACATTTTCCTATACCTCCTTTATATACTTTTTAATTTGTTTTATAGTTGTTTGAAGATGTGTTTTTTCAAACCACCAGACAGTGCTCCTTGATGTTCTGATCCTTGTCTGATCCCACTCTGTGTTTCTCTCAACATATTTTTAGCATCTACACATTGTAGGTATCAGAAATAATTTGTGGATGAACATTGGGCTTGCTGAAGAATACTAAGAACTTTGACTCTAAGTTTTTGATCAAAGTAGAGATGATTGTCATGATTAGCAACTCTTATTTTAGCCCTTGAGAGCCTTTTCTTCAAAAAAGTAGGGAGGTTGCTTCTTTTCTGAGAAAACACCAAATGGCGGATGACGCCGGTGCAGCGTGGGGGCCAAAACTTATGGCACGGGAGTAAATTCAGCATTAAAATAAATGTAATTAAAAGGAAAAAAAAAAGTAGGGAGGCATAATTAACTATAAAACATTTGGAAAATACAGAAAAGTAAAAACAACAACAGCAAAAATCAACACCACCCAGCCGGTCACGGGTCCTATAATGGTCTTAGATTTCATTGTTCTGCCGTACATTGTTAACGGTCTAGTTAGAGAACAATTACATGGTTATTTCCATTTTACAGATGATGAAACTGAGACTCGGTTCAAATGAATACATTATCCATTAAGTCTGGCTGCAAGGAAACCAGACCTTCCAACTTTGTTGTGGTCCCTACCCCTTTCTTGAATCCGAAGCCCCCTCTTTTTGAATCCCAACTCTTCCTGAAACTGGGCTGCTTAGCATCTCAGGGCTCTCCAACATGCCTATTTTTATGATGAAATGCGCAACAAACTTTTACCCTAAACCACTTGAGGTAACCTGCTCCTTACCACCAAAATAACTCAATTCTTCATTTAAAACAAGTCACTCTGAGTTGATAATGCTGTTTTGGAATAAAAAACTCTTCTGGCCTTAAGAAGGACTATTCTATATGCTCTGCCATATAGGCCTATGGAAATTAATATACCATTTGGCTTTTGCCACACCTCCTCCTACAATTTTTTTTCTCTCTCTCTCTCCTCTCTCTCTCTCTTCTCTCTCTCTCCTTTCTCTCCTCTCTCTCTCCTCTCTCCTCTCTTTCTGACTTTTTGCTCTGTTTCCCAGGCTGGAGTGCCGTGGTGTGATCTCAGCTCACTACAACTTCCGCCTCCCTGGTTCAAGCGATTCTCCTGCCTCAGCCTCCCAAGTAGCTGAGACTACAGGCACCCACCACCATGCCTGCCTAATTTTTCTATTTTTTTTTCATAGAGACAGGTTTTGTTTGTTTGTTTTTGAGACAGAGTGAAACTATTTGGTAGAGGCTTGGACTTGTTTTTTCTGGGGTCCTTACTCACCCAAGATGTTATGATTCTGAGTTTCTCAATTGTACTACTTTAGAACCCTAAGATCCTAAAATGTTGAAAGACTCTACAATCTTGTAATTCTTGTGGAACAACTTTGCAAAGAGAAGGTGAAGCTGTGGAATAGCCAGTTCTTAGCTGTCTCTCCTTCCCGACCTGCCCCATCTCCAAGAGGCTATCCACTCAAAGTTTATTTTTTATTTTTATTTATTTATTTATTTTTGAAATGGTGTTTCGCTCGTTTCCCGGGCTGGAGTGCAGTGGCGTGATCTTGGCTCACTGCAACCTCTGCCTCCCAGGTTCAAGCAATTCTCCTGCCTCAGCCTCCCAAGTAGCTGGGATTACAGGCGTGTGCCACCACGCCCAGCTAATTTTGTATTTTTAGTAGAGATGGAGTTTCACCATGTTGGTCAGGCTGGTCTCGAACTCCTGACCTCAGGTGATCCGCCCGCCTTGGCCTCCCAAAGTGCTGGGATTACAGGTGTGAGCCACTGTGCCCAGGCTCAAAGTTTAAATGCTCAACGGAAAAATATAAAAATCACAGTCATTCATCCATGGAATACTTTATCCTATCCATGCATTTAAAATCACAAAGAAAAACACTTAATATGCAAACGATAATACATAAGTTATACAGCATTGTCCCAATTGTGTTAAAATAGACACACAGAGGGAAAAAAAGAATGACAAAGGTTAATTATGATTGTTTCTGGCCGATGGGACAGTAAATCACTTTTGTTTCCATTACACTTTTCTTAATTTCCTAAAATATGCATATATTTTTATAATCAGAAAAAAAGGTTTTAAGCTCAAACGTGTCAGGCCACACCTGGTGCCGCGTCGTTGGGATACAGAGATGAGTCATCTCAAATGAGAGGGAGGGGCCAACAAGGCTTTGATTAGGGCTGGCTTGGAAGAGGAGGGACAAGTACTGGGTAGGGTGGGATCTGATCAGCTCAGCTCAGCTGGAGTTCAACCCGGAAGCGCTGACGGTGGCACACCAGCGGGCAAAATCCACCTCAAAAGCTGGAAATAACGTGGCAGCCCCGGCACAACAAGACCCGCCAGTTCAAGTCAACCTCACCGCCCTCTGGCCGAAGACCCAGGCCAACCCCGCCCCTTGCCTCTCCCCATTGGTCTGCTGAAGCTCGTTCGGTTCCCAGGGCCCGCCCCTCTGGGGCTGCGAGAGGAGGCGCGCTCCCTCCTCCACATGGACGCTGGCGGCCATGTTGAGTGTGGCTTGACAGGGGAGGGTGGGGCTATTCTCTGTTTCTGGCGTCGCTGACTCCATCCGACACATTCTGCAAGTGTTTCCCTTTAGTCGTGGGCTCTTGGAACCCCAAGTAAAGAGATGATTTACCACTGAAATGATTCTCACTTGGGAGCTGGGCGTTTGTGTGAAGTGCACACATCTTCCGCCCAGCCTCCGGTTCCCTGGAGGCCTGTGGGTTCTAGTTTTCCAGAGGTGATGTCATCGCAAAACCTTTGTAAGGTCCTAATGCCCGATGTTAGGATTGCAGAATCATTCAAAATGAGATCTTAGAGATTGGGTGGCTATATAATTTATTGTTCAAACTGGGATAGCTTTGAGAGTCTAGGGGTATACTATCAATAATTACAATCCACACAACAGTCATAAATGTGGACTGTTCTGGAGTTTATAGTCACTCTACTTAAAGTCACTCTATAGTCAGCTCGTTTTTTAAAAATTGTAGTCAAATATATATGAGAAAAATTTCCATTTTAACAATATGTGTATAATTCAGTGGCATTAATTACATTCACAGTGTCGTGCAATCATCGTCATTATCTATTTCCAAAATTTTTCATTACCCCAAGCAGAATCCATTGCCCAGTAAGCAATAACTCCCCATTAACCTCTCCTACTAGCTCCTGTTAATCTCCAGGACCCTTTCTGTTTCTATGAATTTGCTATATTTCACATAAGTGGAATCACACAATAGTCGAGGTTTTCTGTCTGCATAGTTTCACTTAGCATAATGTTTTCAAGGTTCATCTATGTTGTACCATGTATTAATACTTTATTTTGCTTTAGAGTTGAATAGTATTCCCTTGTATGAATATACCACAATTTGTTTATCCGTTCATCTGTTAACAGACACTTGGGTTGTTTCTACCTGTTGGCTATTGTGAACAAAGCTGCTACGAACATTTTGTACAAGTATTTGAAGGTCCCAAAACATTTTTTAAGCCATTTTAGTAGTTTGAAATGGTATATTTGTGGTTTTGGTTTGCATTTCCTTGATGATTAAAGATGTTGTGGCTGGCGTGGTGGCTCACGCCTGTAATCCCAGCACTTTGGGATGCCGAGGCAGGCAGATCACAAGGTCAAGAGATTGAAACCATCCTGGCCAACATGGTGAAACCCTGTCTCTACTAAAAATACAAAAACACCGGGCGCAGTGGCTCACGCTTGTAATCCCAGCACTTTGAGAGGCCGAGGCAGACAAATCACAAGGTCAGGAGATCAAGACCATCCTGGCCAACATGGTGAAACCCCGTCTCTACTAAAAAAAATACCAAAATTAGCCAGGCGTGGAGTCGCAAGCCTGTAGTCCCAGCTACTTGGGAGGCTGAGGCAGGAGAATTGCTTGAACCCAGGGGGCAGAGGCTGCAGTGAGCCGAGATCATGCCACTGCACTCCAGCCTGGGCAACAGAGCGAGACTCTGTCTCAAAAACAAACAAACAAATTAGCTGGGCATTGTGATATGCCCCTGTAGTCCCAGCTACTCGGTAGGCTGAGGCAGGAGAATTGCTTGAACCCGAGAGGCAGAAGTTGCAGTGAACCAAGATCGCGGCCACTGCATTCCAGCCTGGTGACAGAGTGAGACTCGGTCTCAAAAAAAAAAATGTTGAACATCAGTTTTATTTATTTATTATTATTATTTTTGAGACGGAGTCGCTCTGTCGCCCAGGCTAGAGTGCAGTGGCGCGATCTCGGCTCACTGGAAGCTCCGCCTTCCAGGTTCACGCCATTCTCCTGCCTCAGCCTCCCGAGTAGCTGGGACTACAGGCGCCCATCACCACGCCCGGCTAATTTTTTGTATTTTTCATAGAGACGGGGTTTCACCGTGTTAGCCAGGATGGTCTCCGTCTCCTGACCTCGTGATCCGCCCGCCTCGGCCTCCCAAAGTGCTGGGATTACAGGCGTGAGCCACTGCGACCGGCCCATTTTTATTTATTTATTTATTTATTTATTTATTTATTTATTTATTTATTTATTTATTGAGATGGAGTCTTGCTCTGTCGCCCAGGCTGGAGTGCAGTGGCGCGATCTCAGATCACTGCAATCTCCGCCTCCTGGGTTCAAGTGATTCTCTTGGCTTAGCCTCCTGAGTAGCTAGGATTACAGCCATGCGCCGCCACGCCCAGCTAATTTTTGTGTTTTCAGAAGAGACGGGGTTTCACCACGTTGGTCAGGCTGGTCTCGAACTCCTGACCTCATGATCCACCCGCCTCGGCCTCCCAGAGTGCTGGGATTACAGGCGTGAGCCACAGCGCCCGGCCCTAATTTTTTGTTGTTGTTTATATTTTTTGTTGAGAAGGGAATCTCACTATGTTGCCCAGGCTGGTGTCAAACTCCTGGGCTCAGGTGATCCTCCTCCCTGGGCCTCCCAAAGTGCTGGGATTCCAAGCATGAGCTACTGTGCTCAGCTTTAAATACTTTTTTTTTCATTATTTCGAGTTTGCTTTATGCTTAATATTAATCAATAGTAGTTTGCTGCTGGGAGCCGTGGATCACACCTGTAATCCCAACATTTTGGGAGGCCGAGGCAGGAGGATCACCTTAGGTCAGGAGTTTGAGACCAGCCTGTCTAACATGGTGAAACCCCGTCTCTACCAAAAATACAAAAATTAGCTGGGCATGGTGGTGCATGTCTGTAATTCCAGCTACTCTGGAGGCTGAGGCAGGAAAATCGCTTGAACCTTGGAGGCAGAGGTTGCAGTGAACTGAGCTTGATTGAGCCACTGCACTCCAGCCTGGACAACAAAGCGAGACTCCATCTCATTAAAAAAAAAAAAAAAAAAGAGAGGATGTCTGGCAATCTTATAAATACTAGAAATAGAAAGCATGACAGCACACAACATTTTTTCTTTTTTTAAAATACATTTTATTATTATTATTTTAAAATAGAGATGAGGTCTTGCCATGCAACAGAGGTTGGTCTTAAACTCCTGGGCTCAAGAGATCCTCTCACCTCGGCCTCCCAAAGTGCTAAGATTACAAGCATGAACCACCACTCCCAGCCACAGCATCTTTTCTTAAATGAGAAGTTTTAAAAGACTCAATTTTAAAGAGAGATTTGTGTTAAACACTAGGAAAAACTTCCAGATAATGAAGAACCGGAACTGGGGAGAATGGGAGAGTAGAGAGAGATTCTTCACTATATGTACTGAGGAAGAAGTTGATGTTGATATGCCTAGAAGCTGACAGAGATGAAGTCCTATGGATATTCTCTGAGCTCAGTAATTCTGGAAATGGAATTTGCCTAGAGACCAACTGGGGCCCTTTATCTGCTGTGCTGCTCTCTTTCCAGCTTCACTCCAATGCCCACCTGTTGTGGAACTTTTGTACTAAGCAATCTGCCACAATTCCTACTTCTCAAACAAAAGGGAATAATTGTCTACTAGCTATATAGAGTCTTACCTCAAACAGAATATATCTAAAACTAAACTTACCACCTTCCTCCCCTTCTTGACCTTGTGGGTCTCTTTAGGTACTATGTTTTTTATTTCCTTTCCTTAGAACCACATTTCTTTCTTTCTTTTTTTTTTTTTAATTGATCATTCTTGGGTGTTTCTCGCAGAGGGGGATTTGGCAGGGTCATAGGACAATAGTGGAGGGAAGGTCAGCAGATAAACAAGTGAACAAAGTTCTCTGGTTTTCCTAGGCAGAGGACCCTGGGGCCTTCCGCAGTGTTTGTGTCCCTGGCTACTTGAGATTGGGGAGTGGTGATGACTCTTAACGAGCATGTTGCCTTCAAGCATCTGTTTAACAAAGCACATCTTGCACCGCCCTTAATCCATTTAACCCTGAGTGGACACAGCACATGTTTCAGAGAGCACAGGGTTGGGGGTAAGGTCATAGATCAACAGCATCCCAAGGCAGAAGAATTTCTCTTAGTACAGAACAAAATGGAGTCTCCTATGTCTACTTCTTTCTATGCAGACACAGCAACAATCTGATTTCTCTATCTTTTCCCCACATTTCCCCCTTTTCTATTCGACAAAACCGCCATCGTCATCATGGCCCGTTCTCAATGAGCTGTTGGGTACACCTCCCAGACGGGGTGGCAGCTGGGCAGAGGCACCCCCCACCTCCCGGACGGGGCGGCTGGCCGGGCAGGGGCTGCCCCCCACCTCCCTCCCTGACGGGGCAGCTGGCCGGGCGGGGGCTGCCCCCCACCTCCCTCCCTGACGGGGCAGCTGGCCGGGCGGGGGCTGCCCCCCACCTCCCTCCCAGACGGGGCGGCTGCCGGGCGGAGACGCTCCTCACTTCTCAGATGGGGCGGCTGCCGGGCGGAGGGGCTCCTCACTTCTCAGACGGGGCAGCTGCCGGGCAGAGGGGCTCCTCACTTCTCAGACGGGGCGGCGGGGCAGAGACGCTCCTCACCTCCCAGACGGGGTCGCGGCCGGGCAGAGGCGCTCCTCACATTCCAGATGGGGTGGCGGGGCACAGGCGCTCCCCACATCTCAGACGATGGGCGGCCAGGCAGAGATGCTTCTCACTTCCTAGACAGGATGGCGGCCGGGAAGAGGCGCTCCTTACTTCCCAGACTGGGCAGCCGGGCAGAGGGGCTCCTCACATCCCAGACGATGGGCGGCCAGGCAGAGACGCTCCTCACTTCCCAGATGGGGTGGCGGCCGGGCAGAGGCTGCAATCTCGGCACTTTGGGAGGCCAAGGCAGGCGGCTGGGAGGTGGAGGTTGTAGCGAGCCGAGATCAGGCCACTGCACTCCAGCCTGGGCAACACTGAGCACTGAGTGAACGAGACTCCATCTGCAATCCCGGCACCTCGGGAGGCCGAGGCTGGCAGATCACTCGTGGTTAGGAGCTAGAGACCAGCCCGGCCAAGACAGCGAAACCCCGTCTCCACCAAAAATACATGAAAACCAGTCAGGCGTGGCGGCACGCACCTGCAATTGCAGGCACTGGGCAGGCTGAGGCAGGAGAATCAGGCAGGGAGGTTGCAGTGAGCAGAGATGGCGGCAGTACAGTCCAGCTTCGGCTGGGCATCAGAGGGAGACCGTGGAAAGAGAGGGAGAGGGAGACCATGGGGAGAGGGAGAGGGAGAGGGAGACCATGGGGAGAGGGAGAGGGGGAGGGGGAGGGGAGAACCACATTTCTTAAATGAAAGAGTCTTCACTTCTTGCCTCCATTTCTTCATTTTGAATTTACTTCTAAATCCAAATCTGGTGTTTTTTCTCATTACTTCATTGAAACTTCTCAGACCCAGGCCACCAGTAACCCTCTTGAAAATACTGTTTTGGCCAGGTGCGGTGGCTTACTCCTGTAATCCTAGCACTCTGGGAGGCTGAGGCAGGAGGATTGCTTGAGTACAGGAGTTCAAGACCAGCCTAGGCAATGTAGAATAACCCTGTCTCTACTAAAAATACACAAAATTAGCCAGGTATGGTGGCTCGTACCTGTAGTCCCAGCTACCCAGGAGGCTGAGGTGGGAGAATCACCTGAGCCTGGGAGGTCAAGGCTGCAATGAGCCGAGATCATGCCACTGCACTCCAGCCTGGGCAACCAGAGTGAGACCCTGTCTCAAAAAAAAAGAGCCAGGCTTGGTGGCTCACGCCTGTAATCCCAGCACTTTGGGAGGCTTAGGCAGGCAGATCACCTGATATCAGGAGTTCGAGACCAGCCTGGCCAACATGGTGAAACCTCGTCTCTACTAAAAATACAAAAATTAGCTGGGCATGGTGGCAGGTGCCTGTAATCCCAGCTACTCGAGAGGCTGAGGCAGGAGAATTGCTTCAACCCAGGAGGCAGAGGTTGCAGTGAGCCAAGACCATGCCATTGCACTCCAGCCTGGGTAACAAGAGTGAAAAACTCCATTTCAGAAAAAAAAAGGAATAACATTCTTTTGAGGTATAATTTACATTCCACAAAAGTCACTCATTTTCAGCATACAATTCAGTGATTTTCAGTTAATGTGCAGAATTGTGTGATCATCAACACAGTATAATTTTTAGAAGATTTCTATCACCCTAAAAAAGATTCCTTACTGGGCACAGTGGCTCACGCCTGTAATCCCAGCACTTTGGGAGGCCGAGGCGGGTGGATCACCTGAGGTCAGGAGTTTGAGAGCAGCCTTACCAATATGATGAAACCCAGTCTCTACTAAAAATACAAAAATTAGCTGGGTGTGGTGGCATGCAACTGTAATCCCAGCTACTTGGAAGGCTGAGACAGGAGAATCACTTGAACCTGGGAGGCGGAGGTTGCAGTGAGCCAAGATCGCGCCATTGCACTCCAGCCTGGGCAACAAGAGCAAAACTCTGTCTCAAAAAAAAAAAAAAAGATTCCTTGTCCCGATTTGCCCCATTTGCAGTCACTCACCTTTGATAATAGGATGCTTTTTAGTCTTTGACTTATTTAACTGCTCTGACGTATTTCAGTCTGCTGACTGAGGCTTTCCTTTTGACACATTTTCTTCCTTGGCTTTCTTGTCACCACTTTCTCTCCTGGTTTTCCACCTAACTTTCTGACATTTTTTTCTTCACAGATTACTTCTTTTTTTTTTTTTTTTGAGACAGAGTCTTGCTCTGTCACCCAGGATGGAGTACAGTGGCGCAATGTGGGCTCACTGCAGCCTCCGCCTCCCAGATTCAAGCAATTCTCCCACCTGAGCCTCCCGAGTAGCTGGGATTACAGGGTGCGTCAATCACGCCCAGCTAATTTTTGCATTTTTAGTAGAGACAGGGTTTCACCATGTTGCCCAGGCTGGTCTCAAGTTCCTGACCTCAGATAATCTGCCCGCTTCAGCCTCCCAAAATGCTGGGATTACAGGCGTGAACCACCCCGCTCGGCCATACTTTTTCTGTCTGACTTTAAATATTGCTGTTCCATAGGATTCTATCCTGGCCTTCTCAGGCTACACTCTACTTAGGTGATACATCCATTCTCATTACTACAGCTGCCACATATAAGCTGATGACTCCAAAATCTCTATCTACAGCTCAGACATAGCCCCTGAGCTCCAGATTGATATGATACAGTAGTGAAAATACTTATCATTAACAGTTGGTCATTTCTTGGGCTTTGGCCATAATAAAATGCAAATAGAAAACTCACCAAATTCATATTCTTCTGGAGGAGATAATTAAGATTTACCCATATCTGGCCGGGCGCGGTGGCTCACGCCTGTAATCCCAGCACTTTGGGAGGCTGAGATGGCCAGATCACCTGAGGTCCAGAATTCGAGACCAGCCTGACCAACATGGTGAAACCCTGTCTCTACTAAAAATTACAAAATTAACTGGGTGTGGTGGCGCATGCCTGTAATCCCAGCTACCTGGGAGGCTGAGACAGGAGAATCACTTGAACCTGGGAGGCAGAGGTTGTGGTGAGCTGAGATCATGCCATTGCACTCCAGCCTGGGCAACAAGAGCAAAATTTCGTCTCAACAAGAAAAAAAAAAAAAAAGATTTACCCATATCTTAGTTTTCAAAGTGGTGGATGATATATGAAATATATGCATGATCTCTGTGGTCTGTAGACCATAATATACTCTTCTTAGCAGATCTAATAAGTTAAATAAAATTATAAAGTACCTGGGCCTGGATCAGTGGCCCACGCCTGTAATCCCAGCACTGTGGGAGGCCAAAGCTAGAGGATTTCTTGAGCTCAGAAGTTCAAGGCCAGCCTGGGTAAAATAGTGAAACCCCATCTCTACCAAAAATACAAAAAAACGAGCCGGGCATAGTGATGCGTGCCTGTAGTCCCAGCTACTCAGGAGGCTGAGGTGGGAGGCTTGCTTGAGCCCAGGAGGCAGAGGTTGCAATAAGCCAAGATCACACCACTGCACTCTACCCTGGGTGACAGAGTGAGACCCTGTCTCAAAAAAAACTATAAATAAATAAATAAAGTACCTATACCCCCATTACTTACTTTATTCTTACTTATATTTAGTTTTTTTTTTAAGGCTGAGCATGGTGGCTCACACCTAAAATCCCAGCACTTACAGAGGCTAAGGTAGGAGAATCACTTGAGGCCAGGAGTTCAAGAACAGCCTGGGTAACATAGCAAGATCCCATCTCTGAAAGAAAAAATATGCCGGGCGCGGTGGCTCACGCCTGTAATCCCAACACTTTGGGAGGCTGAGGCGGGTGAATCATGAGGTCAGGAGTTGGAGACCAGCCCCGCCTCTATTAAAAATACAAAAATTAGCCGGGCGTGGTGGCAGGCACCTGTAATCTCAGCTACTGGGGAGACTGAGGCAGGAGAATCGCTTGAACCTGGGAGCCGGAGGTTGCAGTGAGCCGAGATCGCGCCACTGCATTCTAGCCTGGGTGACAGAGCAAGACTCCATCTCAAAAAAAAGAAAAAAGAAAAAGAAAAAGAAAATATATATATATATTAACATGTTTGCCTCACCAGTAGAATGATGTAACCTCAAAAGTAAAGATAAGGCTGGGCACAGTGACTCATGCTTGTAATCCTAGCACTTTGGGAGGCCAAGGCAGGTGCATCACTTGACGTCAGGAGTTCAAAACCAGCCTGGCCAATGTGGTGAAATCCGGCCTGTATTAAAACTACAAAAAAATTAGCAGGGCATAGTGGTGGGCACCTGTAATCCCATCTACTTGGGAGGCTGAGGCAGAAGAATTGCTTGAACCTGGGAGGCGGAGGTTGCTGTGAGCCAGGATCGCACCACTGTACTCCAGCCTGGGTGACAGAGTGAAACTCTGTCTCAAAAAAAAAAAAAAAAGTAAGGACCAAATATTTTTCTGCTTTATATTTCCAGTAGAAAAGCAGAGCACCTGGTACACAGTAGTTAAAAGTGTTTGTAGAATGAATAAATGAACAAATGAATATTTCAGGACAAAGGATACTCGAACCTGAATTCGTGTGTTTAATGTAATGAACACTGGCTTTGGGCTCCAAATATTATATTTCATCTTTTCCTCATAACAAAATTACAATTTTAATGCAAAAATCTATCTTTCTCCACACAGCCATAGATCTATCTATCCCAGTCTTAGTAATCCCATTTCTCTTGCAGTGACAGATTTAGGATGGGGATATGAAGCAATTCTGGCCAGTGAGATGTAATGGGGAGTTTGCTGGGGGATTCTGGGAAATGTTTTTTTTTTTTTTTTTTTTTTTTTTTACTTACAGAGATACATAGATGGCATCTCCTTTCCTTGGACTTTATAGGATATAGATGTGTCAGCTTGAACTATAGCAGCAATCTTGTGATTATTGGGGAAGCTAGCATCTAAGAGCAAAGTCAATACACTGAGAAAGGCAGAGCAGAAAGACAGAACAACCTGGTTCTTGTAGACATTGCTGGGTAGGAGGGAATTAACCAGTCCTGGAAGCTTCGGACTTCCCTTTTTTTTTTTTTTTTTTTTTTGAGACGGAGTCTTGCTCTTGTCACCCAGGCTGGAGGGCAACGGCATGATCTTGGCTCATTGCAACCTTCGCCTCCCAGGTTCAAGCGATTCTTTCGCCTCAGCCTCCTGAGTACCTGGGATTACAGGCGCCTGCCGCCACGCCTGGCTAATTTTATTTTATTTTATACTTACTTATTAATTTTTTTTTTTGAGACAGAGTCTCGCTCTGTCGCCTAGGCTGGAGTGCAGTGGCGCGATCTCCGCTCACTGCGAGCTCCGCCTCCCGGGTTCACGCCATTCTCCTGTCTTAGACTCCCAAGTAGCTGGGACTACATTGGACTACAGGCGCGTGCCACCACGCCTGGGTAATTTTTTTTTTTTTTTTTTTTTTTTTTTTTTGTATTTTTAGTAGAGACGGGGTTTCACCATGTTAGCCAGGATGGTCTCGATCTCCTCACCTCGTGATCCGCCCGCCTCGGCCTCCCAAAGTGCTGGGATTACAGGCGTGCTCCACCACGCCCGGCCGGCTAATTTTTGTATTTTTAGTAGTGACGGGGGTTTTGCCATATTGGCCAGGCTGGTCTTGAACTCCTAACCTCGTGATCCTCCCATCCCGGCCTCCCAAAGTGCTGGGATTACAGGCGTGAGCCACTGCACCGGCCAGGACTTCTTTATGTGATTTGCCCTATTGTTGAAACTTTTTTTTTTTTTTAAGATGGAGTCTCCCTCTGTTGCCCAGGCTGGAGTGCAGTTGCGCAGTCTTGGCTCACTGCAACCTCCGCCTCCCGGGTTCGAGCAACACTCCTGCCTCAGCCTCCCTAGTAGCTAGGATTATAGGCGCTCACCACCACACCCGGCTAATTTTTGTATTTTTAGTAGAAACGAGGTTTCACCATGTTGGCCAGGCTGGTCTCTTAACTCCTGAGGTCAAGTGATCCTCCTGCCTTGGCCGCACCAAAGTGCTGGGATTACAGATGTGAGCCACAGAGCCCGCCCATTTAAATTATTTAGAGTTGAGTTTTCTGTTTCTTCCAGCTGAAAGGTTCTGAAATGATAATGTTAGTAAATGGATCACATAGCAAATAAACTGTGGGGTTTTTTTCTTTATTTTTTTGTTTTTTTTTTTTTTTTGTTTGTTTTTTTCCCTCATCAAAAGATAGTGGAGTATATATATAAAGGGCACATGTCAACCCTATTGTAATCTTTGTTGTCTGTATTGGACTACAGCTACGATGTAGGTGTTCTTGCAAGCCTCCTCTGGAAAGACTGCACACTGTCCTTGATAATCTCCGATCTGGACAACAGCAATAACAGCGTGTCAGGTAAAGCCAGGAAGACAGTTGGTATGAAAAGTGATTTGGAAATTTTTTGTCTTTATTGATGAAAATAATGCGAATTGGTTTTGTTTTGTTTTGGTGGATTTTTTTTTTTTTTTTTGAGACGGAGTCTCGCTCTGTCACCCAGGCTGGAGTGCAGTGGCATGATCTCGGCTCACTGAAATCTCCACTTCCCAGGCTCAAGGAATCCTCCCATCTCAACCTCCTGAGTAGCTGGGATCACAGAAGTGCACCACCATGCCTGGCTAATTTTTTGTATTTTTGGTAGAGATGAGGTTTCATCATGTTGCCCAGGCTGGTCTAGAAATTAATGTGGGCCGGGCCCTGTGGCTCACGCCTGTAATCCCAGCACTTTGGGAGGCTGAGGTGGGCAGATCAGGAGGTCAGGAGATCGAGACCATCCTGGCTAACACAGTGAAACCCTGTGTCTACTAAAAATATAAAAAAATTAGCTGGGCATGGTGCCATGCGCCTGTCCCAGCTACTCGGGGGGCTGAGGCAGGAGAATTGCTTGAACCCGGGAGGTGGAGGTTGCAGTGAGCCAAGATCGCGCCATTGCACTCCACACTCCAGCCTGAGCAACAAGGGCGAAACTCAGTCTCTTTTTTAGGCATATGAGACTGCCTGCCGTTGTTATGGAAGATGCTTGGGAAGAGATGGTTGTTTATCAATTCCCCTGTCTTTTGGCAGCACCTCACCCTGGTACTTTACTATGCCTGGTTAACTGAGCCTAGAACTTTTTTTTTTTGAGACGGAGTCTCACCCTGTTGTCCAGGCTGGAGTGCAATGGCGCGATCTCGGTTCACTGCAACCTCCGCTTCCTGGGTTCAAGCGATTCTCCTGCCTCAATCTTCCCAAGTAGCTGGGATTACAGGTGCCTGGTACCATGCCCGGCTAATTTTTGTATTTTTAGTAAGGGTTTCACCATGCTGGCCATGCTGGTCTCGAACTCCTGACCTCAGGCTATCCGCCCCGCTTCGACCTCCCAAAGTGCTGGGGTTATAGGCGTGAGCCACGGCGCCCCGCTGCTGAGAGCTTCTTATATTCAGTTTCACCATAGAAAGGGATGGGTTTAAAATGCTGTTCATACAGTCCTTGATACAATTCCCTTGTTTTTGTCCTCGTTTTACCCCCTACCTTATATGGTACCTGGTATTTCACATTCCTGAGCAGAATTTCTGCAGTTCCGCTTAGCTGATTGGCTTGCTTCTTGTTAATTCATCCTTCAGTAAGCACTTTATATGTTCTGTTTAGTCAGTTACCATTGCTCTATCTTTGTCCCCCATCTTAAAATATTATGGCTCTGGGTTACAGATGTCAAATCCAGAGTTTGCATTTTAATTTCTTTATTCTCGTTTTGGAATGGTTTCAGAGAGAGAAGACAGAACATCTTTATCTTCCTAAAACCGGTAGTTTTTTCATTTTTCCTGTGATGTTGGGGCTTATTATCTCACTTCATAGTTTGAGCTACAACTTCTATAATTATTTTGATATCTTTTGATTTTATATAAAATAAAGTCCTAGTTACTTTGTGTTAATTGAAAAGCCGAAGAAATATTCACAGAAAGATAGTTTCTCTTGGCTTCTTTGGCAAGTTACAATTTGGCTGTGCAGTCTGTTGGTATTTCAGTGCAAACAGTGTTGGTCTCACTTTTCTATCCTAAGATGCTCTGTTCTTTATATAAACAGCAGTAGAGGCAGTTGTTCTCTTCTACTCTGAGAGTGATTATCACTTAGTAGCAGGTGGAGTGATTCATTCTCTTGTACATCTTAGAGGAGACTTTATTATTTGTGGGGGATAGAGTGTGGGGAGAGGAGAGCTCCAGCAATGTGTCAGATTTTATACATTCTGGACTAGCATAAAAAGCAGCAAGTTCTTCCCCCACTGCAATTTCAAAGCCTGGAAGTAACACCTCACTTACAAGGCTTTGAGAAATCACATTATTCATAATGGGGACCATGATTCACATGAACAGAACAAAATGGAATTATCAAAAATAGATTCTGTAGATCAATCCGTAGCAAAAATATCTTCTGACTTAGCTATTAATTGGCTATAATTACAGGAAGGACCATTCCATTTAAGTTCTAACACCTTCTCCACTTTGACTGAATAATCTTTATTCTCCCATGG
Source organism: Homo sapiens (assembly GCF_000001405.40). NCBI lineage: Eukaryota > Metazoa > Chordata > Mammalia > Primates > Hominidae > Homo > Homo sapiens. The sequence continues at coordinate 73,766,661 of NC_000011.10, read as the reverse complement.
CATGTCCTTATAGGTCAAAGTATTTGGAAAACAGGTTTTAACATGACTCGTCTCCCCCTTTATTTTTTGTAGTCTTTTAAAAATGAGACTTACTTCAACATACCTTGTGTTAATTGTACTCATTTAACTGGTCACCTTGAATTACTGAGCATTTGTCATTTTTATGCTTTGTATATTGACCCATTATTATTTTTAGTAGCAATGATTATAATAACCTGCAGTGTGGGTTAGAAGGGCTTTGCATTTGATGGAATTTGAATTCCTGCCAGAGCTATTATTTGTTTCAAATGTGAGCAATATGATTTCAGTCCTTTTACCTGTACAGTTTTTCTCCTTCTATTGATTTCCTGCCTCTCCAACAGTAATAAATCCCTTTTTAGGGAGTAGTAAACAGAAAAAGGCAGTTCCAGTGTGGTAACTACTACTTTATATATACACATACAATATTGAGTGCCTAATATTCAAGGAACTATGCAAGGTGTTTTAAGGGATCTAAATATGAGAATGTGAGCTGCAAGTAACAATAACAAAGAAATACAAAGACACATAAAAGCATTATTAAATATAAAGACATTTATTATGTTACTAAAAAGAAATCTAGGCGGCCAGTTCCAGGGCTGGTACAGCGGCTCAATGATGCCTTTTAGCTTTCTGCTTAGCCGTCATCAATGATTGGCTTTTTTCATTAGAATTATATATTAATGTTCGGCCGGGTGCGGTGGCTCACGCCTATAATCCCAGCACTTTGGGAGGCTGAGGCGGGCAGATCACGAGGTCAGGAGATCAAGACCATCCTGGCTAACACAGTGAAACCCCATCTCTACTAAAAATACAAAAAAATTAGCCGGGCATGGTGGCAGGCGCCTGTAGTCCCAGCTATTCGGGAGGCTGAGGCAGGAAAACGGCGTGAACCCGGGAGGCAGAGCTTCAATGTTCAGAAGAGCTATCTTAGCTCTAAATATCATGTCCTTACACAGCTACATCAATGGCAGAAAAATGGCAGTTTTTTCTCATTTATTCCTTTTCATCAAGGAAGAAAATATGTCTCTCTATCTCTCTTCTTCTCTTAGAATAAAAAAAGCCTCTAGCACATTTCCTTCATCTCCCACTGGCTCAGATGGACTCATGTGCCTATAACTTAGCTGAAGGGAGGCTGGAAACACATCTGTCATTTCTAGTATATATGGTGGAAGTATGTGTGTGTGTTATGTGTGCATTGCTGGATATGCAACCACTAGTGTCTGTCACTAAGAATAAGATGAAATTGACTGGGCGCAGTGGCTCACGCCTGTAATCTCAGCACTTTGGGAGGCCAAGGCAGGAGGATCACTTGAGGTCAGGAGTTTGAGACTAGCCTGGCCAACATGGTGAAACCCCGTCTCTACTGAAAATACAAAAATTAGCTGGACATGGTGGCACACTTCTGTAATCTCAGCTACTCAGGAGGCTGAGGCAGGAGAATCGCTTGAACCCAGGAAGTGGAGGTTGCAGTGAGCCGAGATCGGCCACTGCACTCCAGCCTGGACAGAGTAAGACTCTGTCTCCAAAAAGGAAAAAGAGAAATTTCAGCCAAGCACAGTGGCTCACGCCTGTAGTCCCAGCACTTTGGGAGAGCAAGATGGGCAGATCATCTAAGGTCGGGGGTTCGAGACTAGCCTGACCAACATGGAGAAACCCCATCTCTAGTAAAAATACACAATTAGCTGGGCGTGATGGCACATGCCTGTAATCTCAGCTACTCAGGAGGCTGAGGTGGGAGAATTGCTTGAACCCGACAGGCGGAGGTTGCGGTGAGCCGAGATCACGCCATTGCACTCCAGCCCGGGCAACAAGAGCAAAACTCTGTCTCAAAAAAAAAAAAAAAAAAAAAATTCAGTCCTCCTGCAAGAAGTTTTGTGTCTCTCAGGGCAGAAGATAAGCTATAATTTTATTACAATTTCTGTGTGATAGATTCCCTACATACTCCTGGGCTTCAATTTAGATATGACCTTTAAATAGATAATGAAAGCTGCTTTAGGTACTTTGAATTTGGAGCTGTGAAGACTGTCCTCTCCCATTGTTCCTAATTTTTAGTTACAAGATCTGTTCTCAGCATCTTTTTCATAAGTAATGGTTTAGGAAAGAAGTATCAAATTACATGACATATTTTTGGGTAATGTTCTCTTTCTCCAAAATGCTCTTAACCTTCCTTCTCTGCATGCCCAAATCCCATTCATCCTTTGAAGACAGTGAAAAATAATTCCTCTTTTATTTGATTTTGTCAGCAAACATCTGCTGCATGCTTACTATGTAGCAAGCACTCTTCAAGCACTGGGGATACAAGATGAGATCTGACCTCGTGGAGGTTACAGTCAAGTAGGGAACACTGACAATGAACAGCAATTAAGAATAGGATACAATAGGACAGGCAAAGGTACTTATACTGTTAGTGGGGATGGGAGCAGATGGGAGCAAGACTTGTGTGGTAGACTGAATGTTTGTGTCTCCCCAAAATTCATATGTTGAAACTATAGTCCCCAATGTGATGGTATTAGTAGGTGGGACCCTAGGGAGGTGATTAGGTCATGAGGGTGGAGTGCTCATAAATGGGATTAGTTCCCTTGTAAGAGGGAGCCCAGAGAGCTTTCTTGCTCTCTTTCTGCCATGTGAGGGCACAGTGAGAAGATGGTTGTCTATGAACCAGGAAGTGGGCCTTCACCAGACACAGTATCTTCTGGTACCTTGCTCTTGGACTTTCCAGTCTCCAGCTGTGAGAAATAAACATTTGTTGTTTAAGCCACCCAGTCATGGTATTCTGTTATAGCAGCCTGAATGGACAAAGACAACTTCTTTAAGTGGTAAGTGATTTAAAAGAAAAAAAAAAAAAGACAATTTCTTTAACTGAAGGATGAGTAGGAATTGGGGAAGAGTGGGGAAGGGAGGGGAAGAGTGTTTGCAGTAAAGAGAAGTGAGCGTAGGAAATCATGAAGGTGAAAATGTTGGTGAAAATACTCTTGAAAAGGGCCTCTCTAATTCCTCTTTCTCCTGAGTAATTTTTCCATTTGCTATACCCTACAGCACTTAATATGCAATGTTTAGGCCATAAAGTCTCTGAAGACAAAACTTACACAGAGTACTTGGTAATATGAAGGCAGCTTCAGAGGATAATGAGGCTGTGTATGTGTCAATGCAAAATGAAAGCTTAAAACATTAAAACATTTTAGGTAAGAGGTGGACTAGACCATAAGGCCCTTCAAAATGACAGGGAACAGTACCACCTGTCTAGGTGACTACAGAGACCAAAGCAGCAGGGAGGACTGATTCATAAAGTTCTGTAGGAAGTACAAAGTAATTATAGTTCCAATCCTCAGATGTTACTTTAAAGTCTATTTCAGGAAGCATAATGAAAACTTGGTACCCATCAGAAAGAAAATAGCTACTCACTTTTGTTTGCATAATCTTTTTAAAAAGTTTCTTGGTTTAAGCTGCTCTTTGTATGTGCCAGGGTTCTGGGTTAATGGTGGAGAGGACCCTATTAGATCTGACAAACTACTTGTAAAATCAAATGTCCATGCTACAAGCCAGGTTTTTACCATTTTATTTTAGATGCATGTTCTACCTGCACATGGCTGGGAGAGGAACCAGAAGGGAGTAAATTTTGATAGAGATGGTTTGAGGATATAGCTGTTGTCTTGATAGGCCAGAATAGATGATATTTTAAGAACTTTGGTTCTTCCCTGTAATTTATTCTAGGTCAGCAATTCATCCCTGGGCCTGAGAAGGCACTTTTTCAATCCTGTCATTTCTACAGCTAAGCAAATAACTCCCCAATAATGAGAAAAAGTACATAAATGTTTTGTGAATGATATACACAAATGATATACATTTGTGTATAGACACAAATGTAAGGACATATTTTTTATTATTCACTTAGAAAGTTTTTTTGTTTTTTTTTTTTTTTTTTAAGACAGGGACTTGTTCTGTCACCCAGATTTCAGTGTAGTGGTGCCATACCTCAGCCTCCAACTCCTGGACTCAAGCAATCCTTCTGCTTCAGGCTCCTGAGTAGCCGGAACTACAGGAGCACACCACGATATTCGGCTATTTTATTTTTTGTAGAGATAGTGTCTTGCTTTGTTGCCCAGCCTGGTCTCGAACTCCTGGGCTCAAGCGATTCTACCGCCTCGGCCTCCCAAAGTGCTGGGATTACAGACGTGAGCCACCGCGCCCAGCTGCTTTATGGATTTTTTTTTTTGGAGACAGAGTCTCGCTCTTGTTGCCCAGACTGGAGTGCAATGGTGTGACCTTGGCTCACTGCAACCTCCGCCTCCCGTGTTCAAGCGATTCTCCTGCCTCAGCCTCCCAAGTAGCTGGGATTACAGGCACCCGCCACCACACCACGTTAATTTTTTGTATTTTTAGTAGAGATGGGGTTTCATCATGTTGGCCAAGGCTGGTCTGGAACTCCTGACGTCAGGTGATCCACCCAACTCAGCCTTCCAAAGTGCTGGGATTACAGGGATGAGCCACCACGCCCGGCTTTTTTTTTTTTTTTTTTTTTTTTTTTCTGTTGAGATGGAGTCTCGCTCTGTCGCCAGGCTGGAGTGCAGTGGTGTGATCTCGGCTCACTGCAACCTCCGCCTCCCGGGTTCAAGCGATTCTCCTGCCTCAGCTTCCCGAGTAGCTGGGACTACAGGCGCGCGCCACCACCCCCAGCTAATTTTTGCATTTTTAGTAGAGACAGGGTTTCACCATGTTGGCCAGGATGGTCTCGATCTCTTGACCTCGTGATCCACTCGCCTCCGCCTCCCAAAGTGCTGGGATTACAGCCGTGGGCCACCGCGCCCAGCCCGCTTTATGGATTTTGCAAGTCATTTACTCCCTCTAAGCTTCAGTTTCCTCATCTGCAAAATTGGGAGGCCATGATTCTGGCAGTTATAACATTCCTGGGAGCAATGGAGGAGAATGTTATTTAGTAAGATGCCTGTGAGGAATTATGATGAGAGGATGGAGAAGGTGGGGTGTGTGCAATGGTGAAGAAGGGATCTGAGGACTGTGAGGCACGGCTGAGGGCTCAGGAAAGAGGCTCCCATTACAAATTTTAAGGCTATAGGACCCCACCCACACTTTTTGGGGGATCATATTCCACCTTTGTCCCGGCCCCGCCTCCGCCCCACCCTTCTCCCCCTCCCCTTTCTTTCCTTCCCCTCCCCTCAGGCTGAGAGGCGCCACACTTCTTATGGCCGCCACAGTGCTCCGCTTTCCACAGCTCGAGGGCTGCGCGCGCTCTCACGCTGCCACCTCACTCGCGTGTGGGCTCGCCCTCAGCCCCTTCCGATTGGCTCATTATGTAAGTGACGTAAGGGCTCCAGCCTCCCACTAACTTATCCCTGGCTTGCCCCGCCTCCTCCTGGCTTCTTTTGACGCCAGTGGAAACCTAACCTGCCCCGTCGCCGCCGTGCGGGAGGAGCCGGTAGAGCTGTCCAAACCAGGAAGGCGATGGCGATGGCGGTGGCGCGCACGCATGCACGCACGCACGCACGCCAGCGGCCGGCGGGGCCGCAGGCTCGCGCCCGGGCTCGCCCCGCGCCGCTCCAGAGGCTCGCGCACTCAGCAGGTTGGGCTGCGGCGGCGGCGGCAGCTGTGGAAGCTCAGGCGCTGCGCGTGAGAGGTCCCAGATACGTCTGCGGTTCCGGCTCCGCCACCCTCAGCTTCTCTTCCCCAGGTCTGGGAGCCGAGTGCGGAAGGAGGGAACGGCCCTAGCTTTGGGAAGCCAGAGGACACCCCTGGCTCCTGCCGACACCGCCCTCCTTCCCTTCCCAGCCGCGGGCCTCGCTCGGTGCTAGGCTACTCTGCCGGGAGGCGGCGGCGGCTGCCAGTCTGTGGAGAGTCCTGCTGCCCTCCAGCCGGGCTCCTCCACCGGGCCTTGCAGGGGCCGAGAGAGCTCGGTGCCCGCCCTTCCGCTCGCCTTTTTCGTCAGCTGGCTGGAGCAGCATCGGTCCGGGAGGTCTCTAGGCTGAGGCGGCGGCCGCTCCTCTAGTTCCACAATGTCCACGGGCGGAGACTTCGGGAATCCGCTGAGGAAATTCAAGCTGGTGTTCCTGGGGGAGCAAAGCGGTGAGTGCGTGGCTCCCCTACTCCTGGCAGCTGGCCGCAGCGTCCCCGCACCGCCCCCGGTGCGGCCCTTCCGTCCGCGGAGGCTCCCTGCCCGCCTCGCGTCCGCGCTCGTTGCCACCGCAGCCCTTCCCGATGTGCCCCCCGGTGCCACTGGCTCTTCGCCAGTGGCCGAGTTTTTACCCTGTTCCCCGGGTTCTTCAATCCTCGACTCCCCGGCTCCGTTCCCCGCAGTCCGGCCATCTCCGGTCGATCTGCCCTCCCTCCCCAGACCTCACCCCGCCCAGCCTCTTGTCCATCCCTTTCTTCCTCCGGTCTCGGTCATTGCCCGTACCCCGGCCCCCTTTCTTGAGCCCCACCCTTATTCCTTGCTCTTTTCCCAGTTCCTCAGCTCTGTGAGGCCCACTCAGGGAAGCCCCACTCCCGAGAGCGGGCCCTCTTCAACCTTGGCCAAGGAGGGTGGGATCTGGGCGTTGTTTTCCCCAGAGGCTTGGCCCTGCGAAGTGCTGATGTCGTGGAAGGTGGGAAGGGGTGGTAGTAGAAAAAATTAAATGATTTTCACCTGGGTGGGAAATTAGTCTGGGCCATAGAGGAAACATCTGAATTGGAGACGACTTGAGCATGGGGTGGTTGGGGGTGAAAGGGGTAGCGTCGGCAGTGGAGATTTTTGCCCCTTAGGTTAGATGGGGCTGTGGCTTGTCGGAAAACCTCATTTTGTTCTCTTGACTTTCATCACTGACAATTCTTTTGGCAATGTTGATGATTTTTCAATCTCTGCCAGATGCTATGTCATGATCATTTTACTTGGAATTTTTCTCATCTCACCTCCCCTTTTTCTCTTTTCAACATGAAGCAGCGTCTGAGTCTCATGGTGGTACAAAAGGGAATTACTGGGGAAATGTTAATTATTCATTCCTTCTTGAGTATTTTCCAATGATATATTGAGGATTCATGTGAGAGAAGGCTTGGAATAACAAACATCTTTGTTTTGTCGGATTTCCTTTGGAAAATGGAGTAGAGTAGGAACAGACTCATCATCTAGTTACCTAAATTAGATTTAAATACCATTTGGGCTAAATAATTCTTTTATGCTTAATATTCTGTACTGTCTGATGAGTGAAATTGTTATGTCATTTACCTGGTCAGGTTCTGCTGTCACTGTACTTTTGTATTAGATACTAGATCCTAATTTTGTGATGGTTGTATCTACGATTACTTCTTGTAGTAATTCCAGTTTTATGCTGTATTATACAAACTTGACACTCGACAATTCAGAGATGATTACCCTCCTTTGTTTTTCTCATACTTTGCATGCCCATCTTTAAAATTCAGACATTGAGAGATTAGTTCTGAGTCATCAAACATTGAGTACCTACTAGGTGTTTTAGGTGAGGTTATAGAAAACATTAGTTATTTGTTTTGACTGGAAGGCATGTAAGTGATATAAATTCGTAGCTTTTATTACTACTTTGAACTATTTATACTAATTTGTATGCCATCACAGAGGTTAATACTCTTGCAAAATTGCCTCCAGTTAGAACTGGGAAATCATTTTTCTCCTTTCATGTGTAGATTATCTTCCCCTCCTCCCTTTTGGGGGGAAAAATACAATCTCCCTCCTTTTTGCTTATATATTTTCCTGAAGTAAGTATAAACTTGTGTCTTTAGGTGAGTAACTTGGTAGAACCTATGGAGTTGCTTCTAGTCCAGCTTTTCTGTGTCAATATCAGGATAGTTCCCAAACATAAAATATAGTTTATTGGTTATTATTGATAAAAAGGATCCAAAGTGCTTATTGTGCATTCTAAGGATATTATTGCCTTCCTTATGTTGTGATGCACAGCTATTTAGTTTGCATGAAAAAACCTATTCATCTTCCTGCCTAAAAAGGTTTTAGCATGAATGGAGTGCTTAACTTCCTAAGTATCTTCAGGTTTCCTTTGAATTTCTTGAGTATTTGTGTATGTTCTAATGCATAATGGAGAGTTTTATGGCTTCTAATTTCGTACCTTGTTTAAGCCTCTACTACCCTCCCCCCTCCATTACTGAAGCCTGGTTAGATTTTTTTTAATAGACTTCATTTTTTAGAACAGTTTTAGACTTACAGAAAAATTGAAAAGATAGTGTAGAGTTCCCATATACCCACACATCTAGTTTCCCCTGTTATCAACATCTTGCATTAGTATGGCACATTTGTTAACAATTAATGAACTAATATTGATATGTTATTATTAACTTAAGTCCATAGTTTATTTAGATTTTTAGTTTTAACCTAATGTCCTTTTTCTGTTTCAGCATTCAATTCAGGATGTGAAGTTAATTATCTTTTGAGGTTACTATATTGTCAAGTAATGCCATTCATTAGCTTTGACAATGAAAGATTGATCTCTGTTTTCATGGTCAGTGTCTATAGTTTTCTTATGCGTTAGAAGTCTGTAGACTCCATGTCCTTTTGATGTAACTCTTCATGAATTATTTATTTTTAGGTCTGTTAGAATTCCACAATTCAGCTTTCAAAGACTGTAATCTATGGCAAAGCCTTGTTTCTTCTTAATAGCATTTACCACATTTACAATTATCTTATTTTTTATGTGTTTGTTTTTATTTCCCACAGAAGAATGCAACTCCCATGAAGATAAAAACTATTCTTTTTTGTTCAGTGTGTCCCCATTGCCTAGCGTAGAGCCAGGCTCATAGTAGCTGTTCAGACATGTTGGGTAAATGAATGATGGCTGAATCTAGTAGTAACGAAAGCTAGTAGCCTATGTTACACTCTTTGACATGGTTACGCAATTGATAGTTTAACAATAACACTTAAAACTTACATCATTTGATTGTATACAGGAATATATCAGATACTTAAGGGGGTAGAGAAACCAATCGTTTAGAGGCCCAACCATTTCATTCAAAAAATAGGACTGACCTGAATTTTGTACTTTTTTTTGAGTTGAGCAAAATTCGTCTTCCTTTATTAAAGTTGTTAAATTATTTGCTATTAATGTAACGCATGAAAAGTATTCAAATTATACCAATGATGTGCTCATGGAACTGATTTGAAATTAGGTTTTATTTGGCTTATCAAAAATTTAAGATACTAGGCTGGGTGCGGTGGTTCATGCCTGTAATCCCAGCACTTTGGGAGGCTGAGATAGGTGAATCATCTGAGGTCAGCAGTTCAAGACCAGCCTGGCTAACATGGTGGAGTCCCCGGCTCCCCCCCACCCCATGGCCCGGTCTCTACAAAAATACAAAAATTATCCAGGTATGATGGCGGGTGGGAGCCTGTAATCCCAGCTACTCAGGAGGCTGAGGCAGGAGAATCGCTTGAACCTGAGAGGCGGAGGGTGCAGTGAGCTGAGATCATGCCATTGCACTGCAGCCTGGGTGACAGAGTGAGACTCTGTCTCAAGAAAAAAAAAAAAAAAAAAAAAAAAAAAAATATATATATATATATATATATATATATATATGTATGTATATTTAAGATACTACGCTCTATAGTGAAAATGAATTGTGTCAGTACATGAAGCAGATTGAGTTAATGACATCAATCTTAACCTTAGATAAATTCTTACGGTTTAATAAAGGAATGTTTGGCTGGGCGTGGTGGCTCACGCCTGTAATCCCAGCACTTTAGGAGTCCGAGGCAGGCAAATCACCTGAGGTCAGGAGTTCAAGACCAGCCTGGCCAACATGGCAAAATCCCATCTCTACTAAAAATCCAAAAACTAGCTGGGCGTGGTGGCGTGTGCCTGTAATCCCAGCTACTCAGGAGGCTGAGGCAGGAAAACTGCAACCCAGGAGGTGGAGGTTGCAGTGAACTGAGATTGCCCCACTGCACTCCAGCCTGGGCCTCAGAGCGAGACTTTGTCTCTAAATAAATAAATAAAGGAATGTTGAAATACACAATTGGAAGTTTCCTTGAGGAGTCTGTTTTGTTACTACCTCTGGCTATTGTCTTGAGATGCAGAGGCAGTTTTAGTAATGTCACTCAGTGGTTTACAGTAGAAGATTTCACTATATATACATGTTACCAATTATAAATTAGGAGATGTAATGGCAGAGAGAAGCGCATACTCAGCCTACTACTGTTTTTTTCACTTTATATTGCCTTTTCTTTTTTTCCATCAATGCTGATCAAATTGCAATATGTTAGATAAGGAAAAAATGTCTTATTGTCAGAGACTAGCAGTACTGACCAGTTGTTTTTCTTTTGAGACGGGGTCTACCTCTGTCACTCAGGCTGGAGTGCAGTGGTGTGATCTCAGCTCACTGCACCCTCCACCTCCCAGGCTCAAGTGATCCTCCCACCTCAGCCTCCCAAGTAGCTGGGACAACAGGCACGCACCACCACGCCTGGCTAATTTTTGTATTTTTTTGTAGAGATGGGATTTTACCATGTTGCCCAGGCTGGTCTCAAAGTTTTGAGCTGGCGAGATCCTCCGGCCTCAGCCTCCCAAAGTGCTGGGATTACAGGTGTGAGCCACCACGCCTGGCCAGTACTGAACATTTTATATTGGCTAGATCAGTGGTTTTTAAACTTTTTTTCCCCAAGACCCCTTTCTGCTCTTACAAATTTTTGAGGATCCTGAAGAGCTCTGTTAATGTAGTTGTTATTGTTGTTCTTCTTCCTCCTCCTCCTCTTCTTTCTCCTCCTCCTCTTCTTCCTCCTCCTCTTCCTTCTCCTCCTCCTCTTGTTCTTCTTCCTCCTCCTCCTCTTCTTTCTCTTCCTTCCCCCTTCTCCCTTCCTTCCCCCTTTCCACCTCCCCCTTCCTTTCCTTTTCTCCCTTCCTTCCTCCTTTCCTCTTCCCATTTCCTTCCCCCTTCTTGGATGCAGTGACTGTTCACAGGGGCTATCATGGCCAACTGCAGCCTTGTCTCAAGCTCTCCTCCTGCCTCAGCCTCCCTAGTAGCTGGGACTATAGGCACATGCCACTGTGCCTGACTTTTGTTTATGTAGTTTATGTCAACATTTAGGCCGGGTGCGGTGGCTCACGCCTATAATCCCAGCACTTTGGGAGGCCGAAGTGGGTGGATCACCTGAGGTCAGGGGTTCGAGACCAGCCTGGGCAACATGGCGAAACCCCGTTTCTACTAAAAATACAAAATTAGCCGGGCATGGTGGTGCGTGCCTGTAGTCCCAGCTCTTCGGGAGGCTGAGGCAGGAGCATTGCTTGAACTCGGGAGGTGGAGGTTGCAGTGAGCCAAGATCGTGCCACTGCGCTCCAGCCTGGGCAACAGAGTGAGGCTCCATCTCAAAATAAATGAATAAATATATCAACATTTACTGTATTGAAAAAGAAAATTTCAAAATATTTAATATGTTAAAAAATAATAGGGCCGAGCGTGGTGGCTCATGCTTGTAATCCCAGCATTTTGAGAGGCCGAGGTGGGCGGATCACTTGAGGCCAGAAGTTTGAGACCAACCTGGCCAATATGGTGAAACCCCGTCTCTACTAAAAATACAAAGAAATTAGCCTGGCATGGTGGTGGACGGTCCCAGTGGTAGTGCCAGCTACTCAGGAGGCTGAGGCAGGAGAGTCCCTTGAACCCGGGAGGTGGAGGTTGCAGTGAGCCAAGATCACGCCATTGCACTCCAGCCTGGGCAACGAGCAAAACTCCATCTCAAAAAAATAATAATAATAATAATAAACCCATTGCATGTTAATACCCTTTTTTTTTTTGACTGCATCCCTCTGTTGCCCAGGATGGAGTGAGTGCCTCCCGGGTTCGCGATTCTCATGCCTCAGCCTCCTGAATAGCTGGGACCACAGGTACATGCCGCCATGCCTGGCTAATTTTTTGACTTTTTAGTAGAGACAGGGTTTTGCTATATTGGCCAGGCTGGTCTCAAACTCCTGGCCTCAAGTGACCTGCTTGCCTTGGTCTCCCAAAGTGCTGGGATTACAGGCATGAGCCACTGTGCCCAGCCTTCATGTTAACATCATTTCTGAAATGAAAAAGAACTATTTTCCAAACAGATATTTAGTGAGAGTGACATTGTTTTACATATTTGCAAATCTCTTTAATGTCTGACTTAATAGAGGACAATTGGATTTGCATAGCTGCTTATGCATTCAATCCTGTAATATTACACATCATATAGGCACGGGGAAACTCCACAATACATTTCAAGAGAGTAAGAGTGAAAAATTCAAATAACATCTTAATCTTATGAAAATGGTTTTGACATCCAGGAGTTTGTGGACCTCCCCAAAGGTCTTGGGAGATCCTAAGGGGTCAGTAGACCACTCTTTGTAAACTGCTGGGTTAGGTAATATCAAGTCAATTGTATCTCCTGTTATAATGTTGCCAGTTTTTCATATCTTGTTCTGAAGCCTTAAAACTGCGTGGTACATACAGTTAATGATTTAGAGCACTAGAGGACTGGTAGAGATGGAGAGTAAGAGTCTAGGTTTCATGTTTTAGCAGTGGCTACTGACCTTTGGCAGATTACTCAACATGTCTTTATGCCCCATTTTTCCTTATCTATAACATAAAGATAATAGACCTATCATAGAGTTATTGTGACATTTAAACTAGTCAAATAATGCAAAACATTTAGAAGAGTGCTGGGCACATGAGAAGTGCTCAGAAAGTGTTTTAATTTAACAAATCTTTATTGAAAATTGCTACAGTGTCAGGTGGTTTGGTAGTGCTTACTTTTAAGGAATTTACGTTTTATCAGGGAAGAAATACACAATACTTAATACAATATAGCATGATGAGTGCCACTGCTTTTAAAAGTAGAGCTAAGGCTGGGCGTGGTGGCTCACGCCTGTAATCCCAGCACTTTGGGAGGCCTAGGTGGGCAGATCACTTGAGGTCTGGAGTTTTTTTGTTTTTTTGTTTTTTTTTCAGACGGAATCTCGCTCAGTCACCGAGGCTGGAGTGCAGTGGCGCAATCTCGGCTCACTGCAAGCTCTGCCTCCCGGGTTCATGCCATTCTCCTGCCTCAGCCTCCGGAGTAGCTGGGACTACAGGCGCCCGCCACCATGCCCGGCTAATTTTTTGTACTTTTAGTAGAGACGGGGTTTCACCGTGTTAGCCAGGATGGTCTCGATCTCCTGACCTCGTGATCTGCCTGCCTCGGCCTCCCAAAGTGCTGGGATTACAGGCATGAGCCACTGTGCCCGGCGAGGTCTGGAGTTGGAGACTAGCCTGGCCAACATGGTGAAACCCTGTCTCTACTAAAATACAAAAAATTAGCTGGGCATGATGGCGTGCATCTGTAATCCCATCTCAGGAGGCTGAGGCAGGAGAGTCACTTGAGCCCGGGAGGCAGAGGTTGCAGTGAGTGGCCATGTTGGCCAGGTTAGTCTTGAACTCCTTGCTGTCTCACCCAGGCTACAGTACAGGGGTGCCATTATAGCTCACTGCAGCCACGAGCTCCTGGGCTCAAGTGATCCTCCCACCTCAGCCTCTGGAGCTGTTGGGATTAGAGGCATTCGCCATTGCGCTCGGCTGATTAAAAAAAATTTTTTTAGCAAACGAGGTCTTGCTGTGTTGCCAGGCTGCTTTCCAACTCCTGGCCTCAAGTGATTCCCGCCTCAAGCTCCTGACTCTGGAATTACAGGCATGCACCACCTCACCTGGCTTGGACTTTTTATTAGACTTCCTGATTTTATTTCATCTGGTCTCTTTCATTTCCTTAAGCTTCTGTTTTAATTCTCATAAGATTTTTCTCAACTTTCTTCCATTTTTTTATTATTTTTTTCTGCTATCATTTTAATTTTTTTTTTCTTTTTTTTGAGCTGGAGTCTTACTCTGTCACCCAGGCTTGAGTGCAGTGGTGCAATCTCAGCTCACCGCAACCTGTGCCTTCCAGGCTCAAGTGATCCTCCCACCTCGGCCTCTTGAGTAGCTGGAACCACAAGCATGCGCCACCAAGGCCGGCTATTTTTTGTATTTTTGGTAGAGATGGCGTTTTGCCATGTTGCCCAGGCTCATCTCGAATTCCTGAGCTCATGCGATCTGCCTGGCCTCGGTCTCCCAGAGTGCTAGGATTACAGGCATGAGCCACCGTGCCAGTTCTTATCATTTTAATTTCAAAGAGTGTTTTTGTTCATCTTCTGAATGTTCCTTTCTGTAGCATCTGTGTTTTTGTTTTTTTGAGACAGAATCTTGCCCTGTCACCCCGGCTGGAGTGCAATGGTGCAATCTTGGCTTACTCCAACCTCTACCTCCCGGGTTCAAACGATTCTCATACCTCAGTCTCCTGAGTAGCTGAGATTACAGGCATCTGCCACCATACCTGGCTAATTTTTGTATTTTTAGTAGAGACGTGATTTCACTGTTTGTCAGACTGGTCTCGAACTCTTGACCTTCAGTGATCTGCCCCCTTGGCCTCCCAAAGTGCTGGGATTACAGGTGGGAGTCACCACACCCAGCCTTCTGTAGCATCTTTTTAATTCCCAATTTTTACCTTTTCTTGTCATTTTGAAGATGTTAATAAGATACATGACTTTTTTCTTCCTGCATATTTAGTTTTTGTAAATTGTTTTTCATCTCTGCTTGTTTTAGTTTCTCTATTTCCTGTTTGATGTGGTCCTCAAAAAACTAGTGTTTCTTGGCTATTTGCTTCTATTTAAGAGGTGAGCACTGAGAGTTGTGTTTTTGTTTTTGTTTTTTATGCTCTTGTGTGGGTTTGTGGGTCTTTACTGCAGAATGATCTTGCTGAGTTCCTTTTTGGGAGTCTCTGATGTTAGGTCTTTAAGTCTTTTTGCTGGTCAGATTCCCTGAAGAAGAATTACTCAGTGCACTGCTGGAGAGAATCTTGGTTGTCAGTGTTCTTGGAGGTGAATGGAGAGAGGGTTTGAAGTCATAACATACAGTAAATGCATTTAGTCTCCTTGCTTTTAATATTGTTTGTACTCTATCCCTCAGCTGTACCTTGTAATCCCTAGTACAGAAACCCCGTTTTTCTTTCTCAGCAGCATTATCTTCTAATTTTCAGCTGTGTTGAACAGAAGAGGGAATAGAAGAGAGTGTTAATCTACTTGTTAAATAGACTTTCATCCCTTCCTTCTGTTTTTAGCTCCATCTTTACCTTTATTTCTAGATGTACTTGGCCCAGACAATTCCTAAGTCAATGGGGGTTCTGTGGTCCAAATCAGCTTTCTCAGCTTTCCCCATTGTCGGTTTAAAATTGATCATTATTGAGTCTTTTAGGTCAATTACTACTTTTCCATTTGCTTTCTACTTTCTAACTTGGATGATTCAGATTTTCCGAGAACCAACACTTAATACTTGCTTAGGGTTGGTTAGTTGGTTTGTTTTTTGAGACGGGGTCTTTCTGTGTTGCCCAGGCTGGAGTGCAGTCCATTCACAGGCATGATTATAGCGTACTACAGCCCGGAACTCCTGGCTCAAGTGATCCTCCTGCCTCAGCCTCCTGAGTAGCTGGGACTATAGAGTCAGGCCAGTGAGCCTGACTCTTTTCTTTTTTAAAAGTACACTTTGGCCGGGGGGCATGGTGACTCACACCTGTAATCCCAGCACTTTGGGACACTAAGGCGGGAGGATTGCTTGAGGCCAGGAGTTGGAGACCAGCCTGGGCAACATAGTGAGACCCTATCTTTACAAAAAATTAAAAAAATTAACCAGGTGTGGTGTCACATGCCTGTAGTCCCAGCTACTTGGGAGGCTGGCTTGAGCATAGGAGGTTGAGGCTACTGTGAGTCTTGATTGTGTCACCTCACTCTAGCCTGGGAGACAGAGCAAGACCCTGCCTCAAAAAAAAAGTACATTCTATAAAATTAAAACCAACTTATTTACCCCCATACTCATAGTAGCATTATTCATAGTAGCCAAAGGTAGAGGCAAACAAGTATCCATCCACAGATGAATTAATAAACAATATGTGACACATGCATACAATGGAATATTAGCCTTAAAAAGGAAGGAAATCTTGGCCTGGTATGGGGGCTCATGCCTGTAATCCCAACAGTTTGGGAGGCCAAGGCATGAGGATCACTTGAGGCCAGGAGCTTGAGACCAGCTTGGCCAACATGGAGAAACCCCCCCATCTACTAAAAATACAAAAATTTGCTGGGCGCGGTGGCACATGCCTATAATCCCAGCTGCCCTGGAGACTGAGGCACGAGAATTGCTTGAACCTTGAACTGGGAGGTGGAGTTTGCAGTGAGCTGACATCATGCCACTGCACTCCAGCCTGGGTAACAGAGTGCGACTCTGTCTCAAAAGAAAAAAAAAAAAAAGGGAAGGAAATCTGACACATGCTACAATGTGGATGAACTTTGAGGACGTTATGCTAAGTGAAATAAGGCAGTCACAAAAGGACAAATATTTTATGATTTTTAAAATTAATAAGTACTAAATAAACCTCCTTGTTATCCTGTCCGTTGTGAGATTGACTAAACCTTGCCAAAACATCCTGACAAACTTTACTTTTGAGATGAAATCCAAACTCTCTTGTCTAAGTTAAACCCTTTCATGGTCTGACGTCTACCTTCGTATCTCTCACTTACTTCTAACACTCATCTTTACCTGTTATTATAAGGCAGATTTAAAAAAAATATTTTTTAAAATTTGTGTTAAAAATGTTGTAATTAGAGGTAAGATCTCACTATGTTGCCCAGGCTGGCCTTGAACTCCTGAGCTCAAGTGATTCTCCTGCCTCAGCCTCCTGAGTAGCTGGGACTACAGGCATATGACACCATACCCTGCCAGTTTGTTTTTTTCTTACAGTCAGGGTCTTGCTCTGTTACCCAGGCTGGAGAGTAGTGATGTGATCACAGCTCACTGCATCCTCAAACTCCTGGGCTTAAGCAGTCTTCCTGGCTTAGCCTCCCGAGTAGCTAGGACTATAGGCACATACCACCACACCTGGCTAATTTTTAAGTTTTTTCATAGAGATAGATCTTGCTTTGTTGACCAGGGTGGTCTCAAACTCTTGGCCTTGAGCAATGCTCTGGCCTCGAGTGATCCTCTGGCCTCGGCCTCCCAAAAGGCTGAGATTACAGTCATGAGCCACTGAGCCCAGCCTATTTTGGTTTCTTAAATTGTCATTAAGTTGTATACTGTACAACTTTTATTTTTCAGTAGTTTTCGGGGAACAGGTGGTGGGTGTTTGGTTGCATGGAAGAGTTCTTTAGTGGTGATTTATGAGATTTTGGTGCACCCATCACCCGAGCAGTGTACACTCTACCCAGTGTGTATGTAGTCTTTTATCCCTCTCCCACTTCCCTGTGAGTCCCCAAAGTCCATTATCTCATTGTTTTTCCTTTGTGTTCTCATAGCTTAACTCCCGCTTATATAAATGAGAACACACGATGTTTGATTTTCCATTCCTGAGTTACTTCACTTAGTAATGGTCTCCAACTCCGTCCAAGTTGCTGCGAATGCCATTACTTCGTTCCTTTTTATGGCTGAGTAGTAGTCCATGGTAGATGTATACCACATTTCTTTTTTTTCCTTTTTTTAAGATAGAGTCTTTGTCTGTTGTCGAGGCTGGAGTGCAGTGTCGTGATCTCGGCTCACTGCAAGCTTTGCCTTCCGGGTTCAAGAGATTCTCGTGCCTCAGCCTCCCAAGTAGTTGGGATTACAGGCGTATGCTGCCACGCCTGGTTAATTTTTTTATTTTTAGTAGAGACGGGGTGTCATCATATTGGCCAGGCTGGTCTTGAACTCCTTACCTCAATTGATCTGCCCACCTCGGCCTTCCAAAGTGTTGGAATTACAGGTGTAAGCCACCGCGCCCAGCCTAATCCATAATTTTTTAAAGTTAGCTTTGGTAGAATTTTGGGGGGATGAAGGAGGATTCAGAAATAGACAACAGGTATAAATGGCATATTTGAAAAGTGAACTTGTGATTTAACTAAATACTGTGTTTTGGGGTCCTTAAAATATTTTTTGACTCTTCATTATGGAAAAATTTAAATGTATAGAAAAATACGGAGACTAGCATCAGGAGCCCCTGTTAGCTGTTACATAGCTTTAATAATTATTAACTCGTATCTTAATCTTTTTTCATCTATATAGCATTCCCAACCTCTGTACCAAAGTGGGTTATTTTATGTGTCTATTTATTTTTTAGAGACAAGGTCTCACTCTGTCACCTAGGCTGGATTCCAGTGGTGCAGCCATAGCTCACTGTAACCTTGAACTCTTAGGAAAAGTGCGTTATTTTAAAGCAAACTCCACACGTCGTATTGTAACTATTTTGCTATGGCTGCTCAAAGAGGAAGACCTCCTTATTGAAATATTCTTGACATTTATATACATAATTGCTCATAGAGGCCTTTATTTTTGGGATACTGTTCATTCCTTTACACGTTTTTGAGCTTAATATTTCAGGATCTCTATATTAGAGAATTAAAATATCCATGAGTTCATAATCTAAAGAAGTGACAGCTCTTCCTTTAAAAGAATTCCAATTAACAAATACAGACAGAATGAGGTAAATTTAAAAATCACCATTAGAATACCACAGTAATAACTGCTGCAGGTAAGATCCCTTTGATGAATTTTAAAATTGGTGGGCAAAAGTTTGAGAACACAATGTTTGCATCATCTCAAAGTATCTTCCCCAATAGTTATTATTTACAAAGGGAAAAACATTAACTTCAGGGTGAAGAAACACTGTAGACACCACCAATAACCAAGTGATCAAGGTTAACATCGTTAGGAATAAGATAATGGGCCATTATGTATCCTCTGTTATAATGCACTGAGAAAGGCACATCAGTTCTGTGGTAGTTTTGCCAAGAATTCATGGCCTCTGTCTAATCGTGAGAAAACATCAGACAAATCCAAATCGAGGAACATTACATGAAACAACTGACAAGTATTATTTGAAAGTGTCCATGTCATGAAAACAAGGGAAAATGGGGAAAATCTCACATATCAGAGGAGACCAAGGAGACATGACAGCTAAATGCAATGTGGGATCCTGGATGACATCTTGGAACAGAAAAAGGGCATTAGAAAAATGGGTGAAATTCTAAATAAGTTACATAGTTTAGTTAATAACATTATATCACTGTTAATTTCTTAGTTTTGATAATTGTGCTGTGGTTATGTAAGATTTTATCTTAGAGGCTGGCCGGGCATGGTGTCTCACAGCTGTAATTCCCAGCACTTGGGAGGCCGGGGGCGGGGCGGGGGGGGGTTCCGATCACAAGGTCAGGAGTTCGAGACCAGCCTGGCCAACATGGTCTCTACTAAAAATGCAAAGAGTAGCTGGGCATGCTGGTGGGCGCCTGTAATCCCAGCTATGGAGGCTGAGGCAGGAGAATTGCTTGAACCTGGGAGGTGGAGATTGCAGTGAGCCGAGATCGCACCACTGCACTCCAGCCTGGGCGACAGAGCAAGACTCCGTCTCAGAAAAAAAAAAAAAGGAAGATTTTGTCTTAGAGGAAGCCAGGTAAAAGGTGTACTGAAATTCTCTGTACTATTTTTATAGCTTTTCTATAAGCCAAAAAAATTTCCAAATAGAATGTTAAAACAGTCGTATGGCTGGTTGGGGTGGCTCATGTCTGTAATCCCAGCACTTTGGGAGGCCGAAACGCTTGAACCCGGGAGGTGGAGGTTGCAGTGCGCCGAGATTGCACCACCACACTCCAGCCTGAGTGACAGAGCGAGACTCCGTCTCAAAAACAACAACAACAAAAAACAGTCCTACTACGTGTACTACTGTTATTCTGATTTTACCGTGAGGAAATTGAGGCACAGAGAGATTAACTAACTTGTCTCATGGTTGCGTGGTTAGTAAGTAGGCAAGCTGGGATTTCAACCCAGTAGTCTGGTTCTACAACTCACTTTTTTTTTTTTTTTTAATTTATTTCGAGGCAGAGTTTTGCTACGTCTCCCTGGTTGGAGTGTGATGGTAGTGTGATCACTGCTCACTGCAGCCTCAGTCTCCTGGGCTTAGGCAATCCTCTCACCATAGCTGGGAATACAGGTGTGTACCACCATCCCCAGCTAAATTTTTTTATTTTTAGCAGAGATGAGGTCTTGCTGTGTTTCCAGGCTGGTTTTGAACTCCTGTGCTCAACTGATCCTCCTGCCTTGGCCTCCCAAAGTGCTGGTTTTTTTTAAGAGACAGAGTCTCACTCTGTCACCTAGGCTGGAGTGTAGTGGCACAATCATAGCACACTGACTTTGAACCCCTGGGCTCAAGTGTTTCTTCTGCCTCAATTTCCCTAGTATTTGGGACTACAGGCATGTGCCACTGTGCCTGGCTATTTTTTGTGTGTGTGTATAGAGAAAATGTTTGATTGATATGTAGTATACATAGAAGCATATAAATCATAAATATACAGCTTGAATGAGAAAAATTGATGAATATTCTCATTCTTACAAAAGTTATTTCTTACTATAAATTAGAAAATTTGACTTTTTTTCTTTTCTCTTTAGCTTACAACAGCTTTTTTTTTTTCTTTTAAATTGATGGGGTCTCTGTTGGCCAGGCTGCTCTTGAACTCCCTGGGCTCAAGTGATCCTCTCACTCAGCCTCCTGAGTAGTTAGCTGGGACTACTGGTGCGAACTCTGCACTTGACTGATCTTCATTGTTTTGTATCTCTATTTCTTTCTTTCTTTTTTTTTTTGAGATGGAGTCTCACTCTTGCCCAGGCTGGAGTGCAGTGGCGCAGTCTCAGCTCACTGCAACCTCTGCCTCCAGGGTTTAAGCGATTCTTGTGCCTCAGCCTGCTGAGTAGCTGGGACTACAGATGCGTGCCACCACCATGTCCTGCTAATTTTTTTATTTTTTTTGAGATGGAGTTTCACTCTGTCACCCAGGCTGGAGTCCAGTGGAGTGATCTTGGCTCACTGCAACTTCTGCCTCCCGGGTTCGAGCAGTTTTCCTGCCTCAGCCTCCTTGGTAGCTGGGATTACAGGCACACGCCACCATGCCTGACTAAGTTTTTATATTTTTAGTAGAGACAGGGTTTCACCATGTTGGCCAGCCTGGTCTCAAACTCCTGACCTCAGATGATCCACCCATCTCATTTTTGAATTTTTAATAGAGACAAGGTTTCACCATGTTGGTCAGGCTGGTCTCAAACTCCCGACCTCAAGTGATCCACCTGCTTCAGCCTCCCAAAGTACTGGGATTATAGGCGTTAGTCACTGCACCCGGCCTGTGTCTCTATTTCTTAAGGTTAATTTTATGTCTCTGTGAGTTGTATCCACTTTCATTTTTCTAAGAATGCAAAGTTGTTTTAGGCCAAACTCTGGACCACATTA
This sequence comes from Homo sapiens, assembly GCF_000001405.40. Classification (NCBI taxonomy): domain Eukaryota; kingdom Metazoa; phylum Chordata; class Mammalia; order Primates; family Hominidae; genus Homo; species Homo sapiens. The sequence goes on along the minus strand of NC_000011.10, from coordinate 73,745,357 downwards.
ACTGCCTAAAGTACTGAATGAAGTCTACTTGGTGAAGTTTCTCTCCATTGGTTAATTAATTCATTCAGTGCCAGGCAGAAACTGACTCTCTGAGTATACAGCTATGAACAAGAAAAATACAGTTCTTGTTTCTTATTTTATCGTGTGTAGTTGAGAGAGGTAAACTAGTAAATAAATGCATTAACAAGATACTTTGAGATAGTGTTAATGTGTTTATTATATTACCAATTTTTCCTATTTTTTCCCATAAGAAAAGATGGATCATGCTTTATTTAAAATTTCTACACTTAAGTGTTTGAGTGAAATAATGCTGATAAAGTGAGTCTTGTGCTAGTAGTCAGTCTTATGCCAGTACTCTTTACTCTTTTTTTTTTTTTTTCTTTTGAGATGGATTCTCGCTCTGTCACCAGGCTGGAGTGCAGTGGCGCGATCTCGGCTCACTGCAACCTCCACTTCCCGGGTTCAAGCGATTCTCCTGCCTCAGCCTCCTGAGTAGCTGGGACTACAGGTGTGCATCACCATGCCCAGCTAATTTTTGTATTTTTAGTAGAGATGGGGTTTCACCATGTTGGCCAGGATGGTCTCGATCTCTTGACCTCATGACCTGCCCGCCTCGGCCTCCCAAAGTGTTGGGATTACAGGCGTAAGCCACCGCGCCCAGCCCCAGTGCTTATTTTGAACTTTCCACTGGAATATTCTTTTAGAGTGCAAACTATTTTGATTTCTCTTTTTGTCCTTATGATACAATTATAAAAGTATGTTGACTTTGTTGTAGGAGTAAAATAAAAGTCCTGCTGCCATCTAAAATTCTTTTTTTTTTTTTTTTTTTTTTTTTTTTTTTTTTTTGGAGACAGGGTCTCACTCTGTTGCCCAGGCTGGAGTGCAGTGGTGTCATCACAGTATACTACAGCCTTGACCTCCTGGGCTCAAGTGATACTCCTCCCTCAGCCTCCTGAGTAGCTGGGACCACAAGCATGTGCTACTACATGTGGCTAATTTAAATTTTTTTTTTTTTTTTTTGAGATGGAGTCTCCCTTTGTCACCCAGGCTGGAGTGCATTGGTGCGATCTCGGCTCACTGCAACCTCCACCTCCCGAGTTCACGCCATTCTCCTGCCTCAGCCTCCCGAGTAGCTGGGACTACAGGCGCCCACCACCATGCCCGGCTAATTTTTTGTATTTTTAGTAGAGACAGGGTTTCACTGTGTTAACCAGGATGGTCTCCATCTCTTGACCTCGTGATCCACCCGCCTCAGCCTCCCAAAGTGCTGAAATTACAGGCGTGAGCCACTGCGCCCGTCCAGTTTAAAATTTTTTGTAGAGATAGGGTCTTGCCATGTTGTCCATGTTGAACTTTTGGGCTCAAGTGATCCCTGCCTCAGCCTCTCAAAATGCTGGGATTGCAGGCATGAGCCATGGCACCTGGCTGATCTAAAATTCTTAGAGAGATGCAATCTTAGGCTGAAAGTAATTTAGAAAGATAATTTAGTTTTTTTTCCTTCAGGCAGAACCATATCTGATATCAATTTTATGAGCTAATAATGTAACCAGGAAAGAAAAGTTTCACAAAATTGTGTTATGTGAGCAAGGGTTCAGAGCCTCTAAAGTACATAGTATGCTTGGAGAATAATGAATAGCCTTCTGTAATTGGCAGATGAGGTTTATGTTTGTTAAAGGTGTGAGATGAGACTGGAGGCTAGGCTCAGAATTAAGTGTTTTTTTTTGGTTGGTGGTTTTTTTCTGAGACAGGATCTCGCCATATTGCCCAGGCTGCAGTGATCCTGTCTCACTGAAGCCTCAGTCTCCTGGGCTCAAGTGATCCTCCCACCTGATACTCTTGAGTAGTTGGGACTACAGGCACACACCACCACACCTGGCTTCAAACTCAAGTTTGACATAAAGGTCCTTGATGACCTGCTAAAAGTTTAACATTATCTTACGGATACTGGGGACCCCTGCAATGTTTTATAAATTGAAGAAGGATACCTCTGCTAGTATGGAGGTTGGACACTGACAGTGCTTTCTTTCTTTTTTCTCTTTTTTTTTTTTTTTTTGAGACAGAGTTTCGCTCTGTTGATCAGGCTGGAGTGCGGTGGCGCAATCTTGGGTCATTGCAACCTCCGCCTCCCAGGTTCAAGTAGTTCTCCTGCCTCAGCCTCTGGAGTAGCTGGGATTACAGGTGCCCACCACAAGATCTGGCTAATTTTTTTTGTGTGTGTATTTTTAGTAGAGATGGGGTTTCACTATGCTGCCCAGGCTGGTCTCAAACTCGAGTGATCTGCCCGTCTTGGCCTCCCAAAGTGCTGGGATTACAGGCGTGAGCCACCGTGCTTGGCCTTACAGTGCTTTCTTATCTTGTTCACTCTCTTGTATGTGTGCATATTTGTTTTCTTCAGTGGATTGTAAGCTCCTTTCAGGTCAGGGCTTTACTCGTATTTGTTTTTGCATTCTTATCCCCCAACCTCCTTATTTCCTAGCATTTAATAGTTTTGGAATGAAGTGAGAAATAGCCATTTGAGCATTGATGTATTTGTTTACTTTTTTTTTTTGAGACAGATTTTCATTCTTGTTGCCCAGGCTGGAGTCAATGGGGCAATCTCGATTCACTGCAACCTCCATCTCCCGAGTTCAAGCGATTCTCCTGCCTCAGCCTCCCAAGTACTGGGATTATAGGCATGTGCTACCACGCCCAGCTAATTTTGTATTTTTAGTAGCGACGGGGTTTCTCCGTGTTGGTCAGGCTGGTCTTGAACTCCTGACCTCAGGTGATCCACCTGCCTCAGCCTCCCAGTGTGTTGGGATTACAGGCGTGAGCCACCACGCCTGGCCCATTTTTCTTTGATAAGAGTAATCAGTAGTCTGTCTTTACCATTATGTATCTTTCTTATCTGCAGCTTTTATGTAGTTAAACAAGTTTTTTTGTCTGCGTGTGGTGGATCACGCCTGTAATCCCAGCACTTTGGGAAGCTTAGGCGAGAGGATCACTTGAATCCAGGAGTTTGAGACAAGGCTGGGCAGCCATAGCCAGACCCTGTTTCTATTTTGTTTTATTATTATTTATTTATTTATTTATTTTTGAGACAGAGTCTCGCTCTGTCGCCCAGGCTGGAGTGCAGTGGCACAATCTCAGCTCACTGCAACCTCTGCCTCCTGGGTTCAAGCAATTCTCCTGCCTCAGCCTCCCAAGTAGCTGGGGTTACAGGTGCCCACCACCACACCCAGCTAATTTTTGTATTTTTAGTAGAGACAGGGTTTCACCATATTGACCAGGCTGGTCGTGAACCTCTGACCTCAAGTAATCCACCTGCCTCAGCCTCCCAACGTGCTGGAATTACAGGCGTGAGCCACCATGCCCAGCCTATTTTATTTTTTCTTTTTTAATTTTGTTTTTCTTTTTAAATCACATTCCCTTCTTGTCCCTATATGTCTCCTGGAGGCAGGAGATATATAGGAAATATCAGTAAGTGCCTCTCAATTTTGCTGTGAACCTAAAACTGATCTAAAAAATTAAATCTTAAAAAATTTCATTTCATTTTGTTTTAATTTTTTATTTCTTTTTGTCTTTTCCAGAATATTATGTAGTTGGATCATGTATGCATTCCTTTCGAGATAAGATATTTTCATTTAATAGTTCACATTAGGTTCTGGCATGTCTTTCTATGATTTGATAGCTTATTTCTTTTTGGTGCTGAATAATACTCAATTGTGTGGATATACCACAGTTTGTGTATCCATTCACCTACTGAAGGACATTTTGGTTGCTTTCAAGTTTTGCCAGTTACTAATAAAAAGCAGCTGTAAACATACATGTACGTCCTTTTTTTTTTTCTTGTGCAGATTTTTGTGTGGACATGTTTTCAGCTCTTTTGGGTAAATACCAAGGAGCATGGTCGCTGGATCATATGGTAAGAGTATATTTTGGGCCAGGCACGGTGGCTCACGCCTATAATCTTAGCACTTTGGGAGGCCGAGGTGGGTGGATCACCTTAGGTCAGGAGTTCAAGACCAGCCTGGCCAACATGGTGAAACCCCGTCTCTACTAAAAATACAAAAAATTAGCCAGGCGTGGTGGCATGCACCTGTAATCCCAGCTGATTGGGAGGCTGAGGCAGGAGAATGGCGTGAACCCGGGAGGTGGAGCTTGCAGTGAGCCGAGATTGCGCCACCGCATTCCAGCCTGGGCGACAGAGCAAGACTCTGTTGGGGGGGTGGGGGGAAGGAGTATATTTTGTTTTGTCAGGTAAATATTTTTTGTTTTTACTTTGGATGTCTCTATTTCATCATGCTGGAAACTCATACTGTAGATCTAATAAATATTATTGTGGAGAAACCACTTTTATTAAAAACAACTTTTGAGCCATAGATGTGAAATTACTTATTTTAACAAATTTTCTATACAACCACATTCATTCTCTCCATTTTTAAATACGACTGTACAGGTGTAGTGTAGTTTTTTTTTTTCTTTTTTTTAAAGACAGAGTCTCACTCTGTTGCCCAGGCTGGAGTGCACTGGCGTGATCTCGGCTCACTGCAACCTCTGCCTCCCAGGTTTAAGCGATTGTCCTGCCTCAGCCCCCCCGAGTAGCTGGATTACAGGCGCATGCCATCACGCCTGGCCAATTTTGTATTTTTAGTAGAGACGGGGTTTCACCATGTTGGCCAGGTTAGTCTCAAACTCCTGACCTCAGGTGATCCGCCTGCCTTGGCCTCCCAAAGTGCTGGGATTACCGGCGTGAGCCGCTGCTCCTGGCCAGCTAGTTTTTTTTTTTTTAAATTAACTTTAGGAGAAACAAAAAATCTTGATTCAATTTAGGTCTTTTAGAGAAAGGCTACTAGATTTTTAAACTTTAGTTTTATTGACTAGGTAAGTTACACTGAAGTAGCATTAGCTTGGTTTATTTGATTTTGTTTTCCTCTAGAATTGCATCACCTAGGTGAGACGCCCTTGGATATGATATTGCAGTGAGGTTTGCTTGCAGCTGAGCTTTTCTGTTGTGATCCCTAGGTACTTTTCTCAACTGTCTTTGTTACCAGGATGGAACAATGACTAGATAGTGTCTTTTGCTTGGCTTTGTTACTACAATCATAGCATATGATTTAAGCTACCATTATCATAGCGGATTAATTTTTTATAGTGTTTTTTTGTGGGAAAAAGTAAAAAATATAAATATCTAATTGGTCTAGTTCAATACTATCTGGCCAATGTTATTGACCAAGAATTATGAAGCAGGTCAGAATTTATCATAGTTATAGATTGTAGACTAATTGAGTCCTCTCTTTTTTTTTTTTTTCTTTTTTTTGAGACAGAGTCTTGCTCTGTTGCCCAGGCTGGACTGCAGTGGCGCAGTCTCGGCTCACTGCAACCTCTGCCTCCCAGGTTCAAGCGATTCTCCTGCCTCAGTCTCCTGAGTAGCTGGGACTACAGGTGTGTGCCACCAAGCCCAGCTAATTTTTTGTATTTTTAGTAGAGATGGGGTTTCACTGTGTTAGCCAGGGTGGTGGTCTCCATCTCCTGACTTTGTGATCTGCCCGCCCGGGCCTCCCAAAGTGCTGGGATTACAGGCATGAGCCACCGGGCCCGGCCTGAGGCTTCTCTTTTTTATGCAAATACCAGTCTTAGATTGTGTGAATCCTAGGTATCCTTCAAGAGTATATTATGTGAGGACTTACTTTGCCACTTATAAAACTTATCTTTTAAATTAATATCCCTCGGTTTTCTTGAGGCCCCAATAATTAGTTTATCTAACTTTTAATAATCAACCTTAGAGGTGGCAGGATTTCTTGAGCCCAAGGACTTGGCACTGCAGTGAGCCATGATTGGTGTCACTGCACTCCAGCCTGAGACAGAACAAGACCCTGATTCAAAAAAATAAAAAATAAAAAATCAGGCTGAGTGCACTGGTGGCTCATGACTCATCCCAGCATTTGGGAGGCTGAGGCGGGAAGATCACTTGAGCCCAGGAGTTCGAGACCAACCTGGGCAATATAGTGACACCCCATCTCTTAAAAAATTTTTTAGTTTACTTTTTAGTTATCTTTGGTGTTCCAGTATTTATATATATATATATATATATTTTTTTTTTTTTTTTTTTTTTAATTATTATTACTATTTTTTTTTTGCAGTCTTGCTCTGTCTCCCAGGCCAGAGTGCAGTGCTGTGATCTTGGCTCCCTGCAGCCTCCACTTCCCAGGTTCAAGCGATTCTTGTGCCTCAGCATCCTGAGTACTAGACCTGCCTAATTTTTGTATTTTTAGTAGAGATAGGATTTCACCACGTTGGCCAGGCTGATCTTGAACTCCTGACCTCAAGTGATCTGCCCACCTCAGCCTCCCAAAGTGCTGGGATTACAGGCATGAGCCACTGTGCCCAGCCCCAATATTAGTTTAGTTTAGTTTAGTTTAGTTTTGTTTTTTGAGACAGGAGTCTCACTCTGTTGCCCAAGCTGGAGTGCAGTGGCGCAGTCTTGGCTCACTGCAGCCTCCGACTCCCAGGCTCAAGCAATCATCTGGGCTCAGCCTCTCAAGTAACTGGGACTACAGGTGTGTGCCACTATGCTGGGTAATTTTTGTATTTTTAGTAGAGACGGGGTTTTGCCATGTTGCCCAGGCTGGCCTCAAACTCCTGACCTCAAGTGATCTGCCTGCCTCGGCCTACCAAAGTGCGACCGCTCCTGGCCTCAATATTGGATATTTATTTTATTTTTTACTTTGAGACAGGATCTTACCCTGTTGCCAGGGCTGGAGTGCAGTGGCACTATCACAGTTTATAGTAGTTGCAAACTCCTGGGCTTGAATCTTCCTGCCTCAACCTCCCAAGTAGCTGGGGCTACAGGTCTACTCCACTGTGCTTGGCTAAATTTCTTTTTAAATGTTTTTGGAGATGGAGTTTTGCTTTGTTGCCCGGCTAGCCTTGGACTCCTTGCCTCAAGCATCCTCCAGTTTCAGCTTCCCGAGTATCTGGGATTACAGGCAAGAGCCACTGTCCCTGACCATTTTAGCCATTTTTAAGTGTGTAGTTCAGTGGCATTAAGAACATTCACATTGTAGTACCGGCTAGGCATGGTGCCTCACGACCATAATCCTGGTACTTTGGGAGGCCGTGGTGGGAGGATTGCTTGAGCTCAGGAGTTCAAAACCAGCTTGGGCAACTTAGTGAGACCTTGTCTCTATTAAAAATAAATAAATAAGTAAAAAATAAATAAAAAATAACATTCACATTTAGTACAACCATCACCTGCATAAATTTTTATAACAACTTTATGGAGCTAAAGTTTACATATCATATAATTTACTTGTATCAAGTATACAGTTTAGTGGTTTTTAGTATATATTAATAACATGTGGTCTTTTTTTTTTTTTTTTTTGAGATGGAGTCTCCCTCTGTTGCCCAGGCTGGAGTGCATGGTGTGATCTCGGCTCACTGCAACCTCCGCCTCCCGGGTTCAAGCAATTCTTTGCCTCAGCCTCCCGAGTAGCTGGGATTACAGGCGCCCACCACCACGCCCAGCTAATTTTTGTATTTTTTTTAAGTAGAGACGGGGTTTCACCATGTTGGCCAGGCTGGTCTTGAACTCCTGACCTCATGATCCACCCGCCTTGGCCTCCCAAAGTGCTGGGATTACAGGCGTGAGTCACCATGCCCGGCAATAATATGTGGTCTTTAGTGACTGATCTCTTTCAGTTAGTGTAGTGTTTTCAAGGTTCATTTGTTTTGAAGCATATTATCAATACTTCATCCCATTGTATCTGTGTACCACGTTTTGTTTATTAGTTGATGGACATTTGGCTTGTTTCTGCACTTTGGCTCTTATGGGTAGTGCTTGCCATATGTTATAATGATTTCATTATCATTTAGCTCAAATGATGATGAGTTTTAGAAACAGGGTCTTGCTCTGTCACCCAGGCTGGAGTGCAGTGGTGTGATCATAGCTCACTGCAGCCTCAAACTCCTAGGTTCAAGCAATCCTTCTGCTTCGGCCTGCCAAGTAGGGGACTACAGGTGCATGCCACCACACTCTAGTAAATTTTAAATTTTTTGTAGAGATAGGGTCTCGCTTATTTGCCCAGGCTGATCTCGAACTCCTGTATTCACTCGATCCTCCTCAGCCTCCCAAAGTGATGGGATTACATACACGAGCCAACACACCAAGCCTAAATTTCCATTGTGAGTTCTTCTTGAACCTCTGGGTTAGAAGTACATTATGTTATTTCCAAACATTTCAACATTTTCTGGATATCTTTTAGTTGTAAATTTCTTGTTCAGTTTCACTGAGGGCAGATAATACGTTCTATATGATTTCAAACATTTGAAATTTGTTGAGACTTGCTTTGTGTCCCAGCACTTGTTTTCTTTCTTTCTTCTTTTTTTTTTTTTTTTTTTTGAGACAGTGTCTCGCTGTGTCACCCAGGCTGGACTGCAGTGGCATGATCACGGTTCATTGTAGCTTTGACCTCCTGGGCTCAAGCAATCCTCCCACCTTAGCCTCTCAAGTGTCTGGGACAACAGTATGTACCACCATGCCTGGCTAATTGTTTTTTTTTTTTTTTTTCTTTTTTTTTTCTTTCTCGAGATGAAGTCTCACTGTGTTGCACAGGCTGGAGTGCAGTGGCACAGTCTTGGCTCACTGTAACCTTTGCCTCCCAGGATTAAGTGATTGTCCTGCCTCAGCCTCCGGAGTAGCTGGGATTACAGGCATGAGCCACAATGCCTGGCTAATTTTTGCATTTTTAGTACAGACAGAATTTCACCATGCTGGCCAGGCTGGTCTCAAACTCCTGACCTCAGGTGATCTACCCACCTTGGCCTCCCAAAGTGCTGGGATTACAGGCGTGAGCCACACCGCGCCTGGCCAACTGTACTTGTTTTCAATTAGGAGATACCTTCATCTAGAATTACTTTCACTGGTGAATTTCTTTTTCTTTTTTTTTTGGAGACAGAGTCTTTCTCTGTTGCCCAGGCTGGAGTGCAGTGGCACAATCTCGGCTCACTGCAACCTCCGCCTCCCGGGTTCAAGTGATTTCCCTGCCTCAGCCTCCCAAGTAGCTCAGATTGTGGGTCTCTGCCACCACACCCGGCTGATTTTTGTATTTTTAGTAGAGATGGGGTTTCACCATGTTGGCCAGGCTGATCTGAAACTCCTGACCTCAAGTCATCTGCCCGCCTTGGCCTCTCAAAGTGCTGAGATTACAGCCATGAGCCACCGCACCTGGCCTTAAAACGGTGAATTTCTCATATCTGTAATCCCAGCACTTTCCACCTGTATCGTCTGCTACTCTGGAGGCTAAGGTCAGAGGATTATTTCAACCCAGGAGGTTGAGGCCATGGTGAGCCACGATCATGCCACTGCACTCTGTTTCCAAAAAAAAAAAAGTAGGTGAATTGTATGGTATGTGATTTATCTCTCTCTGTCTCTCTCTCTCTTTTTTTTTTTTTTTTTTAAGGCAAGGTTGGGATTCCAGAAACTGCCTCCTCAAATACTGCTTATTCTCTCAAATAGACTTTTGAGGTTGGGATAGGTTTGATATTAGCAGCAAAATCCTGTAAGAGGGCCTGTAACTTCAAGATTATGTCCTGCATATGGGTTATTACAGATTTACTTGTCTGATTTATTGTTGAAGAATTTAGGTAATCTCGTATATAAGTAGAGTTACGTATTTAAATTTATTTCTTTCCAAATAAGATTGGAAAAATAAATAAAGCTTCCTAAGTTAGCTCTCTAATACTCATGGTCCTTGTTAAAGGCCTGAGATACCTTCTTTTTCTTCTAGCTAAAGTCTCCTTCAGACCTCATGTTTAAAGTTATTTTTCTCTGGAAAGTTTTTCTTTACCTTCTAGCCTTATAATAGAAGACTGCCCCCATTCACAACATGCTCTTGTACTTTTTATCACTCTGCAGTAACTTTTTGTCTCTCTGACTTAACCTTAGCAAGTACTATGTTCTGATTGTTTTTATATCCCCAGCATTTTTCAGTCCCTGGCATTTAGTATGTTCTCATTAAAAGGAAGAAATATAAGTGAGTAGGATCATTTTTCTATTATATTTGCCCTGGGCTACAAAAGTTTCAAAGATTGAGCCCTATCATTTGAATTAGAATTTATACCCAAGTTGTTTGCCAGTGGTTGTTAATACAGTCAAATGGAATGTGAATCCTACTGAGATCATTGTTGTGTCTGGCCTTCACAGAATTGCAAGAGTGTGTAATTAGCATGGTGCAGATGGTGTGATTTTAGGAATGTTATTATAAATGTTGAAATTGTGCTAGAATTTCTATTTTGTTTCTGGAGATTGCATTGAGGCAGCATAGTGAATGCAAATGTAGTTATTAAGAGATGATTTACAAATACATGCATCAAAATTTTATATTTAAACATGACTTTCAAAGGAAATGCTCATTGGAGCATTTCTCATTTCAGGCTTTTGGATTAAGGATGCTCAAGTATAATGCAAATTTTCTAAAATCTGAAATATTTATGGTTCTGAGCATTTTGGTTAAGAGATACTCAACTTGTAGTTGTCTTGTTCCTACCTACTTTTACTGAGAGACACTCTCCTTTAGTTTTTTTTCTCCTAGATTTTAGATTACTCCTGTTAGGAACCAGGCCTCACGGCAGGAGGTAAGCAGTGGGCCTGAGCTCCACCTCCTGTCAGATCAGTGCTGGCATTAGATTCTCATAGGAGCGAGAACCCTATAGTGAACTGTGCATGTGAGGGATCTAGGTTGCATGCTCCTTATGAGAATCTAATGCCTGATGATCTGAGGTAGAACAGTTTCATCCTGAAACCATCCACCGTTCCTCCTCCCCAACTCCCACAGAAAAACTGTCTTCCATGAAACTGGTCCCTGGTGCCAAAAAGATTGGTGACTGCTACTGTAGATTTATCTCCAATTTGGGTTTGCCATTTTTTTTTCTCACTATTAAACTGGATAAACTGGCCAGGTGCGGTGGCTGAAGCCTGTAATCCCAGCTCTTTGGGGGGCTGAGGCAGGTATATCACCTGAGGTCAGGAGTTTGAGACCAGCCTGGCCAACATGGTGAAACTCTGTCTCTACTAAAAATACAAAAACTAGCTGGGCGTGGTGGCGGGCGCCTGTAATCTCAGCTACCCAGGAGGCTGAGGCAGGAGAATCGCTTGACCCCAGGAGGTGAAGGTTGCAGTGAGCTGATATCGTGTCACTGCACTCCAGCCTGGGCGACAGAGTGAGACCCCGTCTCAAAAACAAACAAAAACTTGATAAACTGGGTAAATTCTTCTCCGTTATTAAACTGGAGTTTTTTTCACTTCACAAGGTGAAGTGCCCTTCTTGTCACAGTATATCAGGGGTTCTTGATAGCCACATACATATATACACTTTTTATTGGGAATGATACATATATAGTAAAGTGTTTTACTCTTTGAGAAAAAGATTTTATTTTAAAGTATAACATCCAGTAAAGGGCACAAAGTAGACAAATCTTAAATATATGGCTTGTTGGAAATTTTACTTTTTTATTCACCTTTGTAATGATTAATACCAGCACTTAGAAGATTCCTTGGCTCCCTTTCTCAGTTAGAAACCCCTTACAACTTTTCTTGACTTCTATCAGCATTAATTCTACCAGTTTTGAACGTCATATAAATAGAATTACAGAGTATATATTCTTTTGTATCTGGTCTCTTTCACTCTATGTAGTGTCTGAAATTTGTTCATACAATTTTACATGTTAGGATATTTTGTCATTGTAATATTTCATTTTATGACTATGCCACAATTTGTCCATTCTCTTTATTTATTTATTTATTTTTATTTATTTATTTTTTTTTTTTTGAGATGGTGTCTCACACCCTGTCGCCCAGGCTGGAGTGCAGTGGCATGATCTCGGCTCACTGTAACCTCCACCTCCTGGGTTCAAACGATTCTCCTGCCTCAGTCTCCTGCGTAGCTGGGATTACAGGCGCGCATCACCACACCCGGCTAATTCTTGTATTTTTAGTAGAAATGAGGTTTTGCCATGTTGGCCAGGCTGATCTCAAACTCCTGACTTCAGGTGATCTGCCTGCCTCAGCCTCCCAAAGTGTTGGGATTACAGCTGTGAGCCACCGCGCCTGGCCTAAAATACAGCTGGAGAATTAATTCCAGCAAGGGATGGCTTGATGATTTTTGAAAGACTTGGCTTAAAACAACAACAACAAAAAAATCAATGTAACAGCAGAAGCAGCTTCTGCCAACCAAGACAAGTTTCCAGATGCCATGAAGAAAATAATTGAGGCCAGATGTGGACGCTCATGCTTGTAATCCCAGCACTTTGGGAGGTCAAGGCAGGCGGATCATGAGGTCAGGAGTTTGAGACCAGCCAGGCGAACATAGTGAAACCCTGTCTCTACTAAAAGTAAAAAAATTAGCCAGGCATGGTGGCACACGCCTGTAATCTCAGATACTCGGGAGGCTGAGACAGGAGAATTGCTTGAACCCAGGAGGTGGACGTTGCAGTGAGCCGAGATCGCGTCACTGCACTCCAGCCTGGGTGACAGAGCAAGACATCGTCTCGGGGGAAAAAAAAGAAAATCACTGAGGAGAAAGGATAGCTGCCTGAACAGATCTGTTTGTTTGTTTGCTTTGAGACAGAGTCTCACTGTGTCGCCCAGACTGTAGTACAGTGGTGCACTCTCAGCTCACTGCAATCTCTGCCTCCCAGATTCAAGCGATTCTGTTGCCTGAGCCTCCCAAGTAGCTGGGTTTACAAGGCGCACTCCCCCACGCCCGGCTGATTTATTTATTTATATATATTTTTTGAGACAGAGTCTCGCTCTGTCACCCAGTCTGGAGCGCGGTGGCGCAGTCTCGACTCACTGCAAGCTCTGCCTCCCGGGTTCACGCCATTCTCCTGCCTCAGCGTCCCAAGTAGCTGAGACTACAGGTGCCCGCCACCACGCCTGGCTAATTTTTTGTATTTTTAGTAGAGATGGAGTTTCACCATGTTAGCCAGGATGGTCTCAATCTCCTGACCTCGTGATCCGCCCGCCTCGGCCTCCCAAAGTGCTGGGATTACAGGCGTGAGCCACCGCACCCGGCCTTTTAGGTATGGTTCTTATCCTCCCAAAAAGTACATTTTGGGAGTATTGGAGATGTTGATTTACCCAGTTCCTTTCTAATTGATAAGGTTTTTTTTGCATTCATTTTGTATTTTGAGTCTGTGTCAAGCCACTGGCAAAATAGAAAAATAATCAGATATGGTTTTTGCCCTTGGAGAATGTGCTTATTGGTAAAGAAATTGCCAGCATTCCACTACTTTTGACCTCATGACACTTTCATATGGATTAACCTAAAAATATCAATACAGTCCAGACACAGTGGTGCACGCCTATAATCTCAGCACTTTGGGAGGCCGAGGCGGGCGAATCACAGGGTCAAGAGATCAAGACCATCCTGGCCATGATGAAACCCCATCTCTACTAAAAATAACAAAAAATTAGCTCGGCATGGTGGCGTGCACCTGTAGTCCCAGCTATTTGGGAGGCTGAGGCAGGAGAATCGGTTGAACCCGGGAGGCGGAGGTTGCAGTGAGCCGAGATCTTCCCGCTGTACTCCAGCCTGGCAACAGAGCGAGACTGTCTAAAAAAAAAAGAAAATATGTGTGTGTGTGTGTATATATATATATATATATATATATATATATATATATATATATATATAATATCTATCTATCTATCTCACAATACAAAGTGAAGTTATGGATCTTTGGTAATTCTTTGCCAGAGAAGTAGAGAGTTCTATCTGGTTTTGAAATGAATTTTAAAACAGCTTTTCTTGTCAGTTTTTCTCACTTTTTTTTTTTTTTTGAGACGGAGTCTCTGTTGCCAGGCTGGAGTACAGTGGTGTGATCTCGGCTCACTGCAACCTCCATCTCCTAGGTTCAAGTTATTCTCCTGCCTCAGCCTTCCGAGTAGCTGGGACTACAGGCGTGCAACCACCCTGCCCAGCTAAGTTTTGTATTTTTAGTAGAGACACGATTTCACCATGTTGGCCAGGATGGTCTCGATCTCTTGACCTCGTGATCCACCCACGTTGGCCTCCCAAGGTGCTGGGATTACAGGCGTGAACCATCGCACCTGGCCAGTTTTTCTCACTCTTAAAACAGTGTAGTTCTTGTAGCCCTCATACCCCTTCTAAGACTATCTTTTGCCTTTCTACTCCCAGGGATTATACTTTGATTTGCTAGATGAAGTGGACCTAAGCCTCCATTAATTCTTTTTGTTAGGGCCAAGTAAGTGTTTACTTGGCCTTTTGTGAATTAGGAATGTCAGTATATAATAACAGAATGTTTTCAACTTTTAACTATAGACTGTTTACCTGTGCTTTTAAATTGGGAGATGGTTGTCTGTGTTTGGAGAAAGTCATTTTGACAATCTTGGGGCTATATGGGTTTTAATTATTCTTAGTAGAACCATTGCAGGTATTTCCCATTGACTTTAATTGCAGTTCTCTGTAGAAAAATTTTCTGAGAACCCAATGTAATGTGTTCACTGAGCAAATCTTTTTTTCGTTTCATTTCAGTTGGAAAGACATCTTTGATCACCAGATTCATGTATGACAGTTTTGACAACACCTATCAGGTATTTTGTTTTTGCCAATTTATTTGTTGTCTATTTTTTGTTACAAGTAATATTCAAGATATTTTTAAAAAATTATTTACTTGCAGTTGTGGATGTAAAAGTACTTTCTATAATCTGTAAAATGCTGTATAAATACAATGTGTAAATGATTTTGTCCAGTCCTAGGATAAACTTTTATCATTTGATTTCTTTTGTCTCTTCCAAAGTCTGTTGAAATATATCTCCAATATCATCTAGGATGGCATTAGAAGTAATGGTGGATATTCTCTATAGATTTTGTCCAAGCCTAGGATTCTGTGACATTTTTTATCTACATTTGAAATTAAGAATAAATGAATAATGAAATTAGAAATCATTAACAGAAGGATATTTGGCACATTCACAAATATGTGAAAATTAAATAATACACTCCTAAATAATTAATGTCAAAGATGAAATCACAAGAGAAATTAGAAAATGCTTTGAGATCAATAAAAAAGAAAACACAGCACACCAAAACTTATGGTATACAACTAAAGCAGTGCTATACAAAAAAGAAAAGAGATACTAAATAAATAGCCTAACATTCTACTTTAAGAAACTGGAAGAAAACTAAACCCAAAGCGACAGAAGGAAGAAGCTATTTTAAAATTTAGGTTTTATCATTATTCCTGTATGGTGAGGCCAATAGATCAGGAGATGATTGCCATTGAAAAGATAGTTTGTTATACTCACAGATCCCAAGAGAAGAGGGCATGCCATGCCAGAGGGGGCCACATGGGGAAGCACTGGGTCAGTTAAAAGGCAGGTGGCTGGGGAAATGTGGACAAAAGCCTTGATTGTGGTTTTCAGGGAAGAGGCACACAAGACAGGGTAAGCAGGTTTAGGATTAGCTAGTTCGGATAATTTCAGGGGTTCTGGGGTTGAGGGGCTGTTCCTGGTTGTCTAGTACCTGGCCCGGGTGATTAGGGCAGTGTAGTATTGGCCCTCAGTGTCATAGAGGAGGTGCTGGGGTATTGGCTTTGGATTGGTTGGTTTGCCTATGAAAGGAGTACTCAAAGGTGAGTTTACTATCTCTAATGAAAAAGCTAATCCTGGCAGGGGCAGTCCCTCCAGTGTCAGCAAGGACCCTGATGTCAAAACATCAAAACTATAGAAAGTAAAAAGACATGCTTAATACAGAAGTTAATAAAGGTTAAAGCAGAAATATATGAAAGAGAGAGCAGAAAAACAATGGAGGAAATCAATGAAACCAAAAGCAGTTCTTTGAAAAGATAAAAAAATTGACTAACTTTAGCTAGACTGACCAAGAAAAAAAAGAAGACTCAAGTTCTGAAATCAGAAAAGAGGGAATATTACCACCAACCATACAGAAATAAAAAGGGTTGACTGGGCGCAGTGGCTCATGCCTGTAATCCCAGCACTTTGGGAGGCTGAGGTGGGTGGATCACCTGAGGTCAGGAGTACAAGACCAGCTTGGCCAATATGGCAAAACTCCATCTCTACTAAGAATACAAAAATTAGCCAGGCATAATGGTGGGCGCCTGTAATCCCAGCTACTTGGGTGGCTGAGCCAGGAGAATCGCTTGAACCCAGGAGGCGGAGGTTGCAATGAGCTGAGATCATACCACTGCATTCCAGCCTGGGTGACAGAGTGAGACTCCATCTCAAAAATAAAATAAAATCAAAAGGGTTATAATGGAATGGTGTGAACAATTAAATGCTAACTAATTAGATGACAGGTAAAATGGACAAATTCCAAGAAAGACACAGTTTACTAAAACTATCTCAAGAAGAAATAGAAAATCGGAATATATATCTAATAAGTAGAGAGAATTAGTAATAAAAAAAACTGCCCACATAGAAAATCCCAGCATCAGATAATTTCATTGGTCAATTCTATGAAACATTTAGAGAACAACACCAATACTTTGTAAAACTCTTCTGAAAAATAGAAGAGGACCCACCTCATTCTGTGAGGTCAGTTACTCTAATATTCAACCCAGACAGAGATATCAAAATTAAACTACAGACCAATATCCCCTATGAATATAGACACAAAAATTGTCAATAAAATACAACCAAACTGAATCCAGCAACATGTTAAAAAAGATATACACTATTATTTTTATTTCATTTATTATTATTATTATTATTATTATTATTATTATTATTTAAACAAAGACAGATTTGCTATGTTGCCCAGGCTGGTATTGAACTCCTGGGCCCAAGCAACCCTTTCACCTCGGCTTTCCAAAGTGCTGGGATTACAGGCATGAGCCACCACACCTGACCTATGTGTCATTTAACAAGTGGAATATACAAAAAGCAATAAACATAATACATTATTTGAATAAAATAAAGGACAAAATCACATGATCATTTGAATGTACACATAAAAAGCATTTGACAAAATCCAGCAGCGTTTCATGATAAAAACATACAACAACAAGCTAGGAATAGAAGGAAACTTCAAAATGGTAATGAGCATCCATAAAAATGCCACATCTTATATACTTAATGTGAAAGGCTGAACGCTTTCTAAGATCAGGAACAAGTAAGGATGTCTGCCCTCACAACCTACACAGTTTCAATACCAAAAATCAAAGAACAAACTAAAAGGAATAAATTAGTAATCTTAAGAGCAAGTACTTTGAGACACTAAGCACACTGTAAATCTTTACCATGTTAACTCTTTAAAATTTTTTTTATTACCACTACTTTTCAGTTATGAAATGTTTTTGTGAAACAATTGGGGAGCATAGATTTAAACTGCCTTGTTAAATGAATTAAAAAAATTTTAAGTTAAAAAAAGAAAACAAGTTACTCTTAATTTACTTATCCATTTTATATGTATTGTAGTTAGCATAAAAACTTGATTTCATTTGTCATTCTATAGATTAAAGAAAAAAACTTGATTTCAATTGCTTTGTCTTTGTAATATAGCAAATGTTAATCTGATTAAGGCTGTCACTCATTAACTGCTGCTGTCTTGATTATTAAACCATTTTTATTTTTCAGAAACCTTTTTAGGGTAATCTTAAAATCTAAATCCTCTTAGTATGTATTTTTCCACATTTGAAGTATTTATTTCAGGAATATGGCTTCTGAATTGAATCTTCCTGAAAAACAAAAACATGGGCATTTCTTTTTTAGGAAAGCTATGTAATGAGCCTTAGAGTTGGAAGCACCTTTATTTATGTCTTAGTTCTACCATTTAGTAGTTGGATGGGTTTGGATCAATTATTAAATTTTTCAGAATCCATATTTTCACATCTGTAAAGTGAGAATCATAATCCCTATGGATGGTGACTCCATTCTTTTTTGGGGGAAAAAAAAGTTCTTTTTTTTTTTTTCCAAGAGATAGAGTATTGCTTTGTCGCCCAGGCTGGAGTGCAGTGGCATGATCATAGCTCATTGTCACCTTGAATTCTTGAGCTAATGGGTTTCTCCTGCCTCAGCCTCCTAAGTAGCTGGGACTACAGGTACACGCCACCACTCCCAGCTAATTAAAAAAAATTTTTTTTGTACAGATGGGTTTTTGCCATCTTGCCTAAGTCTTGTACTCAGGCTCAGGAGATCCTCCTGCCTCAGCCTCTCAAAGTGCTGGGATTACAGGGATGAGCCAGCATGCCTGGCCAAAAGCTCTATTCTTTTGTGATTATTACCATTTACCATTGAGAACAACATTGATTGTTTTATTTCTTTCTTTGAATACTTTAGCACTTCTTTTCATAGTAGTCCTCTTCATTATAACCTGTCAGCATTTTAGACAACTATAATGTTCACATAGACAATCTGCTAGCCTCCTGTACTTTTCGTTTCCATAATCTCAGACCTTCTCTGAAAATCATGTATTCTCTTCTCAGACCACAGTCTTGTATCCTTCCAATTTTTTTATTCAGGTACTTTTACTATAATAGTTTCTACTCCGGTGGTTCACATCAAAACCTTCAACCCATTAATTCCTCCATGTTATTTTTATTTTATTTTTTCATTTTTTAAAAATAATTTTTCTTCTAATTTTTTTTTTTTTAAGACAGGGTTTCACTCTGTCACCCAGGCTGGAGTGCAGTGGTGTGATCTTGACTCACTGCAGCCTCCATCCCCCCAGGCTCAAGCGATTCTCCCACCTCAGCCTCCTGAGTAGCTGGAACTACAGGTGTGCACCACTATGCCTTTTTTTTTTTTTTTTTTTTTTTTTGAGACAGAGTCTCACTCTGTCACCCAGGCTGGAATGCAGTGGCACAATCTCGGCTCACTGCAAGCTCCGCCTCCCAGGTTCACGCCATTCTCCTGCCTCAGCCTCCCATGTAGATGGGACTGCAGGCACCTGCCACCACGCCTGGCTAATTTTTTGTATTTTTAGTAGAGACAGGGTTTCACTGTGCTAGCCAGGATGGTCTCGATCTCCTGACCTCGTGATCCACCCGCCTCTGCCTCTCAAAGTGCTGGGATTACAGGCGTGAGCCACTGTGCCTGGGCTTTTTTTTTTTTTTTTGAGACGGAGTCTTGCTCTGTCGCCCAGGCTAGAGTGCAGTGGCTCAATCTTGGCTTACTACAACCTCTGCCTCCTGGGTTCAAGCGATTCTCCTGCCTCAGCCTCCCGAATAGCTGGGACTACACATGCGCACCACCACACCTGGCTAATTTTTGTATTTTTACTAGAGACGGGGTTTCACCATATTGGCCAGGCTGGTCTCAAACTCCTGACCTTGTGATCTGCCCACCTCTGCCTTCCAAAGTGCTGGGATTACAGATGTGAGCCACCATGCCCGGCCTTTTTTGTGTTTTTAATAGAGACAGGTTCTTGCCATGTTGCCCAGACTGATGACAAACTCCTGAGCTCAAGCAATCCGGCTGCCTCGGCCTCCTAAAGTGCTGGGATTATTGGCATGAGCCACCGCGCCTGGCCCTTCCATGTTGTTTTTAAACATCTGGTCCTGTGTCTTCTGTCTTACCTTTCTCCTTTTTTAGCTTAGACTCCATGGGAAATTCTTTAACTTTCTAGCCTCTTGATATGGTTTGGCTATGTCCCCACCCAAATCTCATCTTGAATTGTAACTCCCACAATTCCCACATGTTGTGGGAGAGATCCAGTGGAAGATAATTGAATCATTGGGGGTGGTTTCCCACATACTGTTCTCGTGGTAATGAATAAGTCTTACGAGATCTGATGGTTTCATAAAGGGAAACCCTTTTCGCTTGCTTCTGATTCTCTGTTGTTGCCTCCATGTAAGAAGTACCTTTCGCCTTCCACTATGATTGTGAGGCCTCCCCAGCCATGTGGAACTGCAAGTCCATTAAACCTCCTTTTCTTTATAAATTACCCAGTCTCGGGCATGTCTTTATCGGCAGCGCCAAAACAGACTAATACACTTCTCTTTGGTTCAATCACATATGCTTGACAAAATTCGTGTTATGAACCCAGTCATCTCATTTCTCCTCATTGGTTCTTGAATACATTAATGTTGCTAGTGTCAACTAGGTTATCAGTTTACCAAGCACTTTTTGGAGTAACTATTTCATACTAACTCTGTACTCCTCAAAAGCTAACTTTACCACTTTTACCACTCTTCTTTGACCCTTACTTTGAAGACCTTGCTTCTTAGAGAAATGGAAAGTATAAGGCAGGAATGCCCTTATTTATTTTTCTTACCACATCATCTAAGTACATGTAACAGTATTTGTACTAATCCTCTTTCATTCCAGTATACTGCAGTAAATGCCCTCCTCCTATCAAAAGCCAATCCCTAACTGTGCTAAAGCTTATCTTCTCTGGCATTTGTCATTCTCAACATCTTCATTATTCTTTATTTCCTGGAGTTTTTGTTATATATCAGGCACTATTCTGCATCCTGGGTATATAGCATACTGCAGTGAACAAATCAACCAACCTTACTCTCATGGAACTTCTAGTGGGGAGAAGTTGGACATTTAACAGTTAATCAAATAATTTATTAATCTAGTCAAAAGTGCTGTAAAGAAATACATTTAGGAGGCCAGGCGCAGTGGCTCACGCCTGTAATCCCAGCACTTCGGGAGGCCAAGGCGGGCGGATCACAAGGTCTGGAGATCGACACCATGTTGGCTAACACGGTGAAACCCCGTCTCTACTAAAAATACAAAAAATTAGCCGGGCCTGGTGTCGGGCGCCTGTAGTCCCAGCTATTCAGGAGGCTGAGGCAGGAGAATGGCGTGAACCCCGGGAGGCGGAGGTTGCGGTGAGCTGAGATTGAGCCACTGCACTCCAGCCTGGGTGACAGAGCGAGACTCCGTCTCAAAAAAAAAAAAAAAAAAACGAAATGCATTTAGGAAAACATGATCTTAGCATGATAATGATTGTGGCCTTTATAGTACTACCTAGCTGCATAATTTGTAAGTCACAATTTGCTATTTTCAGAGAAGGAAGAGAGTACTGTTCTTGACTTATATACTATAAAATTTACTTTTAGTCAGTTTGTGATGTTGCCTATGTATATCAACAAATGTACTTTGATGTTCGAACTAATATATTCTCAAGTGAATGTTTTTGTCATGGAAGAGAAAATGAAGTGTTCAGTGGGATATCTTTTTCTTTGCTTTTGGAGTCACCTTTTGAATTGCTGTTGTTTTACATGCTTTACATAGCTGTTCTTGAGTGTGAACTTTCTGCAGCCTATATGCAGTAATCCCATATTAAGGCAAAGTGAATGAGAAATGCATAAGCGTTTATATGGAATTTGAGAAACAGTTCAATTTTTTCTTTAAAAACCTATTTGTTAGAAATATTTGCTGTACAGGAATTGACATACATAAAGTTTGTGGTGTTTTATTTATGTAACTAAAAAAAATCTTATATATTGAAATGCAGGGTACTGGTTTACAGTATATAGATATGTGGGTAGGAGTGGTGAGAGTCATTTTCTTAGCCTTTATTGAGTATCTTATCTAAAAATATTGACATCGTACCATAATATCTTTTATTGTCCTTTTCCTGGTTTTTTTCTCTCATACTACTCTCTAATATACTATTTTACTTAATTAGCTTATTGTTTGTCTTAGCAGACTGTAACCTTTGCAAGGGCATAGATTCTTGTCTGCTTTTTATTCTTTTACCACAGGATTCTCAGCTGCTAATGATGGTGCCTAGTAGGCAATCAATAAATATTTCTTTCGGCCAGGCGCAGTGGCTCATGGCTGTAATCCCAGCACTTTGGGAGGCCGAGGTGGGCAGATCACTTGAGGTCAGGAGTTCGAGACCAGCCTGGCCAACATATAGTGAAACCCCGTCTCTACTAAAAAATACAAAAATTAACTGAGTGTGGTGGTGCACACCTGTAGTCTCAGCTGCTTGGGAAGCTGAGGCAGGACAATTGCTTGAACCTAGGAGGCGGAGGTTGCAGTGAGCCAAGATCACCCCACTGCACTCCAGCCTGGGTGACAGAGCAAGACTCTGTCTCTCAAAATAAATAAATAAAATAAAATAAAATAAGTAAAATAAATCTTTCTTTTTTTCCCCCCCAGTATTTGGAAGGAATAGAGTTCAATAAATATTCCTGATGAATGTGGACAGGTGTACATGATTTTTAAATGTGTTCCGTCCAATTTGGGTAGAGACTAACTGCATGTTTGTTCATCACTCTAGTACCTTACACAGTACTTGCAAGTACGTGCTTAATAAATATTTGATGAGCAAGCTGGGCACATTGGCTCATGCCTATAATCCTGGCACTTTGGGAGGCCGAGGTCGGGGGGAATCACTTGAGGCCAGGAGTTCGAGACCAGCCTGTCCAACATGACAAAACCCCATCTCTACTAAAAATACAAAAAGTAGCTGGGCTTGGTGGTGAATGCCTGTAATCCCAGCTACTTGAGAGGCTGAGGCACTAAAATTGCTTGAACCCAGGAGGCAGAAATTGCGGTGAGCCGAGATCACGCCACTGCACTCCAGCCTGGGCGACTGAGCGAGACTCTGTCTCTAAATAAATAAATAAATAAATAATCGATGAACGAATAAATGAGAACTAAATGGGGCAATGTGTATAAATCGGCACTTAGTAGATAATCAATTTATGTAATTTACTGTAGCTTTCATTCTTGAATATATGTAAAAACATGTAAAGACTTATCAACATTGCATTGATTTTTCATATAAAGATATTATCTTTAGGCAGGGTGTAGTGGCTCATGCCTATAGTCCCAGCGTGTTGGAAGGCCAAGTGGGGAAGATCTCTTGAACCTAGGGGTTCCAGACTAGCCTGGACAACATGGCAAAACCCTGTCTCTATAAAAAAATACAGAAATTAGTGGGGCATGGTGGCATGCACCTGTAGTCCCAGCTACTCGAGAGGATTGCTTGAGCCAGGAGGTTGAGGCTGCACTGAGACAAAATCACACCCCTATATACCAGCTTGGGCAAGAGTGTGAGACTGTCTCAAAAAAAAAAAAAAAAAAAAAAAATATATATATATATATATATATATATATATATATATATACACACACACATATATATTTGAATTTTATTTACGGAAGCATCAGAAAAGAATAAAATACTTAGGAACAAATTTAACAAACAGCATAAGACTATACAAAACACTGCTGGGAGAAATTAAAGGAGACACATGTATTAGTTTGTTCTCATGCTGCTAATAAAGAGATAACCCAAGACTGGGTAATTTATAAAGGAAAGAGGTTTAATAGACTCAAGTTCCACATGGCTGGGGAGGCCTCAGGAAACTTACAATCATGGCAGAAGGGGAAGCAAACATGTCCTTCTTCACATGGCAGCAACAAGGAGAAGCACAGAGCAAAGAGAGGGGAAATCCTTTTATAAAACCATCAGATCTCGTGAGAACTCAACTATGACACACACAAAATTCTATTTTTCTGCTAACAGAAATAAAATCCCCAACTGATGGACCACTTTTCTGATCTAGTTTTTGATTGTTTTTTAGGAACTTAAAATTCTTAGTGACTCATATTTTAAAATGCACAGACTCAGTTTCTGTTTTAAGGAATATGGCACAAAGATATTTAGGGAAAAAGTATGTATGTACACGCACATATATACATAGTATATGTGCACACAAACATTAATGAGGTGGTAAAACTTCTAAAATAGAGTCCATATCAACATCCTCTTTCTGGAGTCTGTCTTTCTTCCATTCTTTTTATTTATCTCCCCTAATTAATACTGGACTGTTTTTTAACTTGTATACTTTTTTTCCTTTCTTTTTTGTAGTCTGCCTTCTTTCTATTCTCTTATTATTTCACCATTTTCTCTTGATAGGGAAAACAGCAGCCAGGCAATAGAACTTTACATTTGTTTTCACCACAGAAGGAAGCTATCATTGTGTGGTACAGAGGAAAACTTGTTTTCCTTACCTAATGACTTTTATTTTATATTGGAAAAATCATGTCTCTTATGGAAAGTTATGATGTTTGTGAGTCTCTGGCTGTCTATGGCATTAGGACAGTTGACAATATATCAACAGTATTTTATAAAACTGCTCTTGGGGCAGATACTTACCATTCTGAGTGGAGAACAATCAGATACTCAAACTAAAGTTCAAATACAAATATTTAAACCAAAGTTGCCATTGTCTTGTTATTTGTAAAATGAGAAAAGTAGGGATGAGAATAAGCTACCTGGCAGGAATGTATAAAGATTAGAGATGATCATGTAAAAGGCTTAAAACAATCTCTGATATGAAGCAAGTGCTGAATACATGAAAATCATTATCACTGGAAATTTTGTTTGTCCTTAATTGTCCTTAATTGACTATGTTGTATTGATTTGTTTATTCATTATTTCTTCCACAATCATGAATCCCATTTGAATCCTAAACTGCTGGCCACCATTAAACTTATTATTTGTTAACTTCTTTGTTTTGTTTTACAGGCAACAATTGGCATTGACTTTTTATCAAAAACTATGTACTTGGAGGATCGAACAGTGAGTAATATTTTCAGTGTGCAATTTTCTGCAACATTCCAGGTTAGAAAACTGCAATCAAAGTTATCAATGATTGTCACCATAAGAAGTACTTAGCAAAGTTACCAAAGATAGTTTACAGTTGTTGAGAAAAACTCTTATTACCGAGTGAGTAGTACTTGGCAGTCATCTTGATTTGGAAAAATGAAAACAAAGAGCTTTACAGAGAATTAAAGGAGAATTTTTATGAAGAAATTAAACCTGCTAAAGACCTTCTAAATGCCACCCTTGAGGCATTCAAAAAGATTTCAATTTGTGAACTTCAAGATTTTTTTTGTCAGGATAGGATGCGTATCAAAGTGACTGACAAAAAAGAAGTTATGTGGGCAGGGTGCGGTGGCTCACACCTGTAATCCCAGCACTTTGGGAGGCTGAGGCAGGTGGATCATCTGAGGTCAGGAGTTTGAGACCAGCTTGGCCAACATGATGAAACCCCATCTCTATTAAAAATACAAAAAATTAGCCAGGCGTGGTGGCGGGCGCCTATAATCCCAGCTACTTGGGAGGCTGAGGCAGGAGAATCGCTTGAATCCAGGATGCAGAGGTTGCAGTGAGCTGAGATTGCGCCATTGCACTCTAGCCTGGGCAACAAGAGCGAAACTCCGTTGCAAAAAAAAAAAAAAAAAGTAATGTGTATTTATTTGTTGGATTTTTGTCTTTCATCCTTTGGAATGTTTTCTTTAAATACAGTGTAAAATCTGTATTCTAGCCCACTACCCCTTGAAGAGATACTTGTCACCTAAACAGTGAATATCTTAAATGCAGTACTTTGAGACCTGCACCCAAAAACATTATTTAATTTCCAGTGTTATTTCTTAGGTGTTTTTTTTTTCCTGAATATTCTCTTTTATGTTTTGATATATAGCATGTCATTTCTTAAAATTTGAAAGCGGCCAGGTGTGGTGGCTCACGCCTGTAATCCCAGCACTTTGGGAGGCCAGGATGGACAGATCACCTGAGGTCAGGAGTTGAAGACCAGCCTGGCCAACATGGCGAAACCCCATCTTTTCTAAAAATACAAAAATTAGCTGGGCGTGGTGGCGGGCGCCTGTAATCCCAGCTACTCGGGAGGCTGAGGCAGGAGAATCGTTTGAACCCGGGAGGCAGAGGTTGCAGTGAGCCGAGATCACACCACTGCACTTCAGCCTGAGCGACAAGAATGAGAGTCTGTCTAAAAAAAAAAAAAAAAATTTGAAAGCTTGGAAACGACTTTATCATGATGCAAGAACTTGATACTTGTTTTCAGGCTTTTCTTCCTGTAATATAGATATGGATAGTACGTAAAGACATTTTTATGTAGGGCTGCAAAAAGATCTTCCTCCTTTTTGTTACATTATACACACACACGCGTGCATGCGTGCGCGCACACACTCGCATGTTCTGGGGAAAATGTATGGGAGAAATACAAGCACGGTAGTTAAAAAACAGGTTTGAAAGTATTCTAGACCCAATAGGAAAGAGACACATTTTAGCTTGAGAGAAGCTTTCAAAGAAGCATTAATTCCTTTACTCTGATAGCTTAGGCTGCTCATTGACATTTACCTTAGGTTTTTTTGTTTTGTTTTGTTTTTTTCTCTATTTAACCATCAACAGTCTACTTTTTGCCACTTGAAAGGCATAGGGATTCAAACAGGTTTTAGGTAGGGAAAAAGGGAAGCCATATTTCTGATTCTGTGAAATTTTTCCCAGTGGCATTTTCCAGTCATTTATGTTTGGAGTATGCAAATTTTTAATATTTCTCCCTTTTGAAAAAGGAGTTTTGTGTTATTTTCATTCCTCACTCCCTGCAACCTCTTGCATGAGTCTTCTTTCTACTTCCTTCCCACCCTCTCCCTTTTACAAAAAACATTGTTTCTTTTTTCTTTTTAGTATTAGTTTGGTTTTTTTTTTTTTATTTATTTTTTCCCATCTCACAGATCAGGCTTCAGCTGTGGGATACTGCGGGTCAGGAACGTTTCCGTAGCCTCATTCCCAGTTACATCCGTGATTCTGCTGCAGCTGTAGTAGTTTACGATATCACAAGTAGGTATATTGCAACGGGTTGACCTTTCTTATTTTTCTTGCTTGTTTGACTGATTTTGTTGTTAGGTACGATTGCAATTATGGGACACAGCAGGTCAAGAGCGGTTCAGGAGCTTGATTCCTAGCTACATTCGTGACTCCACTGTGGCAGTTGTTGTTTATGATATCACAAGTGAGTGGAGGGAATTATGCATTTCTAATCTTCTTTCAACCTTTAGCTTAGCTGCATGCATGTTCTTGTCTTGTGCTTGTTTTCCTTACTGGCATGTAAAAATAAGTTTTATCATAGTAAATTACATACCAGCCAGGTCAGAAATATTTGCTTTGGTGTTTATACCAATATGCTTTATATGTAACTGTGCCAGGTTTTTTGCCCCAGAAATTTTCTTTTGGGTCCAACTATGAATCCTCTTCAAGGGTTTCTTAGTATCCTGTTATTCGTAAACCATACCATAATTATAGTTGGAGGAATGTTTCCTTGATCTCAGATTTCTCTAAAATAAAATGATCTGCATTTAAGTCTCTTGCCAGGTTTTCCAAATCCTCCAAGCTTTCTATTGAGGCTATTACAAGCTTCTGCTAGCCAGCTTTTCTCTGCTTTCCCCTTCCAGCCATTCTCTCTCTGTAGAGGAAGACAGAGAAAACATAATGTACAGTTTTCTATTAATCTTTTTTATTTGAATCATATTTTGGTTCTGTGACTGATTTATTTACTTTGTTGCTAACAAATTACACTTTCATTTCTCTCCAAGAAAAAAATTTTAAATAGGAGGTGAAACAACTAGTAGTCTTTTTCTTTTTTCTAAAGATTGAATAATGCCTGTGGCCTTTTAAGTGATTGTAAATTTTCCATGAAGCATTGGTGACTGACAAGAAAATGCTTTCTGATTGAAATTGCCTTTGTAAATTGGTTTATGACATATATTAGGCAATATTAAACATTATTACATGTAGTGGTTCATAACTTATAGGAAAACCAGGGTCTTGAACTCCTGGGTTCAAGTGATCCTCCTGCCTCAGCCTTCTAAAGTGCTAGGTTTAGGCCGGGCACAGTGGCTCACGCCGGAAATCCCCATATTTTGGGTGGCCAAGGCAGGCGGATCACCTGAGGTCAGGAGTTTGAGACCAGCCTGACCAACGTGATGAAACTCCATCTCTACTAAAAATGCAAAATTAGCCAGGTGTGGTGGTGCATGCCTGTAATCCCAGCTACTTGAGAGACTGAGGCAGGAAAACCTCTTGAACCTGGGAGGCGGAGGTTGCAGTGAGCCAAGACCGTGCCATTGCACTCCAGCCTGGGCAACAAGAACAAAACTCTGTCTCAACTACAACAACAACAACAAAAACTAAAGTGCTAGGGTTACAGGCATGAACCATTGTGCCCAGCCCAGTATCTGGGGCTTTCTTTTTAAATTTTTAAAAAATGTGTACCACACTACACAGATGTAGTATCTTGGGCTAAAAAAAATCTTAAATAGACAAAGGAACTATTCATTTGGACTAGTAATACTGTTACTATGCATTCTTGCATATCTCCTCAATTAGGAATTGTTATCTAATAACGAATAATTGTGCTGGCAAAATTAGAAGATTGCATTCAAGGACTTTTTTTGAGATAGGTGCTATATGCAGTCTTTCTTCCTTTGCACCTTTACTTTGGGTTGCTGTTTGTTTAAAAAAAAGAGGTATGTTCATATTGTGCATTGACACGTTTTGTAGCTTTAAAATGTTTGTGCTTACTTTAACCACAGCAAGTGAAACCTGGTGTATTTTTTTTTAAATCCACAAATGTGATTCAAATATTAGTACGTTGTTTTCTTTAGCTGCTGTAAGAAGTGTTGAAGTACTCTACTTAGAATCCAACACTAGAAAAGATAAATTTTGTTACAAGTGTTTCTGATGCATTAAACAAATAAACTTTAGGTTAAAGTGATCACAAACTGAGGAAGCAGTGCAAACAGTGGTGTTGAAAGCTATTGAAAGGCTTTACAGATTTTCTGGATGTGTTGGGACTTACTGGCTGACATACTTTGGAAAATGCTTTCTTTGTCATGTTTGGTATGTGTAAGTGATCAAAAAAGCATTGTGGCAATGTGACACCATATTATCTGCCATAGCTGTCCTTATATTTCAAAAAGTTGTTTTTTTTTCAATTAAATACTACATTGTACTCATTTGATCATGTTCAAAAAATTTTTAAACTACTCTAAAAGGAACCTTGAAGATTTTATTCTTGTAATTTGTTTAAATTGCTGACAGTTGTAATCAGATAAAATGGAGTTATGTTGCAGGCACATTAAAAGTGGGGTACTAATGTGCCAGCCCCCTTCCAACTTCCAGGGCTTTTTTGGAGGGAGGTGCCCACCACCTGGGGAGGCATTTTTCAGCAACACTAATCTCTCTGTCTACCCTCCTATACTAGATGTTAACTCATTCCAGCAAACTACAAAGTGGATTGATGATGTCAGAACAGAAAGAGGAAGTGATGTTATCATCATGCTAGTAGGAAATAAAACAGATCTTGCTGACAAGAGGTATGGAGTTATTTTATATGTGTGTAATGTTTGATTTCTGTGATGCAGCCTTTTATTTTTGTTCACTGAGAAATTGTTTTGAAAGGAGACATGCTTAATCCTTAAGTTTACGTCCTCCCCTGCTTTTCTTTAGCATGGGAACCTCAAATATAAATGTAAATATTAAACAGCCAGTCCTTAAGGGAAATGAATTTTATTTTGTTTAAGCCCATGTGTAAATAACTCTTGTGCAAGTTTGTTTAGACATGAAGCCAGTAAATATTTTGCTTTTTTTAGATCTCATAAGTATGAAAAGTGTTTTGTTAAAGAGCAAGCCATTTTGGAAAAACCTTATCTTTAAAAATTGTTCATAATGATTAAATGCACACTCTTTTCTTAGTAGTCTTCTTATAAAACATTCATTATAATTCAGTGGTGTGGATTTTTGTTTTTTGGTTGTTGGTTTTTAATTGTGTGGCTGAGCCAGACTGTGTAGTTGCACTGAATAGCTTGATTGTGATACCTTAGTCAAATGAGCAAAGCGATATTCAAGTCACAGGATGCAAAATATATTAACATTCACTGTAGGACCCATGGCTTGAATATTTGCTTTCAGCATTCTTAAGCGATTTACTGCATATTCTTTCTGCTTTAAATAGTTTTGACCATACTACTTAATAGTAAGAGCTTTTACTATTTATTTGTTTATTCATGAGATGGATATTGAAATTCGGGTAATGAACTTGTGATATTAATTCAAGTGTTGCAAAGAAAGCCAGTGTTAAAAGACTTGTGGAGATATGAAGCCCATTTCTGCACATGGCACCTCAGTTAGAATTGGTAGTACAGGCCGGGTGCGGTGGCTCACAACTGTAATCCCAGCACTTTGGGAGGCCAAGGACGGTGGAACACGAGGTCAGGAGTTCAAGACCAGCCTGGCCAAGATGGTGAAATCCCGTCTCTACTAAAAATACAAAATTAGCTGGGCGCTGTGGCATGCACCTGTAATCCCAGCTACTCGGGAGGCTGAGGCAGGAGAACTGCTTGAACCAGGGGAGCGGAGGTTGCAGTGAGCTGAAATTGTGCCATTGCACTCCAGCCTGGGCAACAGAGTGAGACTCCGTCTCAAAAAAAAAAGAATTGGTAGTACAGTTGCAAAAAAGTCTTTCTTAATTTAAAAGTAAATTCAAAGTGATTGCATCTTTTCTTTATAAAAATATGTTTTGGACATGAACTGCTATGAAGGAAATTTTCACTATTTTATTTATCCTCACTCTAGAGACTTTGTAGGTACTTTTCTTTTTTTGGGATGGAGTCTCATTCCGTCGCCCAGGCTGGAATGCAGTGGTGTGATCTCAGCTCATTACAACCTCCACCACCTGGGTTCAAGCGATTCTTCTGCCTCAGCCTCCTGAGTAGCTGGGATTACAGGCGCCTGCCACCATGTCCTGCAAATTTTTGTATTTTTAGTAGAGACGGGGTTTCACCATGTTGGCCAGGCTGATCTTGAACTCCTGACCTCGTGATCCACCCGCCTCAGCCTCCCAAAGTGCCAGGCGTGAGCCACCGCGCCCTGCCAGTACCTTTATTTTATTTATTTATTTATTTTTGAGTTGGAGTCTCGCATTGTCACCTGGGTTGGAGTGCCATGGCGCGATCTCGGCTCACTGCAACCTCTGCCTCCCAGGCTCAAGCAATTCTCCTGCCTCAGCCTCCCGAGTAGCTGGGATTACTGATGCCTGCCACCATGCCCGGCTCATTTTTTTGTATTTTTAGTAGAGACGAGGTTTCACTATGTTGGCCAGGCTGGTCTCAAACTCCTGACCTTGTGATCCGCCTGCCTTGGCCTTCCAAAGTGCTGGGATTACAGGCGTGAGTCACCGCGCCCGGCCTCTTCATTTTTAAATAGAAAAATTGTATATCTGAATTGTTTCCCTTTATAGCCAGAGTTATCTGAGGAGGATGCTTATAAGGATTTTTTTATTGCTTAATATTTCAGTTGTGTGCACAAATGGTAGAAACTTGTCAAATTATATGTGTGTATATATATATATATATATATTTTTTTTTTTTTTTTTTGAGATGGAGTTCTGCTCTTGTTGCTTAGGCTGGAGTACAATGGCACAATCTTGGCTAACTGCAACCTCAGTCTCCCAGGCTTAAGTGATTCTCCTGCCTCAGCCTCCCGAGTAGCTGGAATTACAAGAGCTTGCCACCACATCTGGCTAATTTTTGTATTTTTTAGTAGTGACGGAGTTTTCCCATGTTGGCCAGGCTGGTCTCGAACTCCTGACCTCAGGTGATCCACCCGCCTCGGCTTCCCAAAGTGTTGGGATTGCAGGCATGAGCCAACAAGCCCTATCTGAAATTATATTTATAATAATTT
The DNA here is from genome assembly GCF_000001405.40 of Homo sapiens. Classification (NCBI taxonomy): domain Eukaryota; kingdom Metazoa; phylum Chordata; class Mammalia; order Primates; family Hominidae; genus Homo; species Homo sapiens. The sequence continues at coordinate 73,713,885 of NC_000011.10, read as the reverse complement.
TTCTTTAAGGTAACATTTGTCAGTTGCGTTGAAATTACCATCTTTCTTGGTAATCTTTGCCAGACTATCATCTCTCAACTGTTCACATTTAAAAGAATTACAGCTTGTTCGTTCCACTAAAATGATTTTCAAATGGGTAAAAGACTTAATTTTTTAAAGCATCTTTATATTTTGGGCTTTTATAAGCATGACATGAAATCCTGAAGCCATAAAGGGAATGATTGATAAGTTTGAATACATAGAGAGCATATTCTCCTATTAGATTGACTATGATTCAGAAGATTTAAATGCACACAGTATTTTCTTTTTTTTTTTTTTTTGAGACGGAGTCTCGCTGTCTCCCAGCCTGGAGTGCAGTGGCGCAATCTTGGCTCACTGCAAGCTCCCCCTCCCGGGTTCACGCCATTCTCCTGCCTCAGCCTCCTGAGTAGCTGGGACTAGGCACCCGCCAGCATGCCCGGCTAATTTTTTGTGTTTTTAGTAGAGACGGGGTTTCACCGTGTTAGCCAGGATGGTCTTGATCTCCTGACCTCGTGATCCACCTGCCTTGGTCTCCCAAAGTGCTGGGATTACAGGCGTGAGCCACCACACCCAGCCCTGAAAGCCAAATGAAAATAAATGTTTTAAGGAGAAGACAGTTATTAACTATGCCAAATGCTCTGTAAGATCAAACCAAATGAAGACTGAGAATTAACCATTGGATTTAGAAGTTTGGAGGTTATTAATGTTGTTGACAAGTAGTCACACTGAAGTGGTGGGGTTGAAAATCTCACTACAGTAGGTTCAAGACAGAATACCCCTCTCACCTCTGAAGTTATAAGATAAGATGAACAAGATGACCCTATTTATATTAATAATAGTAAAAGAAAAATCTGGCCAGCGTGGTGGCTCACACCTCCCAGCACTTTGGCAATCCGAGGCAGGCAGATCACTTGATGCCAGGAGTTCGAGACCAGCCTGGCCAACATAGCGAAACCCTGTCTCTACTAAAAATATAAAAATTAGCCAGGTGAAGTGGCACATGCCTGTAATCCCAGCTACTTGGGTGGCTGAGACATGAGAATCACTTGATCCCAGGAGGGAGAGGTCAGTGATCTGAGATCGTGTCACTGCACCCCAGCATGGGTGACAGAGTGAAACTGTCAAAAAAAAAAAAAGCCTCTATAATTAAAGCAATGTGGTCTTGCTGCATGAAAAGTTATGGAAAAGTAGAACAGAGTAGAAAAGCTAGCAACAGGCGAGCGTGGTGGCTCATGCCTGTAGTCCCAGCACTTTGGGAGGCCAAGGCAGGTGGATTACCTGAGGTCAGGAGTTTGAGACCAGCCTGGCCAACCTAGTGAAACCTCGTCTCTACTAAAAATACAAAAATTAGCCGGGCGTGGTGGCATGTGCCTGTAATCCCAGCTCCTCAGGAGGCTGAGGCAGGAGAATTGCTTGAGCCCAGGAGGTGGAGGTTGCCGTGAGCTGTGATTGTGCCACTGCACTCCAGCCTGGCTAACAGAGTGAGACTGTCTCAAAAAAAAAAAAGGAAAAGCTAGGAACAGACCCAGTTTCATATGGAAAATAAGTATGAAGGTGGTACCTCAAATCACTGGGGAAAATGAACTATGTAATAAATTGATTGGAGTAACTGGTTAAGTGTATAGAAAAGATAAAATTGGATCAAGTTCTCATATTACACTAGGACAAATTCTAAAGGGATTAGAGATTTAATTGTGAAAATAAAATAAGGACTAACTGAATTCTGGTTCTTAATGATACTAATGCTATGGCACAAAATAAGGGAAAATGTAAAGTTTGATTACTTAAAACATTATAAACAAAGCAAATGGCAAACTAGGGAAAAGTATTTGTAAATCGTATCAAAAATGGCTAATATCCCAAATAAAAAAGCCTCTAAAAATAGAGAAGAAAAAAGATAAACATCACTATAGAAAAATTGACTAGAAATATGAACGGTTCATGGAGAAAGTAACATAGCTCTTAATTATCTGAAAAGAAGCTCTGTCTTGCTCTTACTGAAGTACTGATTGAAACTGCACTGAGAAATATTTTTGCCTCAGATTCAGACTGCCAGAATTCCAAGTTTGTTGAAATCTTCTGATAGCAAGGCTATAAGGAAAACAGTTACTCTCATAAATTACTGAGGCAATGCAGAATGGTAATACTCCTATGGAGGAGAGAGAGTTGATTTTTGGCAATATCTAATATCGACATTTAGCCTTTGACCTGGAAATCCCACTTCTAGGAATCTCCTCAAGATACACTGGTAAGAGTACAAAAAGACATATGTACAAGTCTATTTCCTATAGCACTATTTGTAATACCTAGCACTATTTGTAATATCTAAAGACTGTAAACAACGCAGGTGCCCACAAAAGGAAAATGGTTTGACAAACTTACGAACATCCTTTTAAAGGAGTACTAGACAGGTACAAAAAGGAATGAAGAATGTATATATTACTATGGAGTGAATCTTCAGGGTATATGACTAAGTGAAAAAATGCAAGGTGAAGTAGTATGTAACATATGGTACAGTTTACTTAAGAGAGAAATACAGATGTATATACACATTACCTAAAGCAAAATGAGGACCCTACTGGGCTGCCATCCCAGCTGGACTGCTGCTGTGGAGCTCAGCATCAAGTACTTCCAGGAGAAGCTTCAGCAGGACCTAGAGGCAGAGCATGGTAGAGGTAGAGGATACAGCCCTCATACCACCGTGCTGTATGTCCATCTTTCAAGTCCTGGTGGTGCCCGCAGAGTTTGAAGGGAAGCCACTGCTTCAGAGATACCAGGTGGTAAATGCATGCCTAGTGGAAGTGTGCTCCTCTGCATCTATGCCTTTGAGCAGAAAGCCTTTGAGTCCCAATTAGTGGGCCCATGAGTGGCCAAAATGAGGGACTGGGACCTGTATAGCCGTTAAACTATAAATCAGGGCCAAAAAGGAAAGATAAATTATAAGTTTAAAGAAAATGGGCTAGGCATGGTGACTTACACCTCTATTCCCAAAGGAAGCTGAGGCAGAAGGATCATTTGAGGTCAGGAGTTCGAGGTTACAGTGAGCTACAATCCTGCCACCGCACTTATATGTGCAACAGAGCAAGACCTTGTCTCAAAAAAAAAAAAAAATTAACTTTTTTTTTTTCAAGACTGAGTCTCTCTCTGTTGCCCAGGCTGGAGTGCAATAGCACAACCTCGGCTCACTGCAACCCCCACTTCCTGGGTTTAAGTGATTCTCCTGCTTCAGCCTCCTGAGTAGCTGGGACTACAGGGATGCACCGCCACACCCAGCTAATTTTCATATTTTTAGTAGAGATGGGGTTTTATCATGTTGGCCAGGCTGGTCTTGAACTCTGACCTCAAATGATCCACCCGCCTTGGCCTCCCAAAGTGCTGGGATTACAGGTGTGAGCCACCACACCCGGCTAGATCTTAACTGTTTTTAGTAAACATGTTGGTGATGATGTTGGATATTGTTATTTCAAAATGATTGTCTGTATTCTGCATAAAATAAATGAATACTTTGCTTAATGATTGAGAACTGGCATTTTGGACACGGGAGATGGAAATACAGATATAAGATTAATAAAGTTAAATATAAAAAATATAAGCATGGGGGCCGGGCGCGGTGGCTCACGCCTGTAATCCCAGCACTTTGGGAGGCCAAGGCGGGTGGATCACGAGGTCCGGAGATCGAGACCATCCTGGCTAACACGGTGAAACCCCGTCTCTGCTAAAAAAAAAAAAACACAAAAAATTAGCCGGGTGTGGTGGCGGGAGCCTGTAATCCCAGCTACTCCGGAGGTTGAGGCGGGAGAATGGCGTGAACCTGGGAGGTGGAGCTTGCAGTGAGCCGAGATCGTGCCACTTCACTCCAGTCTGGGCGACAGAGCAAGACTCCGTCTCAAAAAAAAAAAAAAATATATATATATGTGTGTGTGTGTGTATGTATATATATGTGTATATATATGTATATATGTGTGTGTATATATATGTATATATGTATGTATATGTGTATATATGTATATATGTATATATATGTGTATATATGTATATATATGCATGAATTCATTACATTTTTTAGCATTTGAAAATTTTTAATATTTTCTAGCTCTGTCTACTGAAAAGATTTAAACCAGGAGGAATGAGCCCACATTACCACATGTAAATACGGTTTCTTTCCAAAGGAACCAGGGCTACTTGAAGAAGTGACAAATTAGGCATCTGGGCCAGAAAATGTAAACAGTGGGGCTGGAACATGTCATACCATAAATCAAAGAAGTTATTAAAGACCATTGAGGTTATGTCAGATTCAGGAGAGCCAACTCAAAGAAGCTCTACTGGTCAAACTGTAGGAAAACTTGAAAATCAGTAATTACTATAAAACATGTTTAAATCCACGAGTCATAATAATAATAGTAATAATAATAATAATAATAATAATATACTTAAGGAGAAAACTCATTGGTCCCCTTTGGAAGATGCCAGAGACTGACTCGAGCATTTATCCTCCTTTCCTCTCCCTCCCTCCGTCACTCCCTCCCTCCTTGTTCTAAGTACCTCAGGATAACCAAATAATTGAGAAAGTTTCTTTCTAAAGAAGTATTTAATTTGCTATAAAGGACATTGGAATAACTGGCAGTAAAGGACATTATTGGGATAATTGACAAGAATAAAACCTATAGATTCAATGATGGTATGATGTTGATGTTAATTCCCAGATTTAATAATTGTACTGTGGTTATATAAGAGAATGTCCTTGTTTTTAGGAAATTCACACTGCTGAAGTATTTAGGGCTAAAGGTCTGCAGATTGGCGGTTTACTCTCAAACAGTTTTTTAAAAGTGTTTCAGAAAATTTATATACACAGAGAGAATGAGAAGATAACACAAGCAAATGTAAAATCTTAACAGTTGGAGTGTTATGTAAGAGAATGTTCTTGTTTTTAGGGAGTGGAGAATTCTAGAATAATAATTTCTTGTAGGCAAGAAGGGAGTGGGATCTAATACATAGATGTAAGTTTTGAGAATAAGGACAACTCTTTCATAGTAATAGGACTAGAGGTAGGATATAAGGGCACACTTGCAAGTAAATGGAAGCTTGTGGAAATTCTCTTCCATTGCCCATTTTCTGTGTTGTAGGAAGCAGGGTTTGTCAGCTGATAGTTTAAATCTAGCTAATTAGAACATTTGTATATTTATGGAATACTTATCTGCCAGCTTAAGCATTAGGAATACCAATATAAATGACATAATCTTGCACTTGAGATCTCACAATTTGAGACATAGTGCTAATTGTAATGCATCACAAAATACCCTGTAAAGGTAATATTAAAGTATTAATATTTTGTATCTAGAGGCTTTACCATACATGTCTTTGACTCACTTACTTCACTTACAGAAATCCACAAAATCGGCTGGGCACGGTGGCTCACGCCTCTAATCCCAGCACTTTGGTAGGCTGAGATGGGTGGATCACCTGAGGTCAGGAGTTTGAGACCAGCCTGGCCAACATGGTGAAACTCTGTCTCTACTAAAAATACAAAAATTATTCAGGTGTGGTGGTGGGCGCCTATAATCCCAGCTGCTCAGGAGGCTGAGGCAGGAGAATCGCTTGAACCCAGGTGTTGGAGGTTGCAGTGAGCTGAGATCGCGCCATTGCACTCCAGCCTGGGTGACAAGAGCAAAACTGTCTCAAAAAAAAGAAAACCACAAAATCTAACCTAAGGAAATGATTTGCAGTGCACAAAATATTAAGCACAGATATTTAGGGCAACAATTTTCATAGTAGTGTAAAATTGGAAAGCAACTTGCATTCTAATAGTTTGGGAATGGTTATATAAATTATAGGAGCAAATTGACAGAAATTGTTTAGCCATAAAAATTGTTTTACACAAAGATTTGAATTTTAAGGCTAAAAGCCTGTGGTCTGATATTAAGGGAAAGAGGCAAGCTATTAAGCGTTTTTTGTTTTGTTTTGTTTTTAGCTTTTTCTTTTTTTGAGACAGGTTCTGTTGCCCAGACTGGAGTGCAGTGATGTGGTGGCCTAATAATGGCCTGCTGCAGCCTCAACATTCCTGGGCTCGAGCATCCTCAAGCTATTAAGTTTGTAAAAGTAAAAAAATTACAGGATGAGCCCAGTCAAGTGAAAGCAAATCAGTAACAAAAAAAAGTCTTTAAAAAAATGTTAAGTATACACACACAGAAACACACAAATTTCAAGAGTGTGGCAGATTAATGAATTTTTAAACTAATGTGACCTGTATAACCAGTCCTTATATCAAGGAAAGTTATTTTCAGAGCTTTCTTTATAATCTTTATAATACTGCCTCATGTCTCAAAAGTAAGAAGTTTGTTTGTTTCTTTACAGGCAAGTGTCAATTGAGGAGGGAGAGAGGAAAGCCAAAGAGCTGAATGTTATGTTTATTGAAACTAGTGCAAAAGCTGGATACAATGTAAAGCAGGTAAGTTGAGTTGAGGTTACCAAATTGAAAAAATATGAAATAATTGTGTGAGTATTCTATTCTCTGGTGTATAGGTTTCCTTCCACCTGGCAAGAGCAGGCCTTACAAACTAGCAGTATATTTTCAAACAGTGAAAAATATAAATGTGGCATAGTTTTTGGAAAAAGAGAAAAGACTTGCAAACTTCAGATCGTGGATAGAACTACTGCAAAGTGGTAAATCTACCATATTGTCACTACATTCCTACTACATTGCTTTAAAGGTAAATTTTCTTTTCTTTTTTTTTTTTTTTTTCTTTTTTGAGATGGAGTTTCGCTCTTGTTGCCGAGGCTTGAATGCAATGGCGTGATCTCGGCTCACTGCAACCTCCACCTCCTGGGTTCAAGCAGCTCTCCTGCCTCAGCCTCTCGGGTAGCTGGGATTACTGGCATGCGCCACCATGCCCAGCTAATTTTGTATTTTTAGTAGAGATGGGGTTTTTTTCATGTTGGTCAGGCTGGTCTCAAACTCCTGACCTCAGGTGATCCGCCTGCCTTGGCCTCCCAAAGTGCTGGGACAGGTGTGAGCCACCATGCCCGGCCGGTAAATTTTATTTCAGAGTTTGATGCCAAGACTGAGATAAATGAAAGCAAGTATTTACTGTCAGTAATGGTGTTCCACTTCTTGTTGTAAAAGTAAATTCTGGTTACTTTATCCTTAATAAAATGCTGGTGTTTGAACAGTGTTTACAACAGGTCTTTTTGGGGGAGGGCAGGAAAATATAGGGAGATGTCACATTATCAAGCCATTTTCTACAAGATAGGTCAGCCAGAGACTCACATGCTTAACTCTTCAAGGCTGTATATCATGTAGGGTAGTGGTCCCAGATTTATAAGATTTATGGACCAATAATTTTTTTTTTTTTTTGAGATGGAGTCTTGCTCTGTCGCCCAGGCTGGAGTGCAGTGGCGCGATCTCGGCTCACTGCAAGCTTCACCTCCCAGGTTCACGCCATTCTCCTACCTCAGCCTCCCGAGTAGCTGGGACTACAGGTGCCTGCATCACGCCTGGCTAATGTCTTGTATTTTTAGTAGAGACGGGGTTTCACTGTGTTAGCCAGGATGGTCTCAATCTCCTGACCTCGTGATCTGCCTGCCTCAGCCTCCCAAAGTGCTGGGATTACAGGTGTGAGCCACCACGCCCGGCCTAGACCAATAATTTTCTTAATTGAGGGTGATCAACAGAGGGTAACAGTAACATCATTTAAATAGTTAAAGCTTTAGGAAGAAGTCTTTATATTGTTTTTATATTTTTTAATTTATTTCCCTCCATGCCTTGAATCATAATGTAAGTAATATTGAATGATCACTGATTCTTTCCTCATTAACATATTGTTTCATGGTCATGGTTTGATACCTGTGCTCATGCTTTTGTTTCCTTTGCTTAGAATGTTCATTTTTTTTCCCTTTCCTAATTGTACTCCTTATAAGTTTCAGTTTAGATGTCAGCTCCTCAGCAACATTTTCTCTGACATTTCCCATCCTACCTCCTGTCTGTGACACCTGATTCTCTTATGTGTTTTCACCGACCTGATCTCAGCAAAAACAGTATCATTACTTACCATAGTATATTGAAAATCTCTCTCTCTCTCTCTCTCTCTCTCTCTCTCTCTCATCGGAATTATATATTCCCAGAACCTAGCAATGTGTATGGAACGTAGTAAGTGATACGTAACTGAACCCATAGGAGCCACAGACAGTTAAATAATTTGTGTAATACCATTATATTAGCCATATGCCACTATTCTAAGACAAAGCAGTGGGTAGCTTCATCTGGCTTTCTCTTTTCTATTTCTTATATATATTTTCTCTTATATTTATTTATTTTTTTATTTGAGACAGGGTCTTGCTGTGTCAGCCAGGCTGAGTGCAGTGGTGCAATCTCGGCTCACTGCAACCTCTGCCTCCAGGGTTCAAGTGATTGTCATGCCTCACACTCCCCAGTAGCTGGGATTACAGGTGTGCAGCACCATTCCCGGCTAATTTTTGTACTTTTAGTAAAGACAGGGTTTCACCTTGTTGGCCAGGCTTGACTCAAACTCCTGGCCTTAAGTGATCTGCCTGCCTCTGTCTCCCAGAGTGCTGGAATTACAGGTGTGAGCCACCACACCCAGCTGGCTTTCTCTTTTAGAGACATTTTGATAAGGGTGTGAGCTAGTTGCTTATATATCCTGGTACAGGCTGTCCTTTTCCTGGTTAATAGCTAAAGAAGGCATTGCTGTAGTCCCCTAGCCCTGACCCTAAGTAGTCTCATAGGTTTAGAAACTCTAGAATTATCAGATAGCATACAGTAAGCACCACTGATGTCTAGTATCTTCATAATGTTTGATTGCTTCCAATTTTATTTTTATTATTTTTGTTATTTATTTATTTATTATTTATTTTCGAGATGGAGTCTCGCTCTGTCATCGAGGCTGGAGTGCAGTGGCGTGATCTCGGCTCACTGCAAGCTCCGCCTCCCAGGTTCACGCCATTCTCCTGCCTCAGCCTCCCGAGCAGCTGGGACTACAGGCGCCCACCACCACGCCTGGCTAATTTTTTGTATTTTTAGTAGATAGGGGGTTTCACCGTGTTCACCAGGATGGTCTCGATCTCCTGACCTCGTGATCTGCCCACCTCGGCCTCCCAAAGTGCTGGGATTACAGGTGTGAGCCACTGCACCCAGACTATTTTTATTTTTTATTTATTTATTTTTTTTGAGATGGAGTCTCACTCTGTCGCCAGGCTGGAGTGCAGTGGCACGATCTCAGCTCACTGCAACCTCTGCCTCCTGGGTTGAAGTGATTCTCCTGCCGCAGCCTCCCGAGTAGCTGGGACTACAGTCGAGCGCCACCATGCCCAGCTAATTTTTTTGTATTTTTAGTAGAGACGGAGTTTCACTATGTTGGTCAGGATGGTCTCGATCTCCTGACCTCGTGATCTGCCTGCCTCGGTCTCCCAAATTGCTGGAATTACAGGTGTGAGCCACCATGCCTGGCCCTTCTTATTTTTATTTTTTTGAGTTGTGGTCTTGCTCTGTTGCCCAGGCTGGAGTGCAGTGGCATGATCACAGCTCATTGCAGCCTTGACCTCTCAGGCTCAAGTGATTCTCCCACCTCAGCCTCCAGAATAGCTGGGACTACAGGCACACACCACCATGCCCAGCTAATTTTTAATTTTTTTCCAGAGAATAGGTTCTTGCCATGTTGCCCAGGCTAGTCTTGAACTCCTAGACTCAGGTGATCCTCCCAACTTGGCCTCGAAGATTTCGAGATTATAGGTATGAGCCCCTCTGCCTGGTCGATTTTTAGTAAATTTATAGCATTGTACAACTATTACCATAATCTGATGTTAGAAATTTTTTTTTTTTTTTTGAGATGGAGTCTCCCTCTGTTGCCCAGGCTGGAGTGCAGTGGCACCACCTCGGCTCACTGCAACCTTGCCTCCCGGGTTCAAGCAGTTCTCCTGCCTCAGCCTCCCAAATAGCTGGGACTACAGGCGCATGCCACCACGCCCAGCCAATTTTTGTATTTTTATATGATCCTGACCTCAAGATCCATCCATCTCGGCCTCCCAAAGTGCTGGGTATACAGGCGTGAGCCACGGCGCCCAGCCCTTCTTACTTTTAATTTAGATTGTTTTTGTTTTTGTTTTGGGTTTTTTTTAGACAGTCTTGCTCTGTTGCCCAGGCTGGAGTGAGTGGCACAATCTTGGCTCACTGCAACCTCCGCCTCCCTGGTTCAAGTGATTCTCATGCCTCAGCCTCCTGCCTAGCTGGGATTATAAGTGCATGCCACTGTGTCTAGCTAATTTTTATATTTTTTGTAGAGACAGGGTTTTGCCACGTTGGCCAGGCTGGTCTGAAACTCCTGGCCTTAGGTGATACGCCCACCTCAGCCTTTCAAAGTGCTGAGATTACAGGCGTGAGCCACTGTATCTGGCCAGAAATTTTTTAATTGTCAGTTTATTCTGCCTCCCCACTAAACAACAAACTCCATAAATGTTCATTGAATGAATGATAATATACTTTATTTTTTTTTAGCAGATTCTTAGAGCTGCATTGTTTTGCCATAAAAATAAGATTTATTTCATGTCCTTGGTTCTGTCTTAAGAATTTTCTTAGCTAGACTGAACAAGCCCTAGAGAAGCCAGGTTACTTGGAGAATTGCCCTTCATTTGCTGTTTTGACTACACCTTAGACATAGATACATGTTCATCTTCCGTTTCTTTGCATTCACCTGAACCCATGTTGAATTTTTTTTTTCCAATTTTTTTTAATTAGGCCAGGCATGGTTGCTCATGCCTATAATCCCAGCACTTTCGGAGGCTGAGGCAGGCGGATCACTTGAGGTCAGGAGTTCTACTAAAAAATTAAAAAATTAGCTGGATGTGGTCTCATACACCTGTAATCCCAGCTACTCGGGAGTCTGAGGCAAGAGAATCACTTGAACCCAGGAGGCGGAGATTGCAGTGAGCCAAAATCACACCACTGCACTCCAGCCTGGGTGACAGAGCGAGACTCTGTCTCAAGAAAAAAAAAAATAATAATATATATAAAATTGAGATAAACATTTATGTACAGTGAAATGTATACATCTTAAATTGACTATTAGATGAGTTTTGGTAAATGTATTTACAGGTATAATGACCACAGCAATGAAGATATGGAAATATGTTGTTAATTTCCCAATGTTTAGGGACATTTCTAGATAATCTTAATTGTTACTGGCTTCTAATTTAATTCTGTTATAGTCAGAGAATACACTCTGTAATATTTCAGTCATTTGTAATTTATTGAGACAAGTTTTATGGCCTATCATATGGTCTATCTTATTGAATGTTCTTATATGTACTGGAAAAAGAATTTTTTTTACAGTTATCAGGTATACTAGTTAACATGTTTGACAGCATTCTCAAACCTTATATAGCCTGGCTGGGCACAGCGGCTCATGCCCATAATCCCAGCACTTCAGGAGGTGGATGTGGGAGGATCACTTGAGGCCAGGAGTTCAAAACCATCCTGGTCAACATAGTGAAACCCTGTCTCTACAAAAGTAGAAAAATTTTTTTGAAAATTAGCTGAGCATGGTGGCATGCACCTGTAGTTCCAGCTACTCAGGAGACTGAGGCAGAGGATTGCTTGAGCCCAGGAGTTCAAGGCTGCAGTGAGGCATGATTGCGCCACTGCATTCCAGCCTAAGCAACAGAACAAGACTGTCTCAATAAACAAAAAAACACCTTATATATCCTTACTAGTTTTTTGTCCAGTTCTGTCGATAACTGAGAAGGGGATATTGAAACCTATAACAACAACGATGTATTGTTCGCTTTGCTGATTAGTTCTGTCAGCTGTTACTTCTTGTATTTTGAAGTTATGTTAGTAAGTGTATACATATTTAGGATCATTATGTCTTCATTATCTGTTGACTTTTTGTATGTAAAGAACTGTCCCTCGTGGGCTGTGTGTGGTTGCACAGGCCTGTATTCCCAGCGCTTTTGGGAGGCCAAGGCAAGGCAGGCTGATTTCTTGAGCCCAGCAATTGAGACCTGCTTGGGCAACATGACGAAACCCTGTCTCTACAAAAAAACACAGAAATTAACCCAGCGTGGTAGTCCCAACTACTTGGGAGGTTGAGCTGGGTGGATTGCTTGGCCCAGGGGGTCGAGGCAGCAGTGAGCTGAGATCACACCACTGCACTCCAGCCTGAGCAATAGAGCAAGACCCTGTCTCAAAATAAAAAACAAAAAACACGAAAGAAAAAAGAAATGTCCCCATATCCAGAGTTAATCATTGCTGTATGTACAAGAGTGTTAGTCTTATACAAGCTGCTCTGCTATTACCAAAGCTAAAGTCTGCACTGAATTTATAGGGGTAAAAATTAAAATATCTGATAAAGGAAATAAAACTGATTATCGTGAAATAATCTCTGATCTCTTCTGAGTTCTTGCTATGTAGGTCAGTCACAATTCAGAAGTTGTGCTGGTATTCAGGACTTTCTGAGGTAAATTTCACAGTCTAGTCACTGTCTTGGAAAACATTGAGAATCACAGTCTTACATGCCTGTTATTACCGTTGTGTGTTTTCTCAGCTGTGTATGTTTGTAAGCAGAACTATTTTTGATTTTTGATTGTACTCATTTTATTTGACAAAATCATGCCTTTTTACCAGAAGATACACAGAAGTCTTTCTGTATATAAGGTATATATTTATCAGTACTATAGGTACCATGTAGTTCTACTTTTCCATATACAGAGTTGTTTCCTAGCTTTCTGCTAATCTAACTGGATTCCTCTTCCCCATTTCCTCATTTACTAGATTATAATGCACATCACATAATAAAAGCTTAAAAATGGGCTTTCACAGTTACTGTTTTCTTTTTAAATAATTGTGAGAGAGCTTTTACATCATTTATTATCTAATCATGATTCAAGTGACTAGGCTGTAGCACCCAAGAACCTTGCCTTAAAACAGTTTATTTTACCCAATAATACTACTTTGCCTTCTTACTTAAAAATGTCCTGTGCTTAACCCTTTTGCTCTTTATTTTGATTTAAGCACTTGACCCTAAAGTCCTGCTTCTGTCTTACAGAAGATTGTTGTCATTTAAAAAATAAAACAATCAGTACTAGAACTAGCATAAATAGTAATATCTAACATGATCATTTGTATTATATAGCATATTTAAGTAAAATGTGTTTCATTCCATTCAGTATTTCATAAAAAGACAGCCTCTGAAAAATAGTTTTACTCCTTAGATTTCTCATCCACTACCCTCCTCCCCCCCCCCCCCCCACACACACACTTTTTTTTTTTTTTTTGAGACAGGGTCTTGCTCTGTCACCCAGGCTGGAGTATAGTGGTATGAACACGGCTCACTGCAGCCTTGAACTGCTGGGCTCAAGCAATCCTCCTGCCTCATCAGCCTTCTAAGTAGCTAGGACTACAGGCCCCCACTATCATACCCAGCTAATTATTTATTTTTCCTAGAGATGGGTCTTGCTATATTGCCCAGGCCTCAAGTGATCCACCAGCCTTGGCCTCCCAAAGTGTTGGAATTACAGGTGTGAGCCATGGTGCCTGGCCCAAATTCTTTTTTTCTAATGCATAAGTATTACTTTGTTTTTGAAAGTGGTATGGTGTTTAAATTGCTGAAGAAATGATAATGATAAGGTGATTACTTTAGCCTTCACCTGGCTTTTCATCTGGGAATTAGTACATTCTTTTAGTGAAGCAATAAGTGTGTGGTGTCACCTTATTATATATTTTGTAGTACTGAAAAATGGAAAAAGAAAAGAAAAACTCCTTGATCTTCAACTTCTAAAATCATTAGTACTTATCATAAAAAGAAGATTTGTTTGAAAGAGAGAAGACTTTATGAGAAACTAGTGATAGCTGATGGGCATCAGCTCTAACAGGTCAATGAAAGCTTGTGTACATACTAACCATGGAGTTGCAATGTTATATGTATGGGAAAATTATTTTATATTGGCTGAAATAGTATATGTACCTTATGCATTGGTGGTGATCATATCTTTTCCTCATCACTATATCTCCCATGTCTACCACAGTTGGCTTATAGCAGGTGTTAATCTTGGGCTTTTGTCATGTACCTAAATCCATAGGTATCAAGTGTGGCACGCTAGACCACTGTAGGTACTTTGGAAAATAAAAAGTTATGTAAAATGTGGTTCCTAACTTCAAGAAACTTATGATATTGTTGGGAAGAAGAGTCACATTCTCATGAAGACTGTGCAGTAAAGAATGGGTCATACATGATAAATTCCTAGCAAATGCTACAGACAGTAAGATACATCGTAATTATTGAGAAGCAAGGCCAGGCGCAGTGGCTCACACCTCTGAGCCTGAGTTGGGAGGCTTGCTTGAAAGCCAGGTGTTTGAGACCAGCCTTGGCAAAAAAGGGAAAACTTGTCTCTACAGAATAATGAAAAATAAATAAAAATTTAAAAATTACCTAGCTCTGGTTGAGTGTCTGTAGTCCCAGCTATTCAGGAGCCTGAGAGAGCCTGAGATGGGACCGTCACTTGACCCCAGGAGTTGGAGGTTGCAGTGAGCTATTAGCACGCCACTGCACTCCAGCCTGGATGACAGAGCAAGACCCTTGATTCAAAAAAATTAAAAAGGAGAGAAGCAAAACGAATGCTGGCACAAAGAGGTTTATTGACTAATTGAATGATATCACATATAGTTAGAATGGTTGAGGAATGCTTTGTTTAAAAAACAGCATTATCGGCCTGGCGCAGTGGCTCAAACATGTAATCCCAGCACCTTGGGAGGCCAAGGTGGGTGAATCACCGGAGGTCAGGAGTTCGAGACCAGCCTGACCAACATGGTGAAACTCTGTCTCTACTAAAAATACAAAAAATTAGCTGGGTGTGGTGGCGGGCGCCTGTAATCCCAGCTACTGGGAAGGCTGAGGCAGGAGAATCACTTGAACCTGGGAGGCGGAGGTTGGAGTGACCTGAGATTGTGCCATTGCATTACAGCCTGGGCGACAGAGCAAGACTCCATCTCAAAAAAAAAAAAAAAAAAAATCGCAAAAAAAGTATCTGAGCTGAACTGAGTGTACTTGATTTGGATAGGTAACTGGGGATGCTTCTAGGAAGAAGAAAAATTAACATATGTATGATACAAGACTACCTAGCACACATAGTGTAAATACTATGCCATGAACGTTCACTTAAAATCTTTCATATTGCCTTCCTAGCAAGCACTTTATATACAATATCTAGGTGCTTAGATACTTGTCGAATACAAGAAGGAATCTATGTAACAATCCTACGAGTCAACTGCTATTGTTGGTCTGATTTTAGAGAGAAAATCTGAAGCGTAGAAATTATATAACTTTCCTAGAATTGCCTAAATACTATCTGCTAGATCCATTTAATGTACCAAGTGTTTAACTTAATTCTCACAATATCCCTATGAAGTAGATAAGTATATTCATTTCACTGATATGAAACCAAAGTTTTAGAGGCCAAGTAACTTGCTTAAGATTATAACTTAAACTGCAATGTGAGCCCAGGTCTATTTAGTTCCAAAATCTGAGATCTTAAGCCTTATATTCTGCCTCTCTCAAATTTAACCTCACCCCAATTTATCCTTTTGTGTTTCATATCCTTAACACAGTAGGACTTTATTTTTTATTTTTATTTATTTATTTTTTTGAGAGTCTCACTCTGTCACCCAGGCTGGAGTGCAGTGGCACAATCTCGGCTCACTGCAATCTCTGCCTCCAGGGTTCAAGTGATTCTCCTACCTCAGCCTACTGAATAGCTGGGATTATAGGCATGCTCCACCTCGCCTGGCTAATTTTTGTATTTTTTAGTAGAGATGGAGTTTTGCCATGTTGGCCAGGCTGGTCTTGAACTCCTGACCTCAGGTGATCTGCCCACCTTGGCCTCCCAAAGTGCTGGGGTTACAGGCGTGAGCCACCATGCCCAGCCCACAGTAGGACTTCAGTATAACTGAATGGTCAGAAATCTATATGTATAATGAATATGAACTGACAGAGAAATTATATTGATCAGGTTTTATTCAGTCATTAATTAACTCAGATATTTGTTGATCACCTCCTGCATGCCTAGTTATGTTATAGGCACTGGGGATACAATAATGGAACAAAATACCTAAGTCTGTGCCATTATGGAGCTTACATTCTGGTATGGAGAGTTAGACAATTAGTGAAATATAATCCTTAAGGAGGTTATAGATTCTATAGAGAAAAATGAAGTAGGGGCCAGGCACAGTGGCTCATGCCTGTAATCCCAGTGTTTTGGGAGACTGAAGCAGGCAGATCACTTGAGGCCAGGAGTTCAAGATCAGCCTGGCCAACATAGTGAAACCCGTCTCTACTAAAAATACGAAAATCAGCCGAGTGTGGTGGTGCTCACCTGTAATCCCAGCTACTTAGAAGGCTGAAGCACAAGAATCACTTGAACCTGGGTGGTGGAGGTTGCAGTGAGGCGGAGGTTGCAGTGAGCCGAGACCATGCCACTGCACTCCAGTCTGGGAGACAGAGTGAGACTGTTTCAAAAAGAAAAAAAAAGAAAAGAAAAACAGAAAAATAAAGTAGGGTAAGAAGGATAAAGAATACTGGTGAAGGGAATTATGATATATTGATGTCTTATAAAAGGAGGGAAAGCCTGTCTGATAAGGTGATATTTGAGCAAAGAACTGAAGGAATTGAGAAAGTGAGCCATTTATACATCCAGGGAAGAGCATGCCAAGCTTCAAGTGCAGTGACAAATTCAAAGGAACTTGTCATGTTTAAGGAATAGTAAGGAAATTAGTAAGGTTACACTAGAGTGAAGGAAGGGGCATATGATAAGAAAAGAGCTCACAGAGATAGTTATGGAGAACAGAGGCCTTAAGACCATGTGGGCAGTAGTGAGGATTTGGCATTTTATTCCCAGTGAGAGAGGAAGCCATTTTCATGAGAGATTTGACAGGATCTCACTTAAAATTTAAAAGTAATCAGGCCAGGCACGATGGCTCATGCCCGGTAATCCCAGCACCTTGGGAGGCCAAGGTGGGAGGACTGCTTGAACCCTGGAGTTCAAGACTAGCCTGGGCAACATAGGGAGAGTGTGTGTCTGCAAAAAAAAAAAAATTCTAGGCATGGTGGTGTGTTGACTGTAGTTCCAGCTACTCCAGAGGCTGAGGTGGGAGGATTGGTTGAGCCTGGGTGGATGAGGCTGCAGTGACCCATGATCATGCATGGGAGACAGAGCAAGACCTTGTCTCAAGAAAGGAAAGAAATCACTGGCTCTTCTGTAAAAAATGATCTGTTAAGAGTAATTGAAAAACTAAATACAAGTAATAAAATAATCTTTCATTTAAGAAATACTACCAAAATTAAGATGGAGATCTAGCAAAAAGTCAAAAGCAGCTGGGCGTGGTGGCTCACACCTGTAATCCCTACACCTTGGGGAGGCTGAGGCGGGAGGATCACCTGAGGTCAGGAGTTCGAGACCAGCCTGGCCAACAGAGCCAAAGTCTCTACTGAAAATACAAAAATTAGCTTGATGTGGTGGTGGGTGCCTATAATCTCAGCTACTCAGGAGGTCGAGGCAGGAGAATTGCCTGAACCCAGGAGGCAGAGGTTGCAGTGAGCCGAGATTGTGCCACTGCACTCCAGCCTGGGTGATGAGAACAAAATTCCGTCTCAATAAAAATAAAAATAAAGTCAAAAGTCCACAAATAATGAACACTCATCTAAGAATTCAGTTATGTATAAAACACTCTTTACTCTTACATTTACTTTCATAATGGAATTTTTTCTGTAAGTTGGTAAAACTGAGTAGCTTAGTTTGCTCTTTGAAGGGTGGTATTTCTGCCTATAAACTACTTAGTTAACTTCATAAGGTAAGAACTGGTAGTCATAGTGATTTTATTTTGAAATCTCCTTCTCCAGTGTATCTCTTTACATTAAAATTATCCCTAAAAAAATTTTTAGCCCTAAAATTATGGCCTGAAATATTCAACTTGAAAGTTTCTACAGAGAACCATATTCAGCTTGTCATCATCCCTGAACTAATTACTGTACTAGCTGTCACTGCAACTTAAATATGTCTGTTGCCTCCTAGAAATTACAAATAAAATACCATACACCTGGAGGTCAGCGTGGACTTAATAAGTTTCTTAGGGAAAGAAGCTGTTCCAGCAAAGATGCCCTAGAATGTCTTCTAGAAAGTGGATTCTCGGCTGGGTGCAGTGGCTCACGCCTGTAATCCCAGTACTTTGGGAGGCCAAGGTGGGCAGATTATCAGGTCAGGAGTTCAAGACCAGCCTGACCAACATGGTGAAACCCCATCTCTACTAAAAATACAAAAAAATTAGCCAGACATGGTGTCACGCGCCTGTAATCCCAGCTACTCAGGAGGCTGAGGCGTGAGAATCACTTGAACCCGGGAGGCAGAGGTTGCAGTGAGCCGAGATTGCGCCACTGTATTCCAGCCTGGGTGACAGAGCGAGACTCCGTCTCAAAAAAGAAAAAAAAAAACAAAAAAACTGGATACTTAGTAAATATGAGGATTTTTTTTTAAGTATTACAAACTGTACTAGTCTCATACTTAGTCATTTGTGATTCCTAATATGGCAGAAGCCTTTGTTAGCATATCATTGGCATTTAAGAAATAGGTTTTTCTTTTTTTTAAACCAAGAAGTAAGTTTGAATTTGAAAACCTTTGTAAAGTTTTTTTGGCCCACTTTGGGATGTCCTGAGTTGAGTTTAGGTTAGTGACACTGATTCTTTTAATCTAATTGGAGTATTTTGGAGAAAGCACCAAGTTTGTTAAATATATAGATTAAAACTATAGATTAAAAAAATTTGGATATATTTTTATTTTTAATTTTTTTTTATTTTTTGAGACACAGTCTTGCGTGTTGCCCAGGCTTGAGTGCAGTGGCACGATCTCAGCTCACTGTTACCTCAATCTCCTGGGTTCAAGCGATTCTCGTGCCTCAGCCTGCCGAGTAGCTGGGATTGCACGCGTGTGCCACCATGCCCAGCTAATTTTTTGTATTTTTTGGTAAAGATAGAGTTTTGCCGTGTTGGCCAGGCTGGTCTCAAACTCCAGGCCTCAAGTGATCTGCCCACCTTGGCCTCCCAGAGTGCTGGAATTATAGGCATGAGCCACTGTGCCTGACCTGGTATATTTTTAAATTAATTTTCTGTAGAGACAGGATCTCCTTATTCCCAGGCTGATCTCGAACTTCTGGGCCCAAGTGATCATCCCATCTTGGCCTCCCAAAGTGCTGGGATTACAGGCATGAGCCACTGCACCCAGCCTAAAATTTTTGTCGTAAAAAAATGGATTAGCTTTTTGTGTCTGTCATTTATGTGTACTAGTATTTTACAAAACAAATTCTTCTTACCCAAGATTATTAGCTGTTTCTTCACATAGCCCTTTCACAGTGCTTTCCATATAAAAAATACTCCATTTATACTAGGCAGCTTAGGTATTATAAAAAATACGAGCTTTGGAATCTCAGCTCTGCCATTTATTTGGTCTATGGCAAATTCTTTAGCCTTAGATTTGTTTAAAATGGGGTTATTAACATTTTCCTCACAAATAAGAGGATTAAAATGAGAAAATACGTAAACATTCCAACAGAGTAAGTACTCAGTGTCTTTTCTTCCCTTCTTTGATTTGATTGTTTCACACCCTTAAAAATTGTTACTACAGCATTGGTTCTTAACCCTAGCTGCACATTAGAATCATCCAGAGATATTTGAATAAAACACGAATGGCTCAGCCCCACCCCACATCAGTTGAATCAGTCTTTGAGGGTGAGGCCCAAGCATCTGGAGTTTTGTTTGTTTTTAAGCTTCCCAGGTAATTCTGATACCGCATAGGTATTGAGAACCACTAGTCTAGAGGGAAAGACTTCACACATAACCTTTCAAGAAAGCTTTCCTGAGGTATTTCTAATAACTTTCAAAGTTAAAAATAAGGATGGGGGAGGGCCAGTGGGATCACTTTAACCTATTACTCTTACCTAGCTTTTTTTTTTTTGAAACAGTCTCAAGCTGGAGTGCAATGGCGCCATCATAACTCACTGTAGCCTCCATCTCCTGGGTTCAAGCAGTCCTCCTACTTCAGCCTCCCAAGTAGGGACTACAGGCGTCCACCACCACACCTGATTTTTTAAATTTTTAGTAGAGACGAGGTCTCACTATGTTACTAGGCTGGTCTTGAACCCCTGAGCTCAAGTGATCTCCTGCCTTGGGCTCCCAAAGTACTGGGATTATATGCATAAGCCACAGCGCCCAGCCTGTCGCTTTCTTTTCTTTCTTCTTTAAAAAAAAAAAAAAAAAAAAAAGATGGAGTCTTGCTATGTTGCCCAGGCTGGTCTCAAACTCCTACACTCCAAGTGATCCACCCGCCTCAGCCTCCCAAAGTGCTGGGATTGCAGGCGTGAGCCACTGCATCTGGCCCTGTTGCTTTCTTTAAACACATATTTCTCTGATTCATGTACCTACTGGTTAATCTTTTGGTCTCTTAACTTTCATTCATTCCAATTATATTTGCTTATGTTAATTAAATCCTTAAATCCTTTATTTATTTATTTATTTATTTATTTATTTTTTGGAGACGGAGTCTTGCTCTGTCATCCAGGCCGGAGTACAGTGGCGTGATCGCAGCTCACTGCAACCTCTGCCTCCCAGGTTCAAGCAGTTCTTCTGCTTGAGCCTACTGAGTAGCTGGGATTACAGGCGTGTGCCACCACGCATGGCTAATTTTTGTATTTTTAGTAGAGACGGAGTTTCACCATGTTGGCTAGGCTGGTCTTGAACTCCTGACCTCAGGTGATCTGCCTCTGTGCCCAGCCATTAAATCCTTTTTTTATATTTAATTGAAGATACTCATAATTGGCTTTTTTTGTTTTTTGTTTTTTTGTTTTGTTTTGTTTTGTTTTTGAGACAGTCTCGCTCTGTAGCCCAGGCTGGAGTGCAGTGGCGCGATCTCGGCTCACTGCAAGCTCCACCTCCTGGGTTCACGCCATTCTCCTGCCTCAGCCTCCCGCGTAGCTGGGACTACAGGCGCCTGCCAACACGCCCGGCTAATTTTTTTTTTTTTTTTTTTTTTTGTATTTTTAGTAGAGACAGGGTTTCACCGTGTTAGCCAGGATGGTCTTGATCTCCTGAACTTGTGATCCGCCCGCCTCCCAAAGTGCTGGGATTATAGGCGTGAGCCACCGCGCCCGGCAGGCATTTGTTTATTATCAAGTTGACGTTCATCTAATTTAGTCAGAGTTTTCCCTCACTGTAACCCTCTTATGCATGTAAGTTTGAAATCCCTTTTATACTTCTTTTTCCATTAGAACTGAATAAATTGATTTCCTTTTTCTTTCCTTTTTTTTTTTTTTTTTTTTTGAGACAGAGTCTCACTCTGTCGCTCAGGCCGGAGTGCAGTGGCGCAATCTCGGCTCACTGTAAGCTCCGCCTCCCGGGTTCACGCCATTCTCCTGCCTCAGCCTCCCTAGTAGCTGGGACTACAGGCGCCTGCCACCACACCCGGCTAATTTTTTGTATTTTTTAGTAGAGACGGGGTTTCACTGTTAGCCAGGATGGTCTTGATCTCCTGACCTCATGATCCGCCCACCTCGGCCTCCCAAAGTGCTGGGATTACAGGCGTGAGCCACTGCGCCCGGCCTTGATTTCTTTTTTTGCTCTGTTTTTGAGGTCAGGAGGATTCAGTGGGCATAAGTATTGCCAGATTTTCTTTGACTTGATATGAAAATAAGCTCTCTGAAGTCTGTGTTGGTCTGCTGAGTAGTATTGTGGATAGTTATACCCAAAGAATTAATCTGACAATTAACGTTCAATAGGTACCCAACAGCCAGCAAGTAAAGGCACTAATATAAACATTTGTGCTGCACTTTTTGCTTTCTTTTTTTTTTGGAGACAAGAGTTTTGCTCTTGTCACCCAGGCCGGAGTGCAGTGATGTGATCTCGGCTCACTGCAACCTCCGCCTCTCAGGTTCAAGTGCTTCTCCTGCCTCAGCCTCCCTAGTAGCTGGGACTACAGGCGCAAGCCACCATGCCCAGCTAATTTTTTTGTGTGCGTGTGTATTTTTAGTAGAGACGGGGTTTCCCCATATTGGCCAGGCTAGTCTTGAACTCCTGACCTCAGGTCATCCGCCTGCCTCGGCCTCCCAAAGTGCTGGGATTACAAGCGTGAGCCACCGTGCCTGGCCACTTTTTGCTTCCTAATGTGTTTTCACACCCCTTAATTATTGTTTTAGCTAACATTTTGAAAAATATCTACTGCATGTCAGATACTGGGATAACAAAGATGAAATGAGAGCCTTGCTCTCCAGAAGTTTAAAGTCTAGAGGGAAAGATAGAGAAGTAAAAATAGGCTATTACAATCAGTGCAGTAAATAACTCTGAAAGAACTACTGGTGCTACTTGGAGTATATATTTTAGTGCTGGGCATGGTAGCTCATGCCTGTGATCCCAACACTTTGGGAGGCCAGGAGTTTGAGACCATGGCAATACAGCAAGACCCCCATCCCTACAAAAAATAAAGAATTAGCTGGGTGCCCAGGGGATGCTCTGGCGAGGGCAGACCCCAGGAGAAAGCAAAAGGCGTCTCAGGGAACCCCCACATTCTCTCACTGAAGTTTCCCACCAGGATGACCCCACAGCCAGAGTCCCTTGGCAGCCCCTCACCCCAGAGCCCCCTTCTAAGGAAAAAAGAGAAGTTCAGGGCATTGGACCTTCATTAACAGTGGCCTGGCTGGCGTGGCAGGCCCAAGGCCCACTCACTGCCATCCCCTTTCTGTGTGTCCCTGTCCCCTAGTTCTAAGGCCCAGGGCCTGAGCTCTCTTCCCCAGCATCGCCCCCCCACCCCCGAAAAACCCCGCCTTTGGAGAGTTAATTTTCTGTGTGAGGTGCTTAACCTATCAGGCCTGAGAACACAAAGCAGTAATCTTTGTTACTGAGATGCGGCTGTTCGTGTTTTGGGTTTTTTTTTTTTAATGTTTCCTAATAAAAGAAGCTGCATTTTGTTGGTTTTTATTTTTAATTTTCTACACATTTGAGCTGAGTCCAGAGACACTTAGCTTCCCTGTCCCCCATACCCGGACCCTTCCACCCCACTGGACCCAACCATGGGCTCAGAACCCTGGAATTCCGTTTGCTGATTTGTTTGGGTTTTTTTTTTTTTTTTTTTTAAGATGTTACATGGTATTTCGAAGCCAGCAAGTTACCACCCTCCGGTGTCTCTTCTCTCCACATCTGTAACTTCTTTTTCCAGGTTTTATTTTCAGTTTTAAATTCCTAATAAATTATTTGAAAATGTTAAAAAAAAAAAAAGAATTAGCTGGGTGCCTTGGCACATCCCTGTAGTCCTAGCTACTCAGGAGGCTGAGGCAGGAGGATTGCTTGAACCCAGGAGTTCAAGGCTATCATGAGTTATGATCACATTTTCATTGCACTCCAGCCTGGCAACACAGTGAGACAGTGTATTTTTTAAAAAGATTTTATTAGACAGGAGGAAGAAGATTTAAGGAACTGGGGAGTGAGTTAGAGAAGCTTTTAAGGAGTTATCAAGGAATGGGTCCTGAAGGATGAGTGTCAGCTAGGCAAATTGAACTGGGAGGGTATTCCAAGGAGAAGCATCATCATTGTGTCCTTTGAACTTCACAACTGTATCCCCTTTTTATTAGAATGAATCTAAGAATTAGAGATAGTAAATATCCTTGAGATTACAAAGCTGTAATAATGGGGTAGTTAATAGTAGAGTTTCTTTCTGGGCTTGTATTCTATGCTCTTTCTATATGCACATTAAATGCTGTATTAAATTATGGAAATAGGCTTTTACCCTTTCTGCCTTACACCATGTGA
Organism: Homo sapiens; assembly: GCF_000001405.40. Classification (NCBI taxonomy): domain Eukaryota; kingdom Metazoa; phylum Chordata; class Mammalia; order Primates; family Hominidae; genus Homo; species Homo sapiens. Next base: position 73,690,024 of record NC_000011.10, on the reverse strand, counting down.
AAAGAAGTTTTCCCCTCCTCCAGAGTGTTGACAAAAAAAGCCAAACTGTAAAATATTTAAAGAGGTCTATTTTGAGCCAAATATGAGTGATCATGCCTGAGTCGGTCTTTTTTTTTTTTTTTTTTTTTTGAGACGGAGTCTCACTGTGTTGCCCAGACTGGGGTGCAGTGTTGCAATGTCCACTCACTGCAACCTCCACAGAGGCACAGTCGAGATTCTGAGAACATCTGCCCAAAGTAGTTGGGTTACAGCTTGGTTTTATACATTTTAGGGAAACATAAGACCTCAGTCCGTACATATGACATAGACATTGGTTTGGTCTGGAAAGGTAGGACAACCCAAAGTGGTGGTGGGGGTTGAGGGGAACTTGTAGGTCATAAGTGGATTCAGAGATTTTCTGAGTGGCAATTGGTTGAAAGAGTTATCTAAAGACCTGGAATCAATAGAAAGGAGGAGTGTCTAGGCTAAGATAAAAGGTTGTGGAGACCAAGGTTATTACGATGTAGGTCAGGGGTCCCCAACCCTTGGGCCACAGCCCAATACTGGTCCGTGGCCTGTTAGGAACCAACCCACACAGCAGGAGATGAGCAGCAGGTAAGCCAGCATTACAGCCTGAGCTCTGCCTCCTGTCAGATCAATGGCAACATGATATTCTCCTAGGAGCATGAACACTATTGTGAACTGCACATTGGAGGGATCTAGGTTGCACACTCCTTACAAGAATCTAAGTAATGCCTGAAAATCACAGGTGGAACAGTTTCATCCCAAAACTATCTGCACCCCAGTCCATGGAAAAATTGTCTTACAGGAAACCGGTCCCTGGTGCCAAAAAGGTTGGGGATCGCTGATGTAAATGAAGTCTCATAGGTGGCTGCCCTTAGAAGCAATTTTTTTTTTTTTCTTGAGACAGGGTCTCCCTCTGTCTTCCAGGCTGGAGTGCAGTGGCATAATCACAGCTCACTACAGCCTCAACTTCTGGGCTCAAATGCTCTTCCCACCTCAGCCTCCTGAATAGCTTGGACTACAGGAGCCTACCACCACACCTGGCTAATTTTTTATAGAGACAAGGTCTCCCTGTGTTGCCCAGGGTGGTCTGGAACTCCTGGGCTCAAATGATCCAACCACCTCGGCTTCCCAAAGTGCTGGGATTACAAGAGTGAGCCACTGCCTGGTGGCAAGTGTTTCTTATTTAGACCTTTAAAAGTTGCTAGACTCTGAGTTAATCTCTTCAGGATTGGGAGAACCTGGAAGGGGAAAAAATCTACTTATGTAAATAGAAATGTTTTACAGATGCAAGTTTTCTCTTCACAAAGTGGCCCTTTGCAGGGCTATTTATGGCAAAAAGAATGTTATTTGGGGGTAAGATATTTTGATTTCCTTTATCTGTAATGTGATACTATACTAGAGTCAGGTGGTAAATCCTTAGCAGAAGACCCAGGGACAAGATCTCTTAAGAGTTCAAGATATAGAAAGTACACAGAATGGCACCAACTCATTAGCAATTCTCTTATTTCTCCGGAGCCAGAACGTGATGGACACAGAGACTAATTCATTGTATTTTATATATCATCAACTAGGCTCAAATCTGTCTCTCTCTTCCTGGGAGTCTACCCCGCTGTTGAGACTGCAAACTAAGCCTTCCAGAGATGGTAAATAGGACTTCAAGAGACAGAGACAGGCACAAGAGGCACTGCACAGCCCTACTGACCCAGCCTAGATCCAGAGTTCAGCAGACCATGAGACAATGAAAGGATATTTAGTAATCTTTTTTCAGAAGTCACAGTAATGATTTATTTGGGCAAAAATCACCAATTGGTATTAAAACCTTAAAGTGAAAATTTGACAAAGAATGATAAGAGATATACATAATTGCAGAGAATCTCCTCTCATACTTATTAATCACAAAAGGAAAGTTGGTAATTTGGCAGTGAAGAAACTTGACCAGCTCTACCTTAATTTAACCAAGTGGCTAAAATTCACTTCACCAGTAAGGGCACAAACCAGCATAAGGTGCCTCCTGATATGATACACTAAGAAAGACACTATCTCTTCTGTAGTATTACTGACAAAAAGTGAGTAAGGTAAAACTAAACATTAGGAAGCAACAAGCAAATCCAAATTACTTGACAGTCTACAAGGTAACATCCGTGACTTCTTTTTTTTTCTTGAGATGGAGTTTCCCTCTTGTTGCCCAAGCTGGAGTGCAGTGGTGAAATCTCGGCTCACTGCAACCTCCGCCTCCCGGGTTCAAGTAATTCTCCTGCCTCATCCTCCCAAGTAGCTGGGATTACAGGCATCGGTCACCACACCTGGCTAATTTTTTGTATTTTTAAAAGAAACGGGGTTTCATCATGTTAGCCAGGCTGGCCTGGAACTCCTAACCTCAGGTGATCCGCCCACCTCGGCCTCCCAAAGTGCTGGGATTACGAGTGGCATGAGCCACCGTGCCTGGCCCCATGTACTTTTCAACAATGAATAATGACAATAGGAATGGAGAAAAAATAGACTAGTCCAGAAAATATTTAGCGAGTGCCTCTCTTGAGCTGGGCACAGTGGCTCACACCTAAAATCCCAGCATTTTGGGAGGCCAAGATGAGAGGATTGCTTGAGCCCAAGAGTTTGTGCCTAAGATTGTGTTCATTATCCTAAGATTGTATCCATTTTCCGTAGACAAAATAGGATTTTTTTAAAGTACATTCACACTATAGTGCAAAAATCACTGCTATCCATCCAGAACCCTTTTCATTCTTGTAAAATTGACATTCTGTACCCATTAAATAATAACTCCTTATTTCCCCCTTCCCCCAGCCATTGACAGCCAGCCATTCTACTTTGTGTCTGTGAATTTGATTACTCTAGGTATCTCATATAAGTGAACTCATACAATATTTGTTCCTTTGTGTGTGACTTGTTTCACTTGCATAATGTCCTCAAGATGCATCCATATTGTAGTAGGTGTCAGAATTTCTTTCCTTTTTAAGGCAGAATAATACTGCATTTTATGGATATACTATGTATAATATATAATATATATTTACATATATAGCACGTGGGTTGTTTCTACCTTTTGGCTATTGTCAATAATGCTGCCATGAACATTGGTGTGCAAATATCTGTTTACTGCTTTCAATTCTTTTGAATATATACTCCCAAGTAGAACTGCTGGACCATATGTTAAGGAATGTTAAAATAGATGTTATGAAGCAGTATATGTATATATATAATGAAAATAGGTAGATATGTGAATATAGCAGTACTTGCCCTGGAATACTTTGTTAGTTATGTACTTTTCACTAAAGAGAACCTATTTTCATTATTTAAAAGTCTGAAAACTTGTAAACCTAATTTTATTCCATTTTCACAAGCTCTACTTAGAAAGTAGCCAAACCTTTCCTATGCCTCCCTCTTGAAAAGATTTTCGGTTTTCAAGCTAGCTGATAATAAACCTGGTTTTTGTTTTGTTTTGTTTTTAGACAGAGTCTCACTCTGTCATCTAGGCTGGAGTGCAGTGGCGCGATCTCTGGGTCACTGCAACCCCCGCCTCCCGGGTTCAAGCGATTTTACTACCTCAGCCTCCTGAATAGCTGGGATTACAGGTGCCTGCCACCACACCCAGCCAATTTTTGTATTTTTAGTAGAGATGGAGTTTCACCATGTTGGCCAAGCTGGTCGAACTCCTGACCTCAAATGATCCCCCCACCTTTGCCTCCCAAAGTCCTGGGATTACAGGCGTGAGCCACTGCACCCAGCCTAAATCTGGTATTCTTAAGAGCCGAAAAGATTATGCATCTTGAATAGGCAAGCAGTTTAATAAATATTTCATGTCAGAAGCAAGTTGTAATATTATGAGGACAATTTCTAGATATTCCTAAGTAAGGAAGTTTCAGCTCTGCTGTAATATTTTTAAAAGGTCTCCCCCAACCCCCACATCTTTCCCACCAGTTTTTTATAGTTCCTTTTTAAAGCAGAATTGAGCCTGTGGGTGTTTTGTTCTAGTCCTAGAATTCACTGCAGAATTGTATAACATTTGGCAAAATTCTCTGTTCCCCAAGCCTGCAGGCCCATGAGTTCATTTATCTCTGATAGAGTTATTGTCTCTGGTAGAAATAAAGCTGCTTTTTTTTTTTTTTTTTTTTTTTGAGACGGAGTTTCACTCTTGTTGCCTGGGCTGGAGTGCAGTGGCATAATCTCGGCTCACTGCAACCTCCACCTCCCCGGTTCAAGCGATTCTCCTGCCTCACCCTCCCAAGTAGCTAGGATTACAGGCATCTGCCACCACACCTGGCTATTTTTTTTTTTTGTATTTTTAATAGAGATGGGGTTTCACCATGTTGGCCCGGCTGGTCTCAAACTCCTGACCTCAGATGATCCACCCGTCTTGGCCTCCCAAAGTCCTGGGATTACAGGCGTGAGGCACCGCACCTGGTCGCTACTTTCAGTCCGGGCGTGGTGGCTCACACTTGTAATCCCAGCACTTTGGGAGGCTGAGGCAGGCGGATCATGAGCTCAGGAGATCGAGACCATCCTGGCTATCACAGTGAAACACCGTCTCTACTAAAATTGCAAAAAATTTGCCGGGTGTGGCACAGGCACCTGTAGTCCCAGCTACTCGGGAGGCTGAGGCAGGAGAACAGCTTGAACCCAGGAGGCAGAGGTTGCAGTGAGCTGAGATCGCGCCACTGCACTCCAGCCTGGGCAACAGAGCGAGACTCCGTCTCAAAAAAAAAAAAAAAAAAAAGACTTTCTATATAGCAGGTCAGTACTAAAACACTTTGCATAATTATTTCCCTTAACTTACACAATAATCTAATCAGGCAAGTATACTATTATTTTAAGCCCATCTTACACATCAGGGAACAGAGGAACGAAGATTACATGATCTGTCACTTAAGTGGCCTACCTAGGGCCCAAGCCCAGGCTGTTAACTACTACACTGTACTGCTATCCACACTTTACCTTTTAGTTTTTTGCTTTTTGCCATTCTGCTTAATACCTTTCAATTTCACTATGTGATTTGTATATCTCTTTAGCCATATTAAGACAATGGAATTATTGATGGAAGTCTGAGAGCAAACTACTATTTTTAGTGGCTTCCTTTACCCACAGGATGTGAGGGAAGGTCTTTCTCAGTCTGGCCTCCAATATGTATATATCCTTATCGTAATTATTTTACATATTCTGTGCTCCAACCAGTCTGGACTACATAAGCATTCTTAAGTATACCTTGTACTTTTCTATCTGTGAACATGTGTTCAGGAAACTCTTCCCTGTGAAATCTTTGCCACTTCTTTTCCTTTGTCCTCATCTCTACTGAAAGAGAAATGTGCTGAATATACATTCTGACTAGATGGCCAGGTGTTAAAATCATTGAGGCCAAAACTGCATACAGGTGTACCTCGGAGATACTGCAGTCTGGCTCTAGATCACTACAATAAAGTGAATATATCAATAAAATGAGTCACATGAATTTTCTGGTTTCCAATGTGTGTGAGTTATGTTTATACTATACTGTACTCTATTAATAGCATTATGTCTGTAAAAACAATGTACATATCTGGCCACACGTGGTGGCTCATGCCTGTAATCACAGCACTTTGGGAGGCCAAGATGCGTGGATCACTTGAGGTCAGGAGTTCGAGACCAGCCTGGCCAGTACAATGAACCCCTGTCTCTACTAAAAATACAAAATTTAGCCAGATGTGGTGGCCGATGCCTGTAATCTCATCTACTCAGGAGGCTGAGGCAGGAGAATCGCTTGAACCTGGGAGGCAGAGGTTGCGGTAAGCCTAGATAGTACCACTGCACTCCAGCCTGGGGGACAGATAGCAAAACTCTGTCTCAGAAAAAAAAAAAAAACAACAATGTATGTATCTTAATTAAAAAATACTTTATTACTAAAAAATGCTAATGATCATCTGATCGTAGCCTTCTGCAAATCATAATGTTTTTGCTGTTGGAAGGTCTTGCCTTGATGTTAATGTCTGCTGACCGATGAGGGTAGTAGTTGCTGAAGGCTAGAGTGGCTGTGGCAATTTCTTAAAATAATACTATTAATACAATGTAGTTTTCTGCATTGATCGATTCTTTTATCACAAATGATTTCTCTGTAGCATGCAATGCTGTTTCATAGTATTTTACCCATAGTAGAACTTCTTTCAAAATTGGCATTTCAGTCCAGTCGCAGTGGCACATGCCTTTAATCTCAGCACTTTGGGAGGCTGAGGCAGGTGGATCACCTGAGGTCAGGAGTTTAAGACTAGCCCGGCCAACATGGTGAAACCCCATCTCTACTAAAAATACAAGAATTAGCCCTGTGTGGTGGCGCACACCTGTGGTACCAGCTACTTGGAAGGATAAGGCAGGAGAATCACTTGAACCCAGGAGGCGGAGGTTGTGGCGAGCTGAGATTGTGCCACTGCACTCCAGCCTAGGTGACAAAGTGAGACTGCATCTAAAAAAAATAGTGCCACCAGGTGCGGTGGTGCATGCCTGTAATCCCAGCACTTTGGGAGGCTGAGGTAGGCAGATCACTTGAGCTCAGGAGTTGGAGACCACCCTGGGTAACATGGCAAAACCTCTTTTCTACAAAAAAAATACAAAAATTAGCCAGGTGTGGTGGCATGCCCCTGTAGTCCCAGCTACTTGGGAGGCTGAGGTGGGAGGATTACTTGAGCCCATGAGGTCGAGACCTCAGGGAGCCATGATTGTGCCACTGCACTCCAGCTTGGGTGACAGAGCAAGACCATATCTCCAAAAAAAAAAAAAAAAAAAAAGATGGGTCTATATCGTTATTATGCAGTGAATTTCTGTATACAAAAATAAAAAATGTATCTGCAAAATGCTGTTAACGTTTGATAGAGTGTCACATTGTCAGGTACTAGATTGTTTCTGTAGTCACTATACTTACTGCCTATTTGTGATAATAAATAGATTGTGATTTTCAAGTTTTCAGCTGATATTGGTGGGAGAACACTTTTGACTCAATTTCTATAAAATATGTTTTCCTTCATACCCTGTATTCTTTATGTCTTGATGAAAGGTGGTTTATTAATGGACATTGGAGTTTTTCCTAATGCATGAAATTTTGAGCTGACAAAGTTTATATTCTGCTTTTAATTCATTGTTTAATGCTCATAAAAAAGATCAGGATTGCCTAACCTTATATTATTAAACTTTTAGAAACCCTTGCTGGTTTAAACGGGGTATAATAGTTCATATCTGTAATCCCAACACTTTGGAATGCCAAGGTGGGAGGATCACTTCAGCCCAGGAGGTCAAGGCTGCAGTGAGCTATGATCATGCCACTGTACTCCAGCCTGGGTGACAGAGCAAGACCCTTCTCAAATAAAGATTTTTTTCTTTGAGATGGAGTCTCGCTCTGTTGCCCAGGGTGGAGTGCAGTGGCACCATCTTGGCTCACTGCATCCTCCACCTCCCGGGTTCAAGCAGTTCTCCTGCCTCAGCTTCCCTAGTTGCTGGGACTGCAGGCATGTGCCATCATGCCCAGCTAATTTTGTGTATTTTTAGTAGAGATGGGGTTTCACTGTGTTAGCCAAGATGGTCTCGATCTCCTGACCTCGTGATCCACCCGCCTCAGCCTCTCAAAGTACTGGGATTACAGGCGTGAGCCACCATGCTCGGCCTACTTATTTTTTTGTTCATAAAATTAACAGCTTTCACAGTCATTAATTGTTGCAGCATTCACTCTTAGAATGTTTTTTGTTTGTTTTTTAAAACAAGGTCTCTCTGTGTTGCCAGTGGTCTCAAACTTCTGGGCTCAATTGCTTGATTTTCCCACCCCAGGCTTCCAAGTAGCTAGGATTACAAGCTCGTGTCGCCACACTCAGCTAGAATATTTATCTATGTTTCAAACCTAATATTCACATATTAATCCAGATGGACCCACCGTATATAATTAATGTTATATTGATTTGACATGATGGTAATTTATACAGCTACATGATCTTTGATGGTGTACCAGAAATGATGTTAAGGTAAGTGTTCCGCAATTCAAAGTCTTACAGCTGATGTGGATTGAATATTGGGGTAAAGCCTAATTTTGGTACATCTCTAAAAAAGCTACTGAACCTTATAGAAACAAGACAATTAGAGTTTTCCCCATTTTCATATCCCTGCACCTACCCTATCAGGCTTTTGTCTACCAGATCAAAATTTTACAATTTGCTCCTTTATACATTTTTTTTGTGTTGTTTTTCCAGACAGAGTCTTGCTCTGTCGCCCAGGCTGCAGTGCAGTGGCAAGATCTTGGTCCACTGCAACCTCCGGCTCCTGGGTTCAAGCGATTCTTCTGCCTCAGCCTCCCGAGTAGCTGGGATTACGGGCATGCGCTACCACGCCTGGCTAATTTTTGTATTCTTAGTAGAGACGGGGTTTCACCATGTTGGCCAGGCTGGTCTCAAACTCGACCTCGTAATCTGCCTTCCTTGGCCTCCCAAAGTGCTGAGATTACAGGCGTGAGCCACCAAGTCTGGCCTGATACATTTTTAAACATATTAGTTGTAGTTCCAGTCTCTTATCTCTGTCCTTCTAGGCATTCTGTTCTTTCTTCGTTTAATTCAGTAATACTTATAGAGCACTTAAACCCTGAGCATTTTATGCATGTATTTCAGCCAAGTGAGGTTTTAAGACTGCCTTTAAATCTCAACTCAGATGTTACCTCCTAAAAGATTTTTTTCAGCCTCCTGAGTTGGACCTTGTTACATCTGTATTCTCAGAGCATTTTAAACTTACTTTGTTTGTAGCATCACATTGTAATATAAAGAATTGTTTGAGTATCTCCTTTACCAGATTTTGAGCTCCTTGAATTAAAAAACTGTTTTTTCTTGTTCATTTCTGTGTCTCAAAGACACAGAATGAGGCTGCCTGATACACTGCCTCAAGTAAGCAAGTACTTGGTACAAAGGAGTTACAGCACATATGCATTTAATTTATGGGTTTACACTGTGTGCTTAATTAAAAGATAAATAATTGAAATAATCAGGCAGTTTCACTGGCTGTTGTACCCAGTGGGTGTATGCCTAAGATTGGGACAATATAAGAAGTATAAACTGTTGTTCCAGTATCTGTTCTCATATGCCTCTCAAAAGTAAACATCTCACCAGGCTTGAGTGCGTTTCTCCTGTTGAAGATAACTTTTCATAGCTTCATACCTCAAACACAAGCCAGCCACTCCCACTGACACTCATTCCAATGATGGAAGAAAAGCCAGCTGTGTTGGACTTGAGGGGTGGTGTATTAATCTCTAACATAGTGCTTTTCTAATGAACGATGAAGGATAATTTTGACTGGACTGAGTTTCACAATATATTATACACTGACTTCAGAACCTAACTCTCCCCCCCACACCCCCGCCAAGAAGAAGTCTTGCTGTGTCGCCCAGGCTGGAATGCAGTGGCGTGATCTTGGCTCACTGCAACCTCCGCCTCCCAGGTTCAAGTGATTCTCCTGCCTCAGTCTCCCAAGTAGCTGGGATTACAGGCATGTGCCACCACACCCAGCTCATTTTTGTATTTTCTGTAGAGACAGGGTTTCACCATGTCCAGGCTGGTCTTGAACTCCTGACCTCGTGATCCACACCCCTTGGCCTCCCAAAGTGCTGGGATTACAGGCGTGAGCCACCGCGTCCAGCCCTGAACCTCACTCTTTATATGAAAGATAGGAATGCTACTATACAGTTTTGTTAAATGAATGATCTGTCCTTTTTCTGCGTTTCTGTAATACTTTATTATTCAAATGACATTTTTGCTGCTTATTTCATAGCTGTTTACTTTTGTCTTATCCCACCAGTTAAAAAAACAGGAATCATGTCTTTATACCTCTTTGTATTTGGTATATTGCTTTTTATATAATACTCGTTTATAGAATGAATAGACATTTTATTTTATTATTTATTTATTTATTTATTTAAAGACAGAGTCTCGCCCTGTTGCCCGGGCTGGAGTGCAGTGGCGTGATCTCAGCTCCCTGCAGCCTCCACTTCCTGAGCTGAAGCAGTCCTCCAGGTTCAGCCTCTCCAGTACCTAGGACTATAGGCGTGTGCCACCACGCCTGGCTAATTTTTGTGTTTTTTTTTGTAGAGACAGAGTTTCACCATGTTGCCCAAGCTGGTCTCAAACTCCTGACCTCAAGTGATCTGCCCACCTCGGGTGGGTCCCAAAGTGCTGGGATTACAGGTGTGAGCCACTGCGCCCAGCATTAGACAGCTCACTGTACAGTGATCATAAACCTCAGTACCCTTTGCTAAATGTTCCCTCTCAGTTATCACTTTTCTCTCTTTCCCACAGCTCTTTCGACGTGTAGCAGCAGCTTTGCCGGGAATGGAAAGCACACAGGACAGAAGCAGAGAAGATAGTATCCTTTTTATTTCATTGGAAATTTTTCATTATTAACACTAGTCTTTAGAGCCCTGCTTGCTTGGCTAAAGAATATTGTGCCATTGCCTTTTACAACCAGGAACTGATGACTTAAAGGCATAGAAATTCATTTGTTTTCTATAGCAAATGAGGTCTGGTTATCCAAGTGCACCCTTTGCAGCCTGCTTCTCGTTGTTAATCAGTGAGAGGTTTTGTGTTTGTTTGCTTGCTTTTAAATGAGCAGGAAACTCTTAGAATCCCTGTGTCCTTGCCTCTTCATTTTGAGTCCCATTGACTCTAGGCTTTTTCCTCATGGAATATCAAATTTTCATTTCTTTTTCTAACACTTGAGCTTTCTACTTGACACAGGCAAGAAATAGAGTGGAGCTTTATTGTAGCCTCTGCTTTCAGAAACAGGACATAATATTAGTTCATTTCCAAGGATTGGGACATCTAATATTAGTTAATTCTAAGGATTTTTAATTTGATGTTTTCAGTGTTTCATATTCACCTTCTAGTGTATTTCCATATGCAGGCATTTTTATTAAGCCATATAGTTTGTAGCACTTTGTATTCAGCTCTTCCCACTTGTAAATGTTATATGTTTTCATAAAAAACATAAAACAGGCCGGGCGCGGTGGCTTATGCCTGTAATCCCAGCACTTTGGGAGGCCAAGGCAGGTGGATCACCTGAGGTCGGGAGTTCAAGACCAGCCTGACCAACATGGAGAAACCTTGTCTCTACTAAAAATAAAAAAATTACCTGGGCGTGATAGTGCACGCCTGTAATCCCAGCTACTAAGGAGGTTGAGGCAGGAGAATTGCTTGAACCCAGGAGGCAGAGGTTGCAGTGAGCCGAGATCACGCCATTGCACTCCAGCCTGGGCAACAGGATCGAAACTCCATTCCCCCCCCAAAAAAAAAAACACAACAACAACATAAAACATAATATGTTTCAAAAACAAAACAACAACAACAACAAAAAATGTTCTATTGAGTTGAAGTATGTCCCCGCGCCCACCGCCGTTTTTTTTTGAGATGGAGTCTCATTCTGTCGCCCAGGCTGGAGTGCAGCAGCGCAATCTCAGCTCACCACAACCTCTGCCTCCTGAATTCAAGTGATTCTCCTGCCTCAGCCTCCCAAGTAGCTGGGAATACAGGCATGAGCCACCATGCCCAGCTAATTTTTATATTTTTAGTAGAGATGGGGTTTCGCCATGTTGGCCAGGCTGGTCTTGAACTCCTGACCTCAGGTGTTCGGCCTGCCTCAACCTCCCAAAGTGTTGGGATTACAGGCATGAGCCACGGCACCCGGCCTGAAGTCCCATTATTTACTAAATGTTTCCTCTGCTGTTGGAACTATCTTGTAGGCTATTTTCAGATTTATATTATAGATGATTCTATGAGGAACATCATCTTCATATCACTTCTTGCCACTGTAGAATAAGTTCCTTAGGATAGATACCCATAAATAGAGCTTGTACCTCATTCTGACCCTTGTTGCATATAGTAGATATAAACAAGTTTATTCCATTTGAGCACCTTATATGGTGAGGCGGCTATGTAGAAAATAGTGAGTGTGTAGGCTCTGAAGACAGATAGGAATATAAGGGCCATCCCAGAAATGCTAGTGTTTGGAAGAATTGAAATTGTACTTTCCCATTTATGGCTTCTTAACTTTTGTTTCAGTGATTGACATAAAACTGGAAAAGCCTCAGGAGCAACCAGTCAGTGAAGGAGGCTGTTCCTGCTAATCTCCCATGTCATCTTCAACCTTCTTCAGAAGCTCACTGCTTTGGCCCCCTTACTCTTTCATTGACTGCAGTGTGAATATTGGCTTGAACCTTTTCCCTTCAGTAATAACGTATTGCAATTCATCATTGCTGCCTGTCTCGTGGAGATGATCTATTAGCTTCACAAGCACAACAAAAGTCAGTGTCTTCATTATTTATATTTTACAAAAAGCCAAAATATTTCAGCATATTCCAGTGATAACTTTAAAAATTAGATACATTTTCTTAACATTTTTTTCTTTTTTAATGTTATGATAATGTACTTCAAAATGATGGAAATCTCAACAGTATGAGTATGGCTTGGTTAACGAGCGGTATGTTCACAGCCTACTTTATCTCTCCTTGCTTTTCTCACCTCTCACTTACCCCCATTCCCTATTACCCTATTCTTACCTAGCCTCCCCCGACTTCCTCAAAACAAACAAGAGATGGCAAAGCAGCAGTTCTACCAAGCCCATTGGAATTATCCTTTAATTTTACAGATACCACTTGCTGTAGGCTACGGACCAAGATGTCCAAAATTATTCTTGAGCACTGATATAAATTACGGTCTTCTTTGAGGTCAAAATTCAGCCATCATGGTAGGCAGTGCTTGAATGAGAAAAGGCTCCTGGTGCATCTTCAAAATGAGTCCTAAAGAACATACTGAGTACTTAGAAGTAGAAGAACATAAGATGTATTTCTGACTAAAACAAATGGCTCTTTCACATGTGCTTTATTAGACTCTGGGAGAGAAAATTAACCAAGTGCTTCAGAACAGGTTTTTAGTATTTAATTCTTCACGGTAAGAAAATGAAGTTCTAATGAACTGTTTCTCCCAAGGTTTTAAAATTGTCAAGAGTTATTCTGTTTGTTTAAAAAATAAGAAACCTCTTTAAGCAATAGATTTTGCTTGGGTTTTCTTTTTTAAAAACATAATACTGTGCAGGCAAGGCACTGTAAAAGTTTTAATTCCTTCCAGAAGAACCAGTGGAAGAATTTAAATTTGGCGCTACGATCAAAACTACTGAATTAGTAGAAATAATGATGTCTAAAGCTTACCAACAAAAGAACCCTCAGCAGAATAACAAAAACTTTGCTCAGGACATTTGAGGTCAAATTGAAGACGGAAACCGGAAACCGTTTTCTTGTAAGCCCCTAGAGGCAGATCAGGTAAAGCATACATAGTAGAGGGAAAGGAGAGAATGGAAATAAAACTCAATATTATGCAGATTTATGCCTTATTTTTTAGCATTTTTTAAGGTTGGGTCTTTCAGGCTGGTTTTGGTTTGTATTAGATCTGTATAGTTTAATTAACTGGTGATTTAGTTTTATATTTAAGCTACAATTAATCTTTTTTCTTTGGTGATATTTATTTCTTTGCCTTTTTTTTTTTTAACAACTTTCAATCTTCAGATGTTTCGTTGAATCTATTTAGAGCTTCACCATGGCAATATGTATTTCCCTTAAAACACTGCAAACAAATATACTAGGAGTGTGCCCTTTTAATCTTTACTAGTTATTGTGAGATTGCTGTGTAAGCTAATAAACACATTTGTAAATACATTGTTTGCAGGACGAAAACTTCTGAGTTACAGCTCAGGAAAAGCCTGCTGAATTTATGTTGTAAGCATTACTTAACACAGTATAAAGATGAAAAGACAACAAAAATATCTTCATACTTCCTCATCCCCTCATTGGAACAAAACCTTAAACTGGGAGAACCTTAGTCCCCTCTCTTTCCTCTTCCTCCTCCACTTCCCACTTATTGTCACCTTGTAATATTCAGAGAGCACTTGGATTATGGATCTGAATAGAGAAATGCTTACAGATAATCATTAGCCCACATACCAGTAACTTATACTTAAAGATGGGATGGAGTTGTAAAGTGCTTTTATAATACAATATAATTGTTAAAGGCAAGGGTTGACTCTTTGTTTTATTTTGACATGGCATGTCCTGAAATAAATATTGATTCAATATGGCAGATGGGTCATATTCTTTATTTGGAAGAAGTTGTGACTTCTGACATGGGTGTGATTGTCTTCCTACACTGTTGCATTTGATTCTTTTTATGTATTTTTAAGAAAGTAACCAGTTATACTGCTTTTAATATTGATTGGTCTTTTTATTTGGCTTGGAGTTCTTCAAAGCATTGAAGTGTGTTCATAGTCCAGGTTTTTTTTTTAATAAACACAATTTTGCTGCCAAAAATATATAAATAAAACACGAAAGAAAACAATTATTGACCTGGTTTCCCATTCCTGCCAAGATGGTGAATTAGCATTTACTTCTCCCTCTCTGGGAAGACCTTTAAAGCAGACATGGACAGAATCCAGAAAAATAACAACAACAAATGTGAGGAACTCCTAGGGAGTCAAAGACTCTTTTTTTGATGGGGGTATTGTTGGGGGGTGGGGGAGAGGGGCTGCAACTTGAAAGATACATCCCCTGGTGGAGGCAGTAATAGGACATATTAAGAAAAGCATCTTAAGTTCTGCTTTTGCGTCCTCACTCCTAACTATACCTTTGCCTTGGGACAGGAGCCAGCAAACTGTGGCCCTCCCACCAAATGCAGCCTGGAACCAGTTTTAAAAATTAAGTTTTATTGGAACTCAGCCATACTTTCCCACTATAATGGCAGAGCTTAATAGCTGCCACAGACCTTATGGCCCTAAAACCCAAAAAACTGTTTACTATCTGGCCCTTTACAGAGAAAAGGGCAACCCCTGCCTTGGGACAACCATAGCTGAACCCCTTACTGTAAAATGAAGGCCACAGGCCAGAATACTAGTGCAGGTGTCTGCAAGAGTAATATTAAGGCAGTACAAAAGCACTAATAAGCCGATGGAAATAAAGGCAAGGCCCTGAAATAAGTTGTGGCTTTGGGGGATGATACTGATACTGAATGGGAGTGATTACATGTGGGCTTATAGTTCCTAGAACTCTTTGCCCCAAAGTTTGTCCCCTCCTCTCCTTGACAGTCTTGTCCCTTGTGCCTTCCAGACTAGTAGCCTATACCCTGAGGGGAATTTGAACTCACACAGCAATATAGTTGAATACCTAAAAACTGCCTCAAAAGTAAAAGTAAATATCTAAAGCAGAAATACTTTGGGAAAGAACGAATAATTTAAGGATGACATGATAAATATTAAGGAGATAAGATATGAAACAATTTGGAATCATAAATTAAGTGTGAAAAGTTTTTAATTGTTGAAATGAGGAACACAGCCAGGTGCAGTGTTTCATGCCTGTAATCCTAGCACTTTGGGAGGCCGACGTGGGAGGACAGCTTGAGCCTAGGAGTTAAAGACCAGCTTGGGCAATATGGTAAGACCCCATCTCTACAAAAAAATTTAAAAATTAGGCAGGCATGGTGGTACACACCTGCAGTCCCAGCTACTCAGAAGACTGAGGGGAGAGGATTGCTTGAACCCAGGAGTTCAAGGCTGCTGTGAGTTCTCATCGCACCACTGCCCTCCAGCCTGAGCAACAAGGCAAGACCCTGTTTCTTAAAGGAAAGATAAGGAACACATAGGTGAGATAAATGGTAGAATGGATTCCGTTAGTTAGGATGGAGTTGGTAAGCTGGAACATGAAATTGAGGAACTCATTCATCAGAAAACAGAAATAGCTGACCAGGCACCTATGATCCCAGCACTTTGGTAAGCGGAGGCAGGCAGATCACGAGGTCAGGAGATCGAGACCATCCTGGTTAACACGGTGAAACCCCGTCTCTACTAAAAATACAAAAAATTAGCCAGGTGTGGTGGTGCGTGCCTGTAGTCCCAGCTATTTGGGAGGCTGAGGCAGGAGAATCACTTGAACCGGGGAGGCGGAAGTTGCAGTGAGCTGAGATTTCGCCACTGCATTCCAGCCTGGCAACAGTGTGAGACTCCGTCTCAAAAAAAAGGAAAACAGAAATAGCTTTCTTGTTCCTCTTGCCATGTGACAAAAAGCAGGGCAAAGCTCCCCCTTTGCTTTCTGCCATGATTGTAAGTCATGATTGTAAACTTTTTGAAGTCTCACCAGAAGCAAATGCTGGCACCATACCTCTTGTACAGCCCATAGAACTGTGAGCCAATTAAACCTTTTTTTCTTTTCTTTTCTTTTCTTTTTTTTTTTTTTTTTTTTTGAGACTGAGTCTTGCTCTGTCGCCCAGGCTGGAGTGCAGTGGCGCGATCTCGGCTCACTGCAAGCTCCACCTCCCGGGTTCACGCCATTCTCCTGCCTCAGCCTCCCAAGTAGCTGGGACTACAGGTGCCTGCCACCACGCCCAGCTAATTTTTTTGTATTTTTAGTACAGACAGGGTTTCACCGTGTTAGCCAGTATGGTCTCAATCTCCTGACCTCGTGATCTGCCTGCCTCGGACTCCCAAAGTGCTGGGATTACAGGCGTGAGCCACCATGCCCAGCCTTTTTTTCTTTTTTTCTTTTTTTTTTTTGAGATGGTGTCTCGCCGTGTCATCCAGGCTAGAGTGCAGTGGTGTGATTTCGGCTCACTGCAGCCTCTGCCTTCCAGGTTCAAGCGATTCTCCTGCCTCAGCCTCCCGAGTCGCTGAGATTACCGGCGCACACCACCACGTCCAGCTAGTTTTTATATTTTTAGTAGAGACAGCGTTTCACCATGTTTGCCAGGCTGGTCTCGAACTCCTAACCTCAAATGATCTGCCCGCCTCAGCCTCCGAAAGTGCTGGGATTACAGACCTGAGCTACCACGCCCAGCTTAAACCTCTTCTTTATAAATTACCCAGCCTTGGATATTCTTTTATAGCAATGCAAAACGTACTAACAGAAAATTGGTACTGAAAAGTGGGGCATTGCTATAAATGTACCTGAAGACGTGGAAGAGACTTTTTAACTGGGTAATGGGCAGAGGTTGGGAAAGAGTTTGGAGGGCTCATAAGAAGATGGAAGATGAGGGAAATTTTGAAATTTCTTAGAGACTGGTTAAATGGTTATGACCAAAATGCTAATAGAAATATAGACAGTGAACACCAGGCTGATGAGGTCTCAAATGGAAATGAGGAATTTATTGGGAAATGGAGTGAAGATCACCCTTGTTACACCTTAGCAAAGAACATGGCTGCATTGTGTTCATGTCCTAGGGCTTTGTGGAGGGTTGAACTTAAGAGTGATGACCTTCTGGCCAGGCATGGTGGCTCACACCTGTAATCTCAGCACTTTGGGAGGCCAAGGCAGGTGGGTCACTTGAGGTCAGGAGTTCGAGACCAGCCTGACAAACATGGTGAAACCCCATCTCTACTAAAACTACAAAAATTAACTGGGTGTGGTGGCACACACCTGTAATTCCAGCTACTCTCATTGGGGAGGCTGAGGCAGGAGAATCGCTTGAACCCGGGAGGCAGAGGTTGCAGTGAGCCAAGATCGTGCCACTGCACCCCAGCCTGGACGACAGAGTGAGACTCCGTCTCAAAAAAATAAAAAAACAGTGATGACCTTCAGCTAGGGTGTCTAGCTGAAGAAATTTCTAAGCAGCAAAGCATTCAAGATGTGCCATGCCTGCCTCTCACAGCCTACAATCAGATATGGGAGCAAAGGAATATCTTAAAGTTAGAAGATATATTTAAATGGGAAGAGGAGCATTAAAATTTGGAAAATGTATATCCTAGCCTTGTGGTAGAGAAGGAAAAAGCATTTTCAGGAGAGGAATACAAGCAACAGCTTGCTAGGGAAATTTATATAACTAAAAGGGAGCCAAGTGCTAATAGTCAAGACAGTGGGAAAAGGCCTCAAAGCCATTTCAGAAGTCTTTGGGCCAGTCCCTCCCATCAGAGACCTAGGAGGAAAGAATGGTTTCAGGGCCCAGGCCCAGGGCCTGCACAGCCTCAGGACACTGCTCAAAGGGCCCCAGATATAGCTCGAGGCGGTGTTCCAGCGGGCGCAAGCCATAAGCCTTTGTGGCTTTCATGTGATGTTAAGCCTGCAGCTGTGAAGAATGCAAGAGTGAAGGAGACTTGGCAGCTTCCACTGAGATTTCAGAGGATGTATGAGAAAGCCTAGGTGCCCAGGCAGAAGACTGCCACGGGGCAGAGCCCCCACCGGAGCCTTTACTAGGGCAGTGCAGAGGGGAAATGTGGTATGGGAGCCCCCACAAAGAGTCACTACCAGGGCAATGCCAAGTGGAACTGTGGGAAGAGGGGCCACTGCCCTCCAGACTGCAGAATGCTAGAGCCACCAGTAGCTTGCACCCTGAGTTTAGAAAAGCCACAGACACTCAACTCCAACCTGTGACAGCAGCCACAGAGGTGGAGCTGCCTAAGGACTTGGGAGGCCAACCCTTGCATCAATGTGCCCTGGATGTGGGATATGGAGTCAAAGGAGATTATTTTGGAGCTTTAAGGTTTAATGTCTGTCATTCTGGGTTTCAGGCTTGCTTCAGGCCTATTGCCTTGTTCTTTTGGCTGATTTCTCCCTTTTGGAATGGGAATGTTACTCAATGCCTATACCACCCTTGTGTCTTCAAAGTAAATAACTTGTGTTTTTGGTCGGGGGGTGGTTGATGGTGGTGGTGGTGGTTGTTTAGACAGGATCTTGCTCTGTCGCCCAGGGTGGAGTGCAGTGGCATGATAGCTCACTGCAACCTCTCCCTCCCAGGCTCAAGCAATCTTACCACCTCAGCCTCCCAAGTAGCTGGGACCAAGGCACGTGCCACCATGCGTGGCTGATTTTTGTATTTTGGGTAGAGATGGGGTCTCACTATGTTGCTTGGGCTGGTCTTGGACTCCTGGGCTCAAGCAGTACACCTGCTTTAACCTCCCAAAGTGCTAGGATTACAAGTGTGAGCCAATAACTTGTTTTTGATCTTACAGAAAATCATACGAGGAAGGAACTTGCCTTGAGTCTCAGAAGAGACTATGGACTTTGGACTTTTGATTGAGTTGATGCTAGAAGAGTTAAGACTTTGAGGGATGATTTTTTTTTTTTTTTTTAAGACAGAGTCTTGCTCTGTTGCCCAGGCTGGAGTGCAGTGGAGCTCAATCATTTTGAGGTCAGGAGTTTGAGACCAGCCTGGCCAACGTGGTGAAACCCCATCTCTACTAAAAATACAAAAATTAGCCAGGCGTGGTGGCGAACGCCTGTAGTCCCAGCTACTCAGGAGGCTGAGTCAGGAGAATCGCTTGAACCTGGGAGGCGGTTTCAGTGAGCCGAGATCAGGCCACTGCACTCCAGCCTGGGTGAAAGAGCAAGACCGTGTCTCAAAAAAAAAAAAAAGTTGCTTGACATCATTTAAAGTTAAATATGTTTGTCATATAACCCATTTATTCCATTCCTCAATATTTACCCACAAGACATGAAAGCATGTGTCCATACAAAGACTTGTACACAGGCTGAGCGTGGTGGCTCATGCTCATAATGCCAGTACTCTGGGAGACTGAGGCGGGAGGATCACTTGAGCCCAGGAATTTGAAACCAGCCTGGGCAACATAGGGAGACCCCATCTCTACAAAAATAAAAATATTAGCCAGGTGTGGTGGCACATACCTGTGATCCCAGCTACTTGAGAGGCTGAGGTGGGAGGATTGCTTGAGCCTGGGAGATCGAGGCTGCAGTGAGCTGTGATTTTGCCTCTGCATTCCAGCCTGTCTCAAAACAAAAACAAACAAAAAAACTTGTACACAAAATTCATAGTAGCTAGTATTGCCAAGAACTAGAAACAACCCAAATGCCCATTAAAAGGTGAATATATAGGCCAGGCGCGGTGGCTTATGCCTGTAATCACAGCACTTTGGGAGGCTGAGGTGGGCAGATCACAAGGTCAGGAAATTGAGACCATCCTGGCCAACATGGTGAAACCCCTTCTCGCCTAAAAATACAAAAATTAAGTGGACGTGGTGGCACGTGCCTGTAATCCCAGCTACTCCGGAGGCTAAGGCAGGAGAATTGCTTGAACCAGGGAGTCGGAGGTTTCAGTGAGCCAGGATCACACCACTGCACTCCAGCCTGGGCGACAGAGTGAGACTCCATCTCCAAAAAAAAAAAAAGTCACCTTCTCACCTACTGCATTTCCATCTCTATTCTTTTTTTTTTTTTTTTTTTCTTGAGACGGAGTCTCGCTCTGTTGCCCAGGCTGGAGTGCAGTCGCGCAATCTCGGCTCACTGCAAGCTCCACCTCCTGGGTTCAGGCCATTCTCCTGCCTCAGCCTCCTGAGTAGCTGGAACTACAGGCGCCTGCAACCATACCTGGCTAATTTTTTGTATTTTTAGTAGAGATGGGGTTTCACCGTGTTAGCCAGGACGTTCTCGATCTCCTGACCTCGTGATCCGCCCGCCTCGGCCTCCCAAAGTGTTGGGATTACAGGCGTGAGCCACCGCACCCGGCCTCCATCTCTGTTCTTTAAAGGATATCTCTATGTGCAGTCCATACTTAAGGAGTTGGGATTTGTTCTTCTTTAGGGGGGAATATCTATGTAAATTGTTTGTAATTCTCCAAGGGAGATTTGTCTCTTCTCCCCCATTTATTTATTCAAATGTTCAGTAATTTATATCAGTATGGACTCATGGATACTTATTTTATACGTTGGGTTATAATCTAATACTACTTTATTTGGTTGCCCAGATTGTTCCAGCTCTTTCAGTTCTTTTGCCCCTTCGATGTACCCCCATCGATGTGCATTTGTTTTGGTCTTTTGAGTTCTTCTTTATGGCAGTATATGATGCTCCAGGCTCATCATGGATACTTCTTTATCCAGTCCTGTAATCAGCCATTTCTCCAAGGATCGCTGATTTCTTTGACTGGAGAATTGGTATTAGACATGAAGATGTGGGGCCAGGTGTGGTGGCTCACGTCTGTAATCCCAGCACTTTGGGAGGCTGAGGCGGGCGGATCACGAGGTCAAGAGATCGAGACCATCCTGGCCAACATGGTGAAACCCCGTCGCTACTAAAAATACAAAAATTAGCTGGGCATGGTGGTGCGTGCCTGTAGTCCCAGCTACTCAGGAGGCTGAGGCAGGAGAATTGCTTGAACCCGGGAGGCGGAGGTTGCAGTGAGCTGAGATCATGCCACTGCACTCCAGCCTGGGTGACAGAGCGAGACTCCGTCTCAAAAAACAAACAAACACAAAAGATGTGGGGCTAGGTGTGTTCATTTCTTTCTTTTCTTTCTTTCTTTTTTTTTTTTTTTTTGGACACAGAGTCTCACTCTGTTGCCCAGGCTGGAGTGCAATGGTGTGATCTCGGCTCACTGTAGCCCCTGCCTCCCAGGTTCAAGTGATTCTCCTGCCTCAGCCTCCCAAGTAGCTAGGATTATAGGTGCGTGCCACCACCACACCCGGCTATTTTTTGTTTTTTTGAGACAGAGTCTCGCTCTGTCAGCCAGGCTGGAGTGCAGTGGCACGATCACGGCTCACTGCAACCTCTGCCTCTTAGGTTCAAATTATTCTCCTGCCTCAGCCTCCCTAGTAGATGGTATTACAGGCGCATGCCACCACGCCCAGCTAATTTTTGTATTTTTAGTAGAGATGGAGTTTCGCCATGTTGGCCAGGCTGGTCTTGAACTCCTGACCTCAGGTTATCCACCCACCTGGCCTCCCAAAGTGCTGGGATAACAGGCGTGAGCCACTGTGCCCAGCCTAGGTGTATTCATTTCTTTGAGGCTCTCTCAGCTGGCAGATGAAGGAAATATATGTATGTACTGATGTGTATATACACATATCTGTAAATATTTCTGTATATAATCCCGTCTCTATGTCAAGCTAGACATGAGTTCATACTGATGTCTCCAACTGTAATCCATTACCACATGAATCATTCTAGCTTCCTCCCTTTGCTTATCTGTAAATTTCTACTTCACCACTGAGAAACCTGGCTTCCAGTTGATCTAGGGACTCCAATGTGCATCTTTGACTTATCAGCATATACTTAATATTGTACTACTTCACATAAGGTATTTTGTGAAAGGAAATTTACCAGAGTATCATTCTACTGTCCCACCCCCACTCCCTGTCCTCTCTGCTTTTTTGGTGTATTTTTTATTACATTCATAATTTTGCATATACTTGTGAATAATTAATTCTGTTGACTATTATTCCATTTTGTGAATATTACCAGTAGATTTATCCTGTAGAATTTAAGTTTTTTCCATTGCTGTTATAAACACTTTTCTACCTACTTTTTGGTGAAGGTAAGTACACATTTCTGTTGGGTGCACCCTAGGAGTAGAATTGATTCGTTATAATATATGCATATACTTGGCCTTACCAATCAGTTTCCAAAGCAATTGTACCAGTTTAACTTTACAGTTATTCCAGAAGTGTATGAGACTCCATGTCAGTACTTAATGTCATCTGTCTCTTTCATCTTTGCCCATTTTAATTCAAAACTTTTTAAAAACTATGTGCTGACCAGACAAAACAATTTGTGAGCCAGATGTCGTCCATAGGCCACCTCCAGATTAGAGTGTTTTGTCTATGAGGATTAATGTCTGTCTTAATGTGTGTGTGAATAATTTAAAAATTGTCTACTGGACAGCTGGAAGAATTAAAAATTCATGTTGCAGTCCTACTAGTGGAGAGATTTTGAAGCAAACTGCATCGGGAACATCTATTTGCACTCATTGCTTTGTTCATTGGGGTGACTGGAAAGCACAAATGTGGAGAGGTTTTTGGAGAAAGCCAGAACAGAGGACAGGGGATTGAAGTGAGGAAGTAGGAACTTCTGCAAGTGAACTAAAAACCTGTCCCCTTACTGGGGGGATAAAGAGTAATTTCATTTTATTTTTTCATTTCCTTCTTTTTCCTTTGTTACTCCACCATTTCTATGAAGTCTGATGCACGTGCTTTGTTGGGGCTGGTGATGACATGGAGAATGAAAACTCGGGCAGTAAAGGAAAACCACCCCACATTGATCCCATAATTGGTGTCCAGGTAGAGAGAACAGGCATCCATGTGAGAGAATCTCACTAAGATGTTCAAATGGTAACCAGTGGGTCCAGACAGACTAAGGTGTGGGGGAGAGCAGCTGGCCAGTGGAGAAGGCCTCCTTCCTCCCCGATATACTAGAAGAAGGTGATTTTTTTTTTTTTTTGAGAAGGCGTCTCACTCTGTTGCCCAGGCTGGAGTGCAGTGGCGCCATCTCAGCTCACTGCAACCTCCACCTCCCGAGTCCAAGCGATTGTACTGCCTCAGCCTCCTCAGTAGCTGGGATTACAGGTGCCTGCCACCACACCCGGCTAATTTTTGTATTTTTAGTAGAGACAGCGTTTCACCAGGTTGGCCAAGCTGGTCTTGAACTCCTGACCTCAAGTGATCCACCTGCCTCAGCCTCCCAAAGTGCTGGGATTACAGACGTGAGCCACCACACCCAGCCAGATGGTGACAATCTGAGAGGACAGAGGCTGACATCTGCTTTGTAGTTGGAACTCTTTCTATATTCAGTATATGTTCCTGCCTAAGCATATCCTGGCCTTAGCTTGTTACCCCTCTCCATCCCCAAGGCTTGTGACCAACCTAGAAAGGGTCAAACCTCAGGGTTCTGTGCTTCAGGTTTAAGGGTGATAGACTGATTGGACCATGATTCTGACAATGAAGTCTCCTGATGACCACTTAAGATATCTGCAAACCTCTGTGGGAAATTCTAAGGTTGGGGAACACTGATCTGAGGTCAGAAGTAAATCTGGGACCCAACCCTGGGAGTTCTCAGGAGGTAGATCTCAACTCCTGAGGAAGGAGGTCTCACAGACTGAGCTATCCCACAAGGGCAGGAAAGGGAAAGGGTAAGAGTACTCCCAGTCCCTATGGGTGGCAGAAAGCAGTAGCATGGTCCCTTTCAGGTGGGGCAAAGGGGAGACAAATCCATTTTAGAGGGCATCGAGGGTCATATCCAGCCAGGTATTCTGAATGTAGGGCTCTAGTTCTGAGACTGAGTCATATACCTGATTTTGGAGAAGTGCTCACTGCCAGGATGCTCAGAGTGCCACAGACCCTTGCTATCTACAGAATCTCCTCTAGTAGGGGCTGATGGAGGCAGGTGGTCTCAGGAATGGATGTGGAGTTGAGCACCCCCAGTGAGCTGGCTATGAGTGGCCAGGCAGTACCTGGGCTGCTCAGACAGTTTGCAGAGATGGTTTTGTCTGGGTTGAGACCATGTTGTCTATGAGAATGAATGTCTGTTTTTGTGTGTGTGAGATCGAACTTCCAGGTTCAACCATGTCCTTCCTTTGCTTCAAATTTTTTGGAGGCATTCCATGGCCTGGAAGTTAGTATATAGTTCAAGCTCCTTCCCTGGCATCCAAGGCCCCTGACGGTTTGACCTTGCTGACCCCCGTTTCCACCCATCACACTGCAGATCCAGCCTCACCCAGAGAACTCTCGGCACTGAGTGCTGCTTTAGTTCTTGTTTCCTCTTCATCTAAGTTAGCAACTCCCACAAGACGATAGTTGGAAGAGCATTTGTCTTTACATCTAGCTTAAGACACTTCCACCCATACCTGAGTTAAGGGCTGCTTTCTCTGTGACCCTACAGCCTCAGGGCTACCAGTTCCCACAGCCCATGTTGTCATAGTCTGTGCCCATGTCTGGGATAGACAGACAGACACACACACACGCACGCACGCACATGCACAAACTCCTTGAATGTAGGGCCCAAATCTCATTCATCTTCCAGTACCCAGCTCTCAGCCCTGTCTGCCAACAAAACTTCTCAGGAAAGCATTTGCTAAAGGAAAAGAGAAGAGATATTTGTGTTATACAGTTGACCTCCTCTCTGGGAATTACTTTCCTGCCAGGTAATGAGCCACACAGGATTTATAGTGCAGAAGCAGTGTGGTGTGGTAGACAAGGTCAAGTGACCTGCATTTGAATCCAGATTCTGACACAGCATGCATGACTTGGACAATCTACTTTCCTTCTCTGCATCTGTTTCTTTGTAGGTAAAATAAGAATAGTAACACCAGGCCCATGGGGTTGTTGCAAAGACCTATGAGATAAAGCAGGGGAAGCTTTGGGCAATGAATGGCAATGTCCCCAGCTCTGTCTGATCTCAAATGCCCTGCCCAGCCAGCTCCCTGATCCTTGTTTAACCCACATTCTTGGGAAAGGACTCTAGATAGCTTGGGCTCTTCCTACATATTGATCTCTAAAAGTCCTGAGACTGTGCCGGAGAGTAAGAGGAAAGGTCATTCCCAGAGCCAAACTCAGAGATGTCCCTGCAGGAGCATGCAGGACACCCTCTAATGAGATGGCGTAATGGGGATGCCACTAAAGGACTGACAGGGTAACTGGGTCCATCTGGGAGAAAATTAAGGCTGAGGCTGGGCTGAAGGTAGTGAGTTATCTCAATTGACTGTTCATAGTCAGTTACAGATCAAACTCTGTTCTCTCTCCCCACTTCTCACTGCTGCAAAGGAAGGGAAGGAAAGGAAAGGGAAGGGGAAGGGGAGGGGGAGGGGGGAGTGGGGGAGGGGAAGGGAAGGAAATGGAAGGGGAAGGGAGGGGGAGGGGGGGAGGGGAAGGGAAGGGAAGGGAGGGGGAAGGGAGGGGAAGGGAGGGGAGGGGAGGAGGAAAGACAAAAATAGAAAAAATTAAGGCTGTGAGGAGGAGAAAGGAGGGGAGCAAAACAAAAGAAAAAATTAAGGCTGAAGTTCCAAAGCATGGACTGGGTCTGATGCACTGCTGGGTCCCCTGAACACAGTACAGGCCTTAGGATACCCAGGGTATGTAACCTCTGACTGCACAAATGCTAACAGACCTTGGTTTTCTCAAGAGGCTCCTCTTGCATCCATGCTTGTCCTTAAGCCGGGGCCACATACTGGACTATGCCCTGTGTTCAGTAGCCTGGCCCAAGAGGTTCCTTATAGTTTGACCTCATCCACCACCTCTCACCATGCGACCTGCTATAGCATGAGACTGGTTCCTGAACTTCAGGGTGCTCTCAAGCCTCTAATGCCTTTGCTCATACCATTTCTTCCATCTGTTCTCTGTGTGGAAAGCTCTCCCAACTTTTTCAGATTGGCAAACTCCTACTCATTTTTCAAGGTTCAAAATAAATTTCCACTTCCTGTCCCAAAGCTTTCCCTAGTTCCCTTGGCAGAGTTGCATGCCTCCTCTTCAGAGCTCCAACTGCACCACGTTCCTCTGTAACTTCATTCAATCATTGCTGTTTTTATACATGTCTCACCTCTAAGTTGGTGTCTCTGGAACTGTGGCTGAGGTGAATACCTGATATTTTTGCCAACCAGCTTTCATCTATTCATCCTACTTCTGGGAACAGTGCCCTGAATTTCCTCTGGGACACCATCCCACCCCTGCTGTAAGCCCTGTTATTTTAGACCATCCGTTTCCAGACCACTGGGGTTGATGCAGGGATGGCCACAGGACCCAATTTAGACTGATGTCTACCAGGCCCAGGACTTTCAGTCATACTGTTAGAGGAAGAGAAATTCTCTTGGTTGGACTTGAACTCAGGAGGGCATTAGCCTGGAGCTGCTGAACATCACTGCAGCTTCCAAATGAGCCAGCCCTGCAGGTGTAAAGATGGAAACAAAGCAAAGTCTAAGTGACACTCTTTGAGCCCCTGGATCACACAGCTCTTGGACTTCTCAGTTATGTGGCTTAACCTTTTCCCTTTGGCTTAAATCAGTTTGAACAGGGAGTTTCTATCTGACAGCCCCAAGAAGCCTGATGCAGGATGATGGTGTTTCCTTTCCTGACCACCTGGTTTTCTATGAGAACAATTCATTGATTCAACTCTAGAAGGATGGGAACCTACTGGAAAAGACTCCAACATGAACAGGATTCTCAGAAAGCAGGCAGGACCTGGCTTGGATCATCCATCAGCTCAGACAACAGAGACTCCAAGGCAGTCCCTCCTCTTGAGCCCTCAGGAATGGTCAACTTCAACCAGCTACCTTAAGTGTAGGGAAAACAAAATCCAGAAAGGTTAAGTGACTTGCCCCAAATGACTCAGCTAATATGCTGTCACCAGTTCCAACTGATCTCAGAATCCACACTCTTTTTCACTAGACCAGTGAAGGCACTAGTAGCTGCTGGATCATGGAGAGGGAAACAGGGCCTTCTGGGGGAACAAAGCAAGCCACAGTTACTGCTAGAGCCAACCAAATCTTTATTAGTCTCGGCAGCAGAACTAATGGAGCCCCCATTTACAGGGGAGCTTTAGTGGGCTAGTCTGGCTACCAGGCAGGGATGTTAGCATTTCTATTGGTGATTGGGATAGAAAGGGGGAAGAGACTGGAAGGGAACCAAAGGGGGAGACTGGTGGACCACCTGAGGGCAGGCACAGATGGGGCTTCCTGGGCTGGTGTAGAGGTGGATCAGGCCCCAGAGGAGAACACTGCCATCTTATTCAGAATGAAGGATGAGACAAAGCCTGAGAGGGTGACAGTCACAGCTACAAAGAGAGGGCCGAGCTCCTGGTGTGAGAGGCATTTCTGGACGGAGGCAGCTTTCTAGGGCTGGAAGTCTCAAATAGAACTCACCTGTTCCCCAACCAGGGGTCCCCAGGTTCAGCTCAATTGTTATCATGGGTACCAGCCAGGAAGCTGTTTGTGGGAAGGATGGGACTTGACTCAGGAGTGTTTTAGGTATGGACATGTGTCAGTATTCACAAAACAGGCAATATATTCATTATAGATGCAATCATGAAACTTCCCTCCAGAGAAGGCTCACATCTCCCCTTTCACCTAGGAAGCTCCTTAGCTTGAAGGCCCACCACGGTCTGATCCCAGCCTCCACCCCAGCCCAAATGAACTCCCATTTAATTCCTTGGACATGCCATGACGTTCACGGCTCTGCATACTTGCCAATAACTGTTCTTCCAGCCTACCTGTCTTGCTCCCTGCCCCACCTGTCCTTGTCAAAGGACTGATAACTCTTCAGCTTTGTCAAGTCCTTGTTTACTCCTGTTCTCCCCACCAGGACTCGAGCTCCCTAAGGAGAGAGCAGAGAGCCCGATTCATGTTGTGTCTACAGCGCCTGGGGAACTCGAAGCCAAATGAAGTCGTATTTGCTGTGCCCTGTTGTGTTTAGAGGAAATGTATCCATAAATGTCTATAACAGATTTTGGGGGTGTCTAGTGGTAGATGTGAAGACTTCAAGCGATGTTTGTACCTGTGATGATAGCTTCTTCCCATGTGGGGATTAAGGGTAGGGAGTGGGGGGAATGGTCCAAACCCGGAAGGAGCTAATGGAGAGGATAGGGCCAAAGTGGGACAGGGCTTGGATGGTAGAGGATGGGGTCCAGGAGGAAGAGGAGTCTAGCAATCCAAGCGCAGGGGTCAGTGCTCCGAGTCCCAGGGCTCAGAACCAGCAGGGCGACCACATGAGCGAGCCCAGCGCCGCCCCAGTGGCGGCTCCCGCAAGCATGCCCATGGCCAGAGGGGCGCCGGCGCTGTAGCAGGGATCCTCCCGCACTATCACGTGCGTCACGCCAGGGCCTGCAGAGGGAGACAGCCCATGAGGATCAGCGACTTAGGAGGGAGTAGAGTGATCTTCGTACCCTTCCTGCATCACTCCAGCCCAACCCAGTGTAAGGCGCCGAACCCACTCTCCTGCTCCCCAGTCAAAGAACAGATCTAGACGCGGGAAGAGCTCCACCCTACGGCTCCCAGGCCTTGGATCGGCTACGGATGTCCCGGAACCTACGGGTCCGCTACGGCAGGCTAGGGCGGAGCAGCGAGGAAACCCTGAGATCGCTAAGCACAACCACCAGGCGCCTAACGATGGGCATTCCCAACCGCCAGGCCCCAGAGCGGGGAGGAGGCAGCATTCCCGCAGTAGCCACCAGGGGCCGCTACCGGCTCAGGAATGGGTATTGCCGACCGCAGGGCTGAGGAGCCATCCCAGAAGGGTGAGGTCAGCTCGAGACGAACGCTGGTTCCAGAGCTCTCCCAGTCTCAGGATGGAGAGGGGCTTGCGGAGAGTTCTGCCTGGGAAAATCCGTGCACGCTAAAAGGATGAAGCCTGGTCCGGACTTACGGACCGTGGGCTGGGCCTGGCGCTGAATCGGTGCTGGATCGAGGCAAGCCCCGGGGCACGCTGGAGACTTACCTGCGTAGGGCGGTCCGTAGTAGCTGCGGACATACGTGGCCTCGTGTGCATTGGGGGGCACCACCTCGTAGTAGTCTTGGTACGGGCTGTAGACGCGCACCTGGGGAATCCAACCATGTCAGGTGCCCAGGAACTCCCTGGCCCGGATTTGGTCCCCTACCCCCACGCCTGGCACAGGCCTCTCTGGGATCCATGGAGCCACCTCCCCAAGTTTAGAAATGGGCCTCCAGCCACTAGCAAGCTCTTGGAGAAAGGCCCTGCCCTCCCCACAAGGTCCACGGTCCTCTAAAACTTCTGCCCTACATCCAGCTCCCAGTGACACCCATTCTCCAACTCTGGCCTCCCACCTAGCTCAAAAAATTCTCTATGGCTCCCAATTTCTCCTTATAGGTAGTCTAATATTTGCTAGCAGCTCTACAATAATGCCACTTGAAAGACCCAGCTCTACTAGTCACAAGGAGGGGAACATGGCCAAGCCCCAGGCCCAGGAAATAAACAGGGGTTGGGGAGGAAGGAAGGGAAAGGAAGGATAGGGATGAGAAGTAACTAAAATACAGTTATGCGTCTTTTAAACAACAGGGATACAGTCTGAGAAATGCGTCCTTAGGCAATTTTAGTTATGTGAATATCATAGAGTGTACTTACAAACAAACCTAGGTGGCACACACCTAGAGTATATGGTATATCCTATTGCTCCAAGCCAACAAACCTGTTCAGCAGGCTACTGCCCTGAATACTGTAGGCAATTGTAACACAATGGTATTTGTTATCTAACTAATCATATATAAATGTAGAAAATGTAATGCATTGCCCTACGACATTATCATGGCTACAACATCACTAGGTGATAGGAAATTTTCAGCTCCATTATAATCTTATGGAACCACCTTTGTATATGTGGTCCATCATTGACCCAAAATTGTTAGGCTGCACTAGGCTGTAACGATTATTGAGCACCTACTATGTACCAGGTCCTGAAGGAAGTGATCACGTGTGTTACACCACCTCTAATCCTTAAAGCAGGTATTAGCTCCACATGACCATAGGGTTGGGGACTGAGGCTCAGAGAATGGTCAGTGTTCTCTCTGGAATGCATTCCCTGCCCTCCCCTCTCTCCCATTAGATTTCTGCCAACCCTTCAAAGCCTAGCTCAACGGTCACCCACTCCACTCCAGGAAGCTCTCCTGGTCTCAGGAAGAATTTTTTTTTTCCCTGAATTCTGTGGATCTTGCTTGTGCCTCTTGTTGCTATCCTTTCTCCTGGCCTTTCTTGCAGCCCAAATGTGAGCTGCTTGTAGACAAGGACTCTGATTTGTTTGTGTCACCAGCAGGGCCAAGTGCATACCAGGAACCAAGAACTATGTGCTGAATTAAATGGAAACTCCAAACCCCTCATTTTACCCATGGGGGAGCAGACCTGGAGAGGGGTCAGGATCCCCTTCTCTTCTGGATCTTTCCTCTTAGCCCCATTCCACCCTGTATCTCTCTCTAACTGGGATTCACACCTGAACAGTCCAGCTCCCCTTAGAAGTCCAGGTGTCTCAAACTCCACTCATCTCAAGATGATTGCAACATTTCTCCATCTGCTAAAACTGTTGCTTTTCCCATAAATCTTTTTTTTTTTTTTGAGACAGAGTTTCATTCTTGTTGTCCAGGCTGGAGTGCAATGGCATGGTATCAGCTCACTGCAACCTCCGCCTCCCGGGTTCAAGCGATTCTCCTGCCTCAGCCTCCCAGGTAACTGAGATTACAGGTTCCTGCCACCACGCCTGGCTAATTTTTCTGTATTTTTAGTAGAGACAGGGTTTCACCATGTTCGCCAGGCTGGTCTTGAACTCCTGACCTCAGGTGATCTGCCCGCCTTGGCCTCCCAAAGTACCCAGCCCCATAAATGCTTCTCTCAGTACATGCCATCACCATGCACTCAAATCAAGAAAGGCTAGGCACAGCGGCTTATGCCTGTAATCCCAGCACTTTGGGAGGCTGAGGCGGGAGGATTGCTTGAATGCAGGAGTTCAAGACCAGTCTGGGCAACATGGCAAGAACCTGTCTCTACAAAAAATTAAAAAATTAGCTGAGTGTGGTGATGCATGCCCGTGGGCCCAGCTATTTGGGAAACTGAGGCAGAAGGATCACTTGAGCCCAGGAGATCGAGGCTGCAGTGAGCAGTGTTTGCACCACTGCACTCCAGCCTGGGCAACAGAGGGAGATCCTGTCTCAAAAAAAGAAAGAAAGAAAGAAAAAGAAAGAAGGAAAGAAAGCAGGTTGTTGCCCTTGTCTTCACACATCTGCTTTCCACACATCAGCCACCAGGTCTCGTGATTTTATCTTCTAAATGTGTTCTTCTGCCCATTCTTTTGGCCAATTCCAAGATAATAGGCCACTGGTTTTAGCAACTTGGAAGTTGTGAGTGACCTTGAAAAAACTTTTCAGAGGAGTTGCTGAGTAGGAAAAGCCAAGCTATGGAGGGTTGAAGAAAGGCTGAGAGGTGAAGGATGCAATCCCCATGTCATGACATCTCTTTCAAGAAGTTTGGTGGTAAGGGGAAGGTCTCCAAGCACACCTTGTGATTTCAAATCTCCATGCCATTTTCCTTTGCTAGGGATATGCTTCTCACCTCATTCAACCTGTCTTTCAGACTCAACTCAAGCATCACTCTCCCTGAACCTCAGGTTCTGTTGGGGTCCCATCTGGACACTCACAGCCCTTGGATGTCCCTGCATCACAGCACCGATCATGCTGTCTTCACGTTGTTTCCCTGTGTCTCTCCCATCAGACTTGGAGATGCCTTTGAGGGCAGAGACTGGGTCTAATCAGATCTGACTGGAACATGGCAGGTACCTAATAAATGTTTATTGAATTCATTCCAGTGAATCAAATACAGGGCCAGACTGGAACTAAGGTTGCCCAACTCTGAGTTCAGTTTCAAGTCAGGGAAAACATATAGTCCCAAGACAATGCAAGAGGCTCAGACAAGCAATGTCGTAAGTCAGTGAACTCTACGGTGCTCCCTCCCCATCAGTGATCCAATAGGGATTTCTGGTAGGCAGTGCCAAGATCCAGGCTCCAGGCCCAAAAGGGGTTGGAGGGATCTAAGCTCTCAGGTCCAATTTTATTGGTGGGGAAGTTGAGGTCCACAGCCTCCACCTTGCCCTGCTGCTACACAGTGAGCCAGTGGCCTTGGGAGGCCCTGGAGAGGGTGGAGCACCCCATATCCCTCGAGGGCACCTGTTTTTACTCTCCACGTCTGGGAGGCCCAGAAGTAAACTCCTATAAGTCACCTGGCAACAAATAGGGACAGCCCAGAGACCCATGGGCAGAACCTGAGGGTTTGAACCTGCCTCTCCCTCTCCAGAGGCCCAGCTACTTTGTGGGTACAACCAGTGTTGACCAATCAGGGGGTCACATGCAAATGACTCCCCTTAGCTGAGCTGTTGTGTTATTAGGTTTACAGTCTGTTAAATCCTAGTTTTTGACATCCCCACTTTAAACAAACTTGCATCCTAGTTTGGGCATGGAAAATACCTCAGAACGATGGGCTGGGAGTCCCAGACCTGCCATTGATGAGTTGAGTGACCCTGATCAAGTTAGGTAACCTCTCCAAGCCACTGAGGATCTAACAGTGCCACATCTATACAATTTGGTGGCCCAGGCACTTCTAGGCTTAGTGATTCTGCACATCAGAGTCATCAGGAGACAATTTTTTTTTTTGAGATGGAGTCTTACTCTGTTGCCCAGGCTGGAGTGCAGTGGGGTGATCTTGGTTCACTGCAACCACGTCCGCCTCCTGAGTTCAAGCCATTCTCCTGCCTCAGCCTCCTGAGTATCTGAGATTACACCATGTCTTGCTAATTTTTGTACTTTTAGTAGAGATGGGGTTTCACCATGTTGGCTAGGCAGGTCTTGAACTCCTGACCTTGCAACCTGCCCGCCTCAGCCTCCCAAAGTTCTGGGATTATAGGTGTCAGCCACCAGGCCTGGCCAGGAGACAGGTTTAAACTACAGGTTTCCTAGGCCTAGGCCCCATGCCAGATTAAAACATCCAGAGGTGGAACATGAATACTTGTTATTAGTGCTTGTAAGTTCCTAAACAATCCTGATACATAGCCACACTGAGCACCACTGTGTAAGATGAGCTCAGAGTTGACTATAAGATCACAGGTACTCTCACTCAAGCCCCCTCCTGCCACCCACCCCATGCCAGGCCCTGTGCTGAGTTCTGGGGACAGAGAAAAGATTCAGGCCAGATCCTGCCTTCAAGAAACATTGAGGGTGAGGGGAGACAGACCTAGACTAAATTAGACTATGTAGTAGTATTGCTATAAAGGAAGTTTTTCACTCCCTCCTTCCTTCCTTTGCTCACTCAGTGAACATTCCCTGAGCCCCACTGTGTAAGAAAGGTCAGCATAGACTCCCCATCATCGAGCACTAATTGAGCATGTGCCATTTACCTAGCCTTGTGCCAAGTTCCATAGAGGCAGCGCAATCAGGCCTCATTCTTGCCTTGGAGGAAGTTCTAGGCCTCATGGAAGACTACACAGACAGGAATAAACCAGCTCTGAAACCAGGCAGAATGAAGAAAGCACTAAGCCTTGGTGCCGCTAGGCTGAGGGAGGGAATGACGATGCCTAGTGGTCTAGGAAGTCCCCACTGAGTAGGTGGCAGGCAGCCTTTGAGGTGGGCCTTACAGGATGAGCATCAGTTTGTCAGGTGAATGAGGAAACTGAGGTCTTGTCAGCAGAGGGAACAGCATGTGCGAAGGCTGGCAGAGGGAAAAGGTCTGGTGTGGCTGGGGACAGAGGGTACAGCAGAGCAGCTGGTTTGTGTCCTGTGGGTGATAGGGAGCCATGGAATGTTTGTCACAGGGAAGGGATGGACTGGGCCTGGTTTTGGAGGCTCATCCTGGTGGCCAGTATGGAGGCAGGGAGGGCCGAGCCAGCACTTACCCAGATCCGCCTCTCAACCTTACAGGGGCTCCACGAGCGGGTCACACACCTGACCTTGGAGCAAACCCGGCGGCTCCTGGGAGGGACGGTGGCTCCAGCTGGGGCCTGCTCAAGCCACAGAAACCCAAGAAGGAGGAGGGAGGGAGGGGGTGTCAGAGGCCCTCTACACCTAAAGAGACTCAAGAGCTCTTTCCAGACCCTACCAGAGCCCTCCGCCAGCTGGGCTGTGGCAGGGAGCATCCTCTTTCTCCTCAGCTCATGGTAACGGGGGAGGCTCAGAGAATGCTGATGACTGCCAAAGTTACGCAGAAAAGAAGGACAAGTAGTCTCTTTCCAGAATTAGCCCACCCTCCCCTATTTCATCCTGCTGGGGTTCCCAGTCTCCAGGGAGGACAGGGCGACTCCCTTCTGTCCTCTAGCCCACCTGGTCCGCTTCACCCCAGCCTCGTCCCTAGCTGTGCCCCCAGGCCCTGTGTTCCCAGTAAAGCTGGTGTTAGGGGCTCCTGGAGCCTCCACCTGGAGTGAGGTATGAACTCCAGCATGTCGGAGGACAAAGGGCAGGTCATTCCCACACAGGCTACAGAGAGAAGCCCATAAACAGAGGTGAACACACAAAGATAGGTAGACACAGGCACAAATACACCCCGACTCTAGTAAGCCCGGGCACAGAAGGACGTGTATATGTGGAGTAGTGGGAGGTAGAATAGAGGCCAGGGCAGAGAGAAGGGTCAGCAGAGCCACAGGAGATGGACAGGCAGAGAAGGACGAGGCCGCT
Source organism: Homo sapiens (assembly GCF_000001405.40). Taxonomy (NCBI): domain Eukaryota; kingdom Metazoa; phylum Chordata; class Mammalia; order Primates; family Hominidae; genus Homo; species Homo sapiens. The sequence goes on along the minus strand of NC_000011.10, from coordinate 73,655,132 downwards.
TCATAGAGTCACAGAGTGCAGACAGTCACCCTTGCCTCCTTCCCTCCGCCTCTCTTTGGTGGAACTGACTTGCCCCACATAAAGAGGCTTTGGAGCTCAGAGCCAGGGTAGCCTGACCTGGGTCCCTCCACCCTGCAGACTACTGCTGTAGCCTCCTTACTCCCAGCTTTCTCCAATTCACCCGCCACTTGGAAGCCTGAGTCTGCTCCCCAAAATCTGACCACAGCCCTCGCTGCTGAATGCCCTTTATTGCTCCCTACAGGCCTCAGGGAAAGTCCATTTCTTCCAACTGGACTTTGAGGCCCATCATGAGCTGGCCCCGATGACCTCAGAGGTCATCTCTCCTGTTTCATTCGCCTCATGAATTGCTCTCCAGCCAGGCAGACTCTGGGCCCTTAGACGCATGCATATGTGCATAAGCACTTGTGCACACACACATGTGCACACATCACTTCTCTGTCTCTGCTCATGCAGCTACTTCTGCAGATAACGCCCTCCTCTCAAAATCTCACTGACCTAGGTTCCATGGTAGGCTTTTCCACTGACTTAAGAGTATAAGCTTTGGACAAGTCACCTCCCCTCTCTGAACCTCGGCTTCCTTATCTGTAAAATGGGACTAATAATACCAACCCCCACCCAGCTGCCCTGCCAGGGTTGTTGGAAGATGAAATGATGTCACTGCTGCCAGGGGCTTAGCATGATGCCTGGCACTCAGGACGTGGATGCCTGAGGAGGTTTCTAAATGCATCCAGGTCTCCCCTGCTACTTCCCAACGGACTTTCTCTATAGGTGAGAGGGGGCTCCATTGTGCCATACAGAGAAAGAGCAAGCACAGATTCTGGAGTCAGGCAGATGGGGGTGGAGGCCAAGCTGGGCTTTGGGCGGCTCTTCAAACCGCCACTTCCATCAGTCACAAGCTCTGTTGACTCCATCTCCTAAATATGTCCTGTACTCATCAGCCTGTCTCGGCCAACAAGGCCTTAATCCAGATCTCCAGTCTGTTGCCCGGACACTGTCCCAGCCTCCTAAGTGGCCTCTGGGTGTCTGCAGTTACCCTCTATAATCCATTCCCTACCTACCAGCCAGACTATCTTTTTTTTTTTCCTTTTTTCTACAACAAAATTTCATAAACTGACAGACTACCCCCTTTTTTTTACATGCCCCAACGTTACAACAATTATCTTTTTAAAAATATAAATTGAACCTGATCTGATCATGCCATCCCTCTGTTCAAAAACTTGTCATGGCTCCCTGGTGCTCTTAGCAGAAACCAACATCCTTCATACAGCCCACAAGACCTGGTCGTGCCAACCCTCCTTCCCTCCTTACCCACTCACTCCCTAAGCACCAGCCACCCCAGCTGTCCTTCTGTTCCTCAACTTGCCAAATGTCTTAACCTCTCTCAGAGCCTTGGCACATGCTGATCCCTCTGCCTGGAATGCCGTGCCCTTTACCCGATCCCCACACCTTTCACCCAGTCAATTTCTGTTTATCCTTCAGTCCTCGGTTTAAGCCTTGCCTGAACTACCACCTGGATGAAAGGGCCAGACACTGCAAATCTCTGTCAGAGCTGTTATTACTATTGAAATGGAATAATTAATTAGTTGTTCCATGTCTGGCTTCTCATTAGGCTGAGTCCAGGTGGGCAGAGCCCATATCTCCTTGGTTCACCTCTGATCCCTGGCACTTGGCACACCACCTGGCCCATAGTAGCAGCTCAGTAAATATTTGTTGTGCGGATGAATGAGCTTCAGTCTTATCATCTGCAGAGAGAGAACAATAACCCCAACTTCACAGGACTGTTGTGAGGAGCAGCTGGAATGATACCTGCACCACACCTGGCACATAATAGTTGCTCGATAAAAGACAGTTCCTTCTCCCCAGCTCATGTGCCACTCCCTCCAGCAAATCTCCATGGAGGCTTCTCTCTCTCCTCTGAGCACCAGTTGGCTCTCCCTTATCCTTTCCCCGAACACTTGGGACTCAGGCATCAGAGTTTGCAGAAACCTATCCACATAAGACTGAGAACTTCTGGCAGGTGGAGACCGAGTCTGAGTCACTCATGATTCCATGGCACATGGAGGTGGTGGGGAAAGGGGGAGAGAACGGGAGACTCACCGGGGTGGAGTTTGCCTCCAGCAGTGCTGTCTTCCATGCTCTGCAAAGCAAATCCCACCAGACCATGAGGAGGGAGTTTGGGGGTGGGTGAATTGGGCCCCCACATTTTAGACTTTCCTCTCCAACCCAGCCTCAAGCCCAAGTCTCTCATGAAAGGAGAGATCTCTTGTCTCCCTCAGGAAGACAAAAGTGACCCCTCCCCTGCCCCAGTCACATGGATGGAGCACTAAGTTAGGCTAATTCATTCTTCTCGTCCCCTCTAGAAGTTCCAGTTTCCTCATCTATACAGTGGACGGTTGGGCTTGGGTGGTCTCTCAGGGGATGTCAGATTCTGACACTCTTGGGTGGGTGTTGTAGCCCAGTCCCCCTCCACATCCCAAATCTACAAACAAAACACTTCCCCAAAGCTCTGACCCCAGAGCCTCAGGAAGGCCCAGCAGACACGGGACAATGGGGCCTTTGTTGGTTGCCATGGCACCTGGCTGGGTTGGACAAGGCGGCTCTGTGCTGTCTGCCTGGAGCTCAGCTTCCCCCACTCCCACACACCCATCTCTTTCACTCTCCTCCAGCGCAAAGGCCATGTACCCCTTAGCCAGAGGGTAGGAAGGGACGGAATGTGAGCCAGCAGATGGTGCCTGAGAAGGACACACCCAGGCTGGCCACGTGGATATGCATCTGACATTGGGGTGCCCCTGCCTGGGACGCAGCTGACTGCCTTTGTAGGCAGGTCCAGGGCTACCCCTCAGATCAGAGTCCCCCACCAGGGCATCTTCTAAGAAGGGAGCAAGGGTGCCACTAGGCTGCTCTGCTGCTTTGCATCACCCTCAGGTGAGGGCTCACCTCAGAGGCCGCTAAAGACCAGGAACCAGATACCTGAGGCAGGTGTGCACACCTCCCCCTCAGCAATCCTGAGTTCACTGTAGACCACATGAGGAGTTCACTGTGTGCCATGCCAGTCACCACAAGCCCTTCAAATCCACTCCACCCGCCTCCAATAAGACTCCCTTGCTGACTGGCCTTAGTGCCCTCTTCCTACGGTCAGAGAACCAGAAGGCCCAATGAGAAGGGGGCACATGGTAACTTTCCCCGAGATTCCACCCCATCCTCTCCTGGGAGTGACTCACAGGGCATCATCCTTGGTCTCCGCACAGAGGTGCAGGCGGCCGCCTTCCCGTAGGTTCACAGTCAGCAGGCCATCTCGGCTCCGGCCCTCTGGGGGCTGCACATCTGGAAGCAGACACACATATATGGGTTTCCACAGGCACAAGCCCCAGGTCCCCCCAGTAAAGCAGGGACAGGAATAGGAATTGACTTCTCTGGGCTCTGTTTACTGGCCACTGCCAACCTCCTCTGATCCCATATACTCTCTGAGGGATTCCACTCTACGTTTCCAACCTTTCCAACCTTTCCATGCTGAGGCTTCCCTCAGCACACCTCCCAGTTACCCTGTTAGAACTGTGGCCTGGGCCTTGGTGGAGGAATGTGGAGATTTGCTGTGACTCTGGGCCACTTCGCTTCTCTGGGCCTCCTAATTTCATTTCGTCTTCATCCAGTACCGAGCGCCTGGAGGGCAGGAACTGTGCCTGGCTCACCTCTGAGACAGCACAGAGGAGAAAGGCACTAAAGGACTGATTTTTCTTTTTCTTTTTTTTTTTTTTTTTGAGACAGGGTCTAGCTCTGTCCCCCAGGCTGTAGTGCAGTGCCATGAACACTCACTGCAACCTCTGCCTCCCAGGCTCAAGCAATCCTCCCACCTGAGCCTCTTAAGTAGCTGGGACTACAGGTACACACTACCATGCCCGGCTAATTTTTGTTTGTTTTTGTTTTGGTAGAGACGGGGTTTTGCCATGTTGCCCAGGCTGGTCTTGAACTCTAGACTCAAGTAATCTACATGCCTCTCAAAGTACTGGGATCATAGCTTACTGCAGCCTTGAATTCCTGGGCTCAAGCAATTCTCCTGCCTCGGCCTCCCCAGTAGCCATATGTGACCGCATCTCACCAATTTTTTTTTTTTTAAGAGACAGGGTCTCGCTATGTTGGCCGGGCTGATCTAGAACTCCTGACCTCAAGTGATCCGCCCGCTTCAGCCACCCAAAGTGCTGAAATTACAGGCATGCGCCACCACACACAGCCAAGGACCTATTTCTTAACTCACACCAAACTGAATTGGAGTTGACAGAGGCTCAGAAGCAATGTCTGTGAAATGCCTCTGAAAGCTGCAAAAAGACTTCCAACAGCAAGTGTTCTCGGAGACAGCGGGAGGCTCTGCCCACAGTCACGGTGCCACAGAGGAAGGGGCTTCTGCTCACCATGGCACTCTGGGCCGATCTTTATGTCACGGACATTGAAGTGGATGAGCACACGGTCCTCCTCGTCCTGCGCTGTCTCATCGTGGTAGTATCCCAGGGTCCCGTCCAGCCACAGGGCAAACCAGTTCCGCTTCCAGCGGCGGAGGATGGAGCCTGTACGATATTCCAGATGCACTAGGCAGGCTGATCCCAGAGCCTGCTGGGAATAGAAGCCCCAGACAGACTCCCAAGTCCCCTCAGCCTCAGTCCCTAGTGTTACAACCACCTTTTTCTTGTCTACCCCCTGAAATGAGGGCAGGACCTCTTTCTGTCTTGTTCACCTCCTGCCTCCCATTGGGTCTGATGCATAGCAGAAGCTCGATACACGTGCTGAACAGGGAAATGAGTGACTGGGCCCATTACTTGGAAGCTTCTAAGGCCAAGCCCCAGGTCTCTTCAAGGGCAAAGACCTCTCCCTACCTTAAGCCTGCATCTTCTCTCTCTCTGTCTTTGAGACAGGGTCTTGCTCTGTCACTCAGGCTGGAGTGCAGGGGCACAGGCATGGCTCACTGCAGCCTTAACCTCCTGGGCTCAAGTGATCCTCCCATCTCAGCCTCCCAAATAGCTGGAACATCAGGCACGCACCACTGCACCTGGCTAATTTTTAATTAGCCAGGTAGGTATTCTTGGAGACAGTGGGTCTCACCATGTTGTCTAGGCTGGTATCAAACTCCTGGGCTCAAGCAATCCTCCCAACTCAGCCTCCTAAAGTGTTGGGATTACAGGCATGAGCCACTGTGCCCGGCCTCTTATCTCTCATCTCTGACTTGTGTGATGGTTATTTGTGTAGCATCTGCCTCCTGTACCACTCTGGGGGCTATGGCTCCCCACGCAGGTCCTGGCACCCAGGGAGACCTGGCTCAGTGTTTGCTGAACTAAATGAACTGAGAATGGGCAGGGGTATGGGGCATGGGGCTGCTTGTCCCAGGGGTCCCCAGGATAGCTCTTGCTCAGGTCATGACTCTGGTCAGAGGTGGGTCTAGAAGCCCGAGACCGAGCTTCTGACATTTTGCAACTGGAAATCTTAACAGGGAAGGGCAAAGACATAAGAGAGCTTCTTAGGGCTTTGTGGATTCCAAAGCACAAAGGCATTTTTCACTTTGTTCTGTGCCTCGTTCTGTGTCCAGCCCGGGGTTGGGGGACTGTGGACACACAGAGGGTCAAACCCAGCCCCTGTCCTTGAGGAGTTCGCAGACTGGGGCCAGTCTGGGGTCAGGGAGTGGGGATACCCACAGATAGACAGTTCTGTTCTAAGGAGATCACTGTAAGGCGCCGTGAAAACCGAGGAGGGAGCCTCTAATCCAGCTTGACGCTACTGCAGGAGCAGGGGTGGGGGCCAGAGGAAAAGCCAGAGAAGGCTCCTCAGAGAGGGGCCCATCTGAGATGGGTCGTGATGAACAAATAGAAGTTTAAACCATGTAGTCGGGAATGGGAAGGACCTTCAGGCAGAGGGAAGAGCATGGACAAACAAGGGAAGGATGAAAAGGTCCTGGTTTCTTGAGAGAAGTGTTCCCCGTGGCAAGCCCAGTAAGCCACTTCCTTCACCCTGCCCCAGGACCAGGGGCCCAGGATCACTCACTCTGTCTCCACAGCCAGCCGCCCCTCACCAGGGCCATTTCTTCAAAAGGACTTTCCAGAGCGGAGTCAGGCGGGACCTGTCAGAGGAGCCACGGGAGACACAGGCCTCAGCAGCAGCTCCCTGGAGAGAAGCCCCCAGCCCTGCCGTCCCTGGGGAGCCACCCAGGAAACGTTTGAGGGAGGGTTAGTAAACAAGGGCCAGGCGGCCTCGGCCTCCTCCCCATTCTCTGCTCAGGAAGAGAATGGGAGCACTGTCACTGTGGGGTCAGCAGGGCAGCCATTGGTGTGGGGTGGGGGTGGGGACCAGGAGCCTGGATTCCAGCCTCAGCTTGGTAACTTTGGCCATATCCCTCCTCCCTGGCCCTCTGTCCTGGTCTCAGTTTCTAGATCTGTAGAAGTGTGTCTGTGAGGCAGGCAGAGGCTGGAGGGAGGAGCTCTTGAAACATTAGAATATGCCTGACTAGCTCAGTCGGTGGAGCATGAGACTCTTAAAGTATTAGAAACCTTGGGATTCTGTAATGTGGAAGTGCAGAATATTAGAATCACGGCAATGGATGAGGGAAAAGCTCCCTCCTATTTGGACCCCACTAGAGCTGTTTACAAAGTGCTTCAAAGAGCAGTTCAACAGCAGCTGTGATGGACCGAGCACTCTGTCCGGGTACCCCCTATCAGTGCTTTCATCCATTATCTCATTTAAGCCTCCCTGCAGTCCTTATTATTCCTATTTCAGAGATGGGGAAACGGGGGCCGGAAAGGTCCAGTCAGTTGCACGGGGCCACTTGATTAGTAAGCAATGGAGCCCAGACTCACACCCAGCAGTCCTGGCTTCAAACCGTTATGCCGGCAGGAGCTTTGAGAACTTCCGATACCAGGCCACACTCCGTAACAATTAAATCAGAATGTCTGAGGGCAGGAGGCAAGCCCTGATACTCTTCAAAGATCCTCAGATGATTCCAATGTACAGCTAAGTTTGGACGTCACCGCACATTCTACTCCCTCACCTTGTCCCCACTCTAACCCTGTTAGGAAGGGAATCCTTACTCCTGTTTTACAGATGGACAAACTGAGGGTTAGCAAATGACTCATCCATGTACATGATGTAGCTTGCACTGGAATCCAGGTAGGTGCCCTCTGTTCCTGAGGGCGACTCACTTGCCAGCGGGTGCCTCCGCCCCTCCCCCACCTGCTCACACCTGTTGCTGCGTAACAAGGGCTGGCACACCTGGGCTGGAAGGCCCAGCCTTGTCTGTTCCTCTTGCCGCTCCCTCCCCTCTCCACGGTCTTGACACAGATCAGACAAGAGGGTCAGGTGCAGACTCCTTTTCCAGCCCCTCCCCTTGATGCACCCACCTTGTCTACACTTGTTGCGGATGTTGCTGCCTAAGCGGCCGCTACTCGATGCTGCTGCCACCCAACCCGCTGCGCCTGCGCTTTGTGTGCCCCGGAGAGCCTGGGGCATTTCTCTCCTCCCGCAGCGCCTGAGAGCCCAGCTGCCCCCGGGCCCCGCCCTCCGGACCTGCCCACCCCAGGGAGGGGGAGTGACGTGAAGAGATGCTGACCCGAGGCGTACTGGGACTTGTAGTCTACCCCTGTAGAGCTGGGCAGAAGCAGCCCCGCCTGCAATTTTACTTTTCTATTAAGACATTTGTTCACTCATTTATCATGAAATACTTTTTCTTAAGAATCATTGAACTCAGTTCCTAGAAAAAAAGAAAAAGTAAAGTTGCAAGGAGAAGCCAAGCTCCTAGTTTTGCATGTTTTTTTGATGCTTCCCCTTTCCATCCCCAGCTTCCAGTCTAGTGAGGGAGATTACATGGAAACACACAATTGGAGCACAAGGTGTGATTTAACAATGGAAAAGATGAGCCTGACTTTTCTCAAGGGGTTCAGGAAGGCTTCCCAGAGGAGGCTGAAAGGGGCCTTGGAGGATGAGGGGCAGTTTCCTAGGCGACCCGAAATTTCCCCTATGAATACTGTCAGGATGTTGAAGAGTGCCCAGCATTTCCGTGTGTCTAGAACATAAAGCGCAGGGGTGGGGAGGGCATCGGGAGTGTCAGGCGATAGAGCTGCAGGGTTTGGAAAGAAATAGCACAGAGGCCTTGCATGACAGGCGGAGAGCTTGGATGTTAGGACGCAGTGACTGGAGCTGGGGGTGGGAGTTTCAAGATGAGGAGTGAGGTGTGTGATTAGGGGGTCGGAAAGGCCCCTCTAGGGCACAGTGAAGAATGGACTGGCGGGAGCCCACCTGGAGAAAGGAAGACTTTCTGTATCTATCACCTCGGACTGTGATCATTTCCTTCAATAGCTCAGCCCCGCAAACCCTCACCTACCAGCAGCCACAGGATGTCATTCAGAGACCAGAGGATGTCAGGGCCTAAAAGACTTCTGTCCCGTCCCCTATGTGGCAAGGGTGCCCACCCTGCCCTGGGCCCTTCCTCCTGTCCCAGAGAACTCTTCCTTACCGGGGCTGCAGGGCTCATGGTTCCTGGGTGGCCAGGGCAGCATTTCCCAGAAGGCTCCCGCAGCGGGGCATTTCCCTGAGCGCCTTAGAGATAAGGGGATCAGGAAGGTGCTACCAAGTGGGAGGCTGGAGGGGGAGGCAAGGAGGGAGCGCACAGATCCCAAGGAAGGTCGCCCTCTTTCTCCAGGCTCCTCCCAGCCTTTCCAACTGATGGCTCTGACCCTAGGTTCACTAGACAAGTCATCCCTGATTCAGAAGTGGTCTTGGCTCAGCATCGCCGAGGTTCCCGGAGTGGAATCGGGGCGAGGTTGCGGGGGCAGGACAGGAACCGGGCTGGTCCTCCTCCCTAGGTTGGGGGCGGGGCTACATCTTCATTCTTTGGCCTGGCAGGACAGCGCCCATCACCCCAGTCCTGGCTGCGCAGTCTGGCTCTTTAAGCCTTCCTCTCTTGCTCCTGAGTCTCTGTAATCCTGACCTCGAGCTACCCTCGCTCCTCGGCCCTTTGTGCGGTGCGTGCCCTGCTGAGGGATTCGCCATGGCCAATCCTATTAACCATTGAGTTCATCCCCTCTTAGCCGACTCAAGAACCAGCTCTCCCATACCGCGTTTTCATCTCTGTGCCTTTAACTCACTCTCTGTCTGGTTCCTGGAACGTCCCAGTCCCAGCTTCTCCTAGCTAAATTTTCCACCTCCACAGTGGAAGGAAGAAAGGAAGCAGTGGGAGGGGGAAAGAGGCAAGGAAAGAGATATGGAAGGAAGGAAAGACAGAAGGAGAAAAGAAGGGAGGGGAAAGACGGGAAGGCAGGTAGGTAGGGCTGCAGCTGGCCTCGGAGGATCTGCGCCTGGGTCCTGCCCCGACCCAGCCTCTCTCCAGCTCTCCCTGCTCCCCTCCCCGATGGGCAGTGGGGCATCCTTCATGTTGAGGGGCGGGGACGGTGCAATCATCTCCTAGATTTCATTCTCTGGATTTAGCAACCAGATGAAAAAGGAAGGTTCTCCAGCAGCAGTGGAGACTTCAGGGGAAGACTCTCCCCTACCTCCCAAAGAGCGGGCACTATGACGAAAAAAAGAGGAAAGGACGTGGCAAACTAAAACCACAGACACTACTACCGAATCTAAACGTAGCCGGACTTGGCCCATGTCTCTAAAAGCTGGTCAGTGACCCTCTTTGAGAAGCCAATAAGGAAGTGTAGACTGTCCTCAGGAAAAAATCTGCGTATAATTCCTGGGAGTTCATAGACCTCTGAAGCCATGATAGTCATGGTTGGATTGTTTTTAATTTCCAGAGCTGTGTAGATGGGAGGAGAGTGTAGATTGACGAGTGAGAGGTATGACAGTATGTCAGGAATTCCAGCCGCAGCAGTCCTGGCTGTGAGAGACTTTGTTTGTTCAATCAACTAAAACTTATTGAGACTAATAAGCCAACAAGTAACTTTTACATTTCTTTGTGGCTATGGTGCACAGAACCATTGGCAGAGAGGAAAAGATTTTGCCATTTCAAGTGTCCCTGGTGAATGAACAGCCCACAGATAATACATTGTTTAGGAAATAGTGGACTGGCTCATCAAATTCAAATTTACTACTTACATTTTCTAGAGAGTATAATATAATGAGAATAATTTATATTATCTTTATTTTAAAAAACTTGAAGTTTATATCAAGATGCAATTTGAGCAAAAGTAAAAGTGCTTATGAAAACATTTTAAATGGCCGGGCGCTGTGGCTCATGCCTGTAATCCCAGCACTTTGGGAGGCCAAGGCGGGCAGATCACCTGAGATCGGGAGTTCGAGACCAGCCTGACCAATATGGAGAAACCCCATCTCTACTAAAAATACAAAATTAGCTGGGTGTGGTGGCACATGCCTGTAATCCCAGCTACTAGGGAGGCTGAGGCGGGAGAATTGCTTGAACCGGGAGGCAGAGATTGTGGTGAGCCGAGATTTCACCACTGCACTCCAACCTGGACAACAAGAGCTAAACTCCGTCTCAAAAAAAAAAAAAAAAAAAAAGAAAAGAAAACACTTTAAAGTGATAATTTTACGCTTTTTTTTGTCTTTTTTTTTTTTTCCTTTTTCTGGAGAACGGGGTCTCGCCATATTGCCCAGGCAGGTCTCGAACTCCTGGGCTCAAGCTATCCTCCCGCCTCTTGCCTCCCTGAGAGCGGGATTACAGGCGTGAGCCACTGCGCCCGGCCAAAGTGATAATTTTAGTGAGATGTAATTCACCTACCATAAAATTCACCCTTTTAAAGTAAAAAATTCAGTGGGTATTTTTTTTTTTTTTTTTGATGGAGTCTTGCCCTGTCACCAGGCTGGAGTGCAGTGGTGTGATCTCGGCTCACTGCAACCTCCGCCTCACAGGTTCAAGTGATTCTCCTGCCTCAGCCTCCCGAGTAGCTAGGACTACAAGCGTGCACCACCATGCCCAGCTAATTTTTGTATTTTTAGAGATGGAGTTTCACCATGTTGGCCAGGATGGTCTCGATCTCTTGAGCTCGTGATCTGCCCGCCTCGGCCTCCCAAAGTGCTGGGATTACAGGTGTGAGCCACCGCACCTGGCCTTCAGAACATTTTTATCACCCTAAAAAGAAACCCTAGGCCAGACATGGTAGTTCACGCCTGTAATTCCAGCACTTTGGGAGGCCAAGGGTGGCGGATCACCTGAGGTCAGGAGTTCGAGACCAGCCTGTCCAACATGGTGAGACCCTGTCTCTACTAAAAATGCAAAAATTAGCTGGGCGTGGTGGCGCGCACCTGTAATCCCAGCTACTCAGGAGGCTGAGGCAGGAGAATCACTTGAACCCGAGAAGCAGAGGTTACAGTGAGCCGAGATCACACCATTGCACTCCAGCCTGGCTACAGAGCGAGTCTCCATCTCAAAAAAAAAAAAAAAAAGAAAAGAAAAGAAACCCTATAGTCTTTAGCAGTTACTCCCAATCTGTCTTCCCCCCAAGTCCCTGGCAAAATTAATCTGCTTTCTTTCTGTACAGATTTGCCTATTCTGGCCATTTCATATAAATGGAATCATGGGCCAGGCGCAGTTGGCTCACACCTATAATCCCAGTGATTTGGGAGGTGAAGGCAGGAGGATCTCTTGAGGCCAGGAGTTTGAGGTTATAGTGAGCTGTTACTGCACTGCTGTACTCCAGACTCAGTGACAGAGTGAGACCTTGTTTCTAAATAAATAAATAGTTTTAAAAAATAAATGGAATCATGCAATGTGTGACCCTTTGTGACTGGCTTCTTTCACTTAGCATAATGTTTTCAAAGTTTATCCAGGTTGTAGCATGTTATCAGTATTTCATTCCTTGTTTTTTGTTTTTGTTTTTGTTTTTGTTTTCAGACAAGGTCTTACTCTGTCACCCAGGCTGGAGTGCAATGGTGCGATCTCACTGTAGCCTCAACCTCTCTGGCTCAAGCAATCCTCCCACCTCAGCCTCCCAAGTAGCTGGGACTACAGGCACATGCTATCACACCTGGCTAATTTTTGTATTTTTGGCAGAGACCGAGTCTCGCTATGTTGCCCAGGCTTGTCTCCATCTCCTAGGCTCAAGCAGCCCTCCTTCCTCAGCTTCCCAAACTGCTAGGATTACAGGCCTGAGCCACTGCGCCTGGCCCATTCCTTCTTACTGATGAATAATATTCTATTTTATGGATATATCGTGTTTTATTTATCTATTCATTGGTTGATAGATATTTGGGTGATTTCTACTCTTTAGCTATTATAATACTGCTGTGAACATTTGTGTACACATTTTTGTGTGGACATATATATGCTTTATTTTCTCTTGGGTGTGAAATTTCTGGGTCATGTGGTAACTCTACGTTTAACATTCTGAGGAACTGTCAAATTATTTTCAAAGTGATTGCACCATTTTACACGCCCATCAACAACCTCTAAGAGTTCCGATATTTCTATGTCCTAGCCAACACTTGTTATTGTCTGTCTTAAGTATTCACTCCTTGTGTTTTTTATTTGCATTACCCTAATGACGAATGATGTTGGTTATCTTGTTTTTTTTTTTTTTGAGACGGAGTCTCGCTCTGTTCAGCCCAGGCTGAAGTGCAGTGGTGCGATCTCAGCTCACTGCAAGCTCCGCCTCCTGGGTTCACGCCATTCTCCTGCCTCAGCCTCCTGAGTAGTTGGGACTACAGGCGCCCGCCATCGCGCCCGGCTAATTTTTTGTATTTTTTAATAGAGATGGGGTTTCACCATGTTAGCCAGGATGGTCTCGAACTCCTAACCTTGTGATCCGCCCACCTCGGCCTCCCAAAGTGCTGGGATTACAGGCGTGAGCCACCGCGCCTGGCAATGTTGGTTATCTTTTCATGTGCTTATTAGACATTTGTATACCTTCTTTGGGGAAATGTTTATTCTAATCTTTTGTCCATTTTTTAATTGGGTTATTTGGCTTTTGTTGTTGAGATGTAAAAAGTTTTTAAAACTAATAAAATATTTTTCTAATTTTTTTTAAGGCTAGGGCGTGGTGGTATGCACCTGTGGTCCCAGCTACGAAGGAGGCTGAGGTGGTAGGATCGCTTGAGCTCAGGAGATGGAATGCACCACTGCACTCCAGCCAGGAAGTGTAATGGTTAGTTTTATGTGTCAACCTGGCTAGGCTATAGTCCCCAGTTACTCAATCTAACACACTAATCTAGGTGTTGCTGTAAAAATATTGTGTAGATTTGGTTGACCTATACAATCATTTGAAGTTAAGTAAAGGAAATTATCTTTGATAATTGGTGGGCCTCACCAATCAGTTGAAGGGTCTAACAAGCAAAACAGGTTTCCCTGAGAAGGAAGAAATTCTGCCTGTGGATTGAACTGTAGCCTCAGCCCCAGCCTGAGAGTTTCCAGCTTGCTCTGCAGATTTTAGACTTGCCAGCCCCCTCAATCATATAAGCCAATCCCTTAAAATAAATCTCTTTGTATATGTATATATCTCCTACTATTTCTGTTGCTCCGGAGAGCCCTGACTAATGCAGGGAAGAAGAGGATGTCTTCCTTCCATTAACTCCCAATTTGAATCAATTGGAAACACCAGGTTTGGGAATGAAGGAGGAAGGCCTGGCAGACAAGGAGATCTGAGGGGAGGGTGTTGAGAGCCTCCCGTCTAGAGGAAACGGTACCCCATGTCTAGAGATGGGAGGTGGTGAAAATGTTACCTGAACAATACTCCATCTGGATCATCAGATGAATAAGGACTTCTAGAAGCTCAAGTTTAATCACTGTTTTCTTTATTCTTTGGTTTTTGTTTTTTTGAGACAGTGTCTTGCTTTGTTTCCCAGGCTGGAATGCAACGGCGCGATCTCGGCTCACTGCAACCTCTGCCTCCTGGGTTCAAGTGAGTCTCGTGCCTCAGCCTCCTCAGTAGCTGAGACTGCAGGTGCGCACCACCACACCTGGCTAATTTTTGTATTTTCAATAGAGACAGGGTTTTGCCATTTTGGCCAGGCTGGTCTTGAACTCCTGACCTCAGGTGATCCACCCACCTCGGCCTCCCAAAGTGCTGGGATTACAGGTGTGAGCCACCATGCCCAGCCTCTTTATTCTTTATCTCATCTTTGTGATCTCTAGTTTTGAGATGAGGAGCTTTCTTTCAGCCTCCTGTACTCTCAACTAACAATCATGAGCTTTTAGTTCAAGGGAAATAACTTGGTTTTGAGAAGAACAAATGATCCTGTTGCACTGTGCTACAAGGTCTTTGACTTGCTTTCTGAAGGTCTTCAGCTCTTTATAACAGGCTCATCTTGGCATTTGCTTCAGAACTTTCTTCCTCTTGCTCCAATAATGACCTTCCCAGACAGATCATTTCTCAAGAGACGACACTGCTTTGTCTTGACAAAGTTCAGTCACTTCATTTCCTCTCTGCAGAAGATTTTGATCTGCACTTTCAGTCGAGGTTTGCTCAGCCTGAAGATTTTTCACCTGATCTGTCTTGGCTTTTCTGTTTTCTTCTTTAGCAATGTTGATGTAGAATTGATTTTTCTCCCATCTGGGATGTTTAAATGTACACTTGACTTTTCAACATTAATTTCTTCCTGGCTCCTCTTGTCTGGTCATAAATACTCTCTTCACCTGCAGATTCTAAGTTATTACCCATGTTCTCTTCTCCAAGGGAAGCTATCACATCTTTTATCTTTAGGCCAGGCATGGTGGTATGCACCTATAGTCCTAGCTACTGGGAAGGCTAAGGCAGGAGGATTGCTTGAGCCCAGGAGTTCAAGGGAGCAGTGAGCTATGAGAGCGCCACTGTACTCCAACCTGAGCAAAAGAGATCTTGTCTCAAAATAAATAAATAAACAAACAAACAGAAAAATTCTGCCCCAAACCAAGATTACTATTAACACATGTAGTATCACAACACACATTAACTCTCTCCCATTAATTCCCCAGGAGAGTAAATCTTAGTCTTACATTGTCAGATACTTCTCCATAGAATTTTGTTGCAGTGGGCCAGGGGTGGTGGCTCATGCCTGTAATCCTAGCACTTTGGGAGGCTGAGGCAGGTGGATCACTTGAGGTAAGGAGTTTGAGACCAGCCTGGCCAACATGATGAAACCTCGTCTCTACTAAAAATACAAAAATTAGCTGGGCGTGGTGGTGCATGCCTGTAATCCCAGCTACTCAGGAGACTACTCAGGAGGCTGAGGTAGGAGAATTGCTTGAGCCTGGGAGGCAGAGGTTGCAGCAAGCCGAGATCGCACCATTGCACTCCAGCCTGGGCAACAGAGTAAGTGAGACTGTCTCATTAGAAAAAAAAAAAAAAAAGAACTCTGCTGCAGCATCTTCTAGGTTTGTCCATGGTACAGATTCGTGGTGGAGGTTGCAGTGAGCCGAGACCCCGCCACTGCACTCCAGCCTGGGCGACAGAGTGAGACTCCATCTCAGAAAAAAAGAAAAGAAAAAAAAAAGAACAAATGAATGAGGGAGTGAATGAAGCCATCATTTGTCATCTATGAAGATTCACATATAATACTTTGTTGAATTGACAGATAATTCTTTTAGGAAAACTTAAAACTCCTTTCAGAACTCAGTGTAGGACGGTGGAGAGAAGACGAGGTGGTGGCAACTCTGGCCTGGGTTCCTCTCTCCCTCTTGCCCCACCCCCCACACCCACTCTTGCCACCCCCACTATGAGATTTGAACAAATTGCTGAACGCTTCTAAGTCTCCTTTCCTCTTCTGTAGGTGGAGAGAGCACTGCCCTCCTCATGTGAGTGTTGGGAGGATTAGGAGGATGACACAGAGCCCAGCAGGTAAGGGCTTCACTACCTTTTAGTGAACTTCTTTATTCCATTATCCAAGACATCAGCAACTCTTTCTATTGGTCAAATGTTTGGTTATTTTACCCAGGTTGAGCCAGATCTCAAAATACGAAAATAAGAAAATAAAATAGCTGCTATAAACTTAAAAAAATAAAATAAAATTCTTTTTACTGCTAGAAATAATATGTCTAGTAAACAGAAGAGATTCTAGTAAAAACTGCTAGAATTAATAAAAGAATTGGGCAAGGTGACTGCATATAAGATAAATATATAAAGCAAAAAACCGGCTGGGTGCGGTGGTTCACGGTTGTAATCCCAGCACTTTGGGAGGCTGAGGTGGGTAGATCACCTGAGGTCAGGAGTTCAAGACCAGCCTGGCCAGCATGGTGAAACCCCGTCTCTACTAAAAATACAAAAATTAGGGCTGGGCATAGTGGCTCACATCTGTAATCCCAGAACTTTGGGAGGCTGAGGCAGGTGGATCACAAGGTCAGGAGATCGAGACCATCCTGGCTAACACGATGAAACCCCATCTCTACTAAAAATACAAAAATTTAGCTGGGCATGGTGGCACGTGTCTGTAGTCCCAACTACTTGGAAGGCCGAAGCAGGAGAATTGCTTGAAACCAGGAGGTGGAGGTTGCAGTGAGCCGAGATTGTGCCATTACACTCCAGCCTGGGTGACAGAGTGAGACTCCGTCTAAAAAAAAAAAAAAAATAGCTGGGAGTGGTGGCAGGCACCTGTAACCCCAGCTACTTGGGAGGCTGAGACAAGAGAATTGAGAATTGCTTGAACCTGGGAGGTGGAGGTTGCTGTGAGCCAAGATCGTGCCATTGCACTCCAGCCTGGGCGACAAGAGTGAAACTCTGTCTCAAAAAAAAAAAAAAAAAAAAAAAAAGCGAAAAACCTGTTTTGTTTGTTTGTTTGTTTGTTTTTAAAGAAAACTTTACAATGAGGAATAAAAAGCAGCTGCAGACTGTTAGCTCCCCTTCCCTCCATTCCCTCCTCTGGAACACTGGCCCCCTAGGCCTGGTTGGTTCAGCAGATCTTCATTGCCTTTATATATTTGGTTTGGGACAAGGTGTGGGGTTCTTGTGAGAGGCTATTTTATCTGGCGTTTCTTGTCGTTCTCAGCAGGAGCACTCAATGCCAAAGGCTGCTGTATTATACTTGGAAGCAAAAGTGTCAGTCTCTTTTTACTCTTAAAATGAATACCAGGAAACAAAATGGTGGTGGGGATTATACTTATGATAGAAACCAAAACTATGAAATACTTCAGAATACATTTTCTTTAGAAGAGTATTGAACCCATAAAAAGAAAACCGCGGCTAGGCGCGGTGGCTCACGCCTGTAATCCCAGCACTTTGGGAGGCTGAGGCAGGCGGATCACAAGATCAGGAGATCGAGACCATCCTGGCTAAAACGGTGAAACCCCATGTCTACTAAAAATACAAAAAATTAGCTGGGCGTGGTGGCGGGTGCCTGTAGTCCCAGCTACTCGGAAGGCTGAGACAGGAGAATGGCTTGAACCCGAGAGGCGGAGCTTGCAGTGAGCCGAGATAGCGCCACTGCAGTCTGGCTGGGCGAAAGAGCGAGACTCCGTCTCAAAAAAAAAAAAAAAAAAAAAAAAGAAAACCGCAAAATCTTATTAAAAGACATAAAACAAGATTTGAATGAACGAAAAGACACATCATGTTTTTGTATGAAAAGATATAAATTCATAAAAACTCTTTAAAATTACTATATAAATTTCATGTAGTTCCAGCTAGAATATTAATAAATTTCTTTTTAAAAAAAGAATTGTCAAAAGTATGAAAAATAAGAACAGAGGAGGAGACCTGTTCTCCAGAAATCAGGATTGATCAGAAAACCAGTGTAATCAGAGCAATTGACAGCAGAGACTGCTAGTCTATCCTCAGTATTCATTCTTCCTTAGAACCCTAGATCTACATCTGGGTACATAGCCACTTGGAATAAAGACCACATCTCCTAGCCTATCTTTGAACTTAGTGTGGCTATGTGAGTAAATTCTGGCAAATGAAATACTGGCAGAAGTGTCCTGTGCAACTTCAGAAAATGTCCTTAGAGGGAGAGAGACATCTTTCTTTGTCTCTTTCACCTTCTGTTGGTTGGAAAGCAGCCATTTTGGCTGGAATTGGAGCAGCCATCTTGGACTGGGAGAGAAAAGCTATATGTTGATGGTGGAAGAACAACAAGACAGAAGGAGCCTGGGTCCCTGAAACTGTGGAAGAGACACAGGACTTATCTCTGGACTTCATTTATGAGAGAGAGAAATAAACGTTTATTTAGTTTAAGCCACTATTACTTTATTTTTTCTGTCAATCACAGGCAAAGCTGATTCTAATTGATATAAAATTTGGCACCTGGAAAAAGACTACTACAAGTGACAGAACCTAAATGCTTAATTAATGAATGCAGGTGGGTGGCAGATGGCAAAGACTCAGACATTGCTGACTGGGAAGCTTGTGATCCTTGTTATGCAGTGGTCAAACATTTGATCAAAACCTTGTGTTTCAGTTAACTATTATTGTGTGGCAAACCACCTCCAAACTTAATAGGTTAGAACAACAAGTGTTTTATTACCTCTCACCATTCTGTGGGTTGACGGTGACAGCTGGGTGGTTCTTCTGGATCTCACAGGGGTATTTCATGAGGTTACAGTCAGATTGAAGCTGGGGATGAATATGCAAGTTGACACCTCCTTGGTGTCACATGTGTGGCACCAGGATGGCCAAAAGCTGTGACCTCTCCTTCCACGTGGCTTAGCCTGGGCATCATAACATGGCGGCTGGATCCCAAGAATGCGAAAGTGGAAGACCTTCTTAAGGCTTAGGCCTAGAACCGGCAAGTGTCACTCTGCCACAGTCTATTGGTTAGAGTGAGTCACAGGCCCAGCCCAGATGTAAAGGGAGGATACTACACAAGGCTGTGAATACTGGTGACATGGCTCTCTAGGGACAATCTTCAGACAATAGCTACCTCACCTTGGAAGGCAGATCATGGACTGACTGAGGTTGTAGCAATGCAATGCAGCCATGTAGAAATGATAAGGAAATTCAGGGCCGGGTGCAGTGGCTCACATCTGTAATCCCAGCACTTTGAGAGGCCAAGGATGGTGGATCACCTGAGGTCAGGAGTTCGAGACCAGCCTGACCAAAATGGTGAAACCCCATCTCTACTAAAAATACAAAAATTAGCCAGGTGTGGTGGCACGTGCCTGTAATCCCAGCTATTCCAGAGGCTGAGGAATTGCTTGAACCCAGGAGGCGGAGGTTGCAGTGAGCGGAGATTGCGCCACTGCACTCCAGCCTGGGCAACAAGAGTGAGACTCTGTCTCAAGAAAAAAATAAAAAATAAATGATACGGAAATTCAGAATGTTCCTGTTTTCTGGCTTCTTCTTGCTACTTTTAGCAAGTCCTGTGAGAGAGAAAATCAAGCTAGAGTTAGCTTCTTTGCATAGCTTTGCCAAGGGAGGAAGTCTTTGCTATAACCTATAATCTGGGTTGATTGAGAATCCTGTAATTTTGAGTTCTGCAGACTTGAAAAAGCCATTGCTTCTGCACCGAAGCAGTTATAAGTGGTAACTGCAAAGTGGTAGCCTTAGCAGGAATTAAGACTGGTGCCCTCTTTAGAAAAGCTGTGAGCCTGTTGGCAAAGAAGGAATTAAGGATGGTGCTTTCCCACTCAAGCCGGTTGTTTCAGATGGCTTGAAGAAAACCATCATTAAGTTTGGGGAATGGCTGGTAAGTAAAAGATCAGAGTTTTCAGGCTTGGAAACCATGTCTAGATAAGATTTTTGGCTACAATTATTCACGTTGGAACTGACCAGAACAAAATGGATTAAAGGCCTATGACATTTTTGAAGGAATAGTGCTATCAATGAAACCCCAAACTCTGCCTGCAAGAGCCTGTGACTGCTCAACCCTCAAAACACTCCTTGGGCTCTCAAACCTGCCCCAGCAGTAAGTGAACTTGGGTGCCTGTGAATTTCCCAAGAAGGGAACATTCTTCATGGATGGCTTGTGTGCTGCTTCTCAGCAATGTGGCCCATCTAGGAATTAAGTGAGGACTGTTGACTTACTCATTAGTTTAACCAAATGCTTCCATGTACCAGGCATGGGGTTAGTACTGGGGTTGCAGTTGTAAAGGGAGGAGCAACAGCTGAGAGTTTAGAGGGGGTGGTGGTAGGACCCCTACCCACTCAGACTCATCATCCACAGCTGTGTCTCCTTGGGGAAGCCTTTTGAAGGGATCCAAAGGCCCCACCTCTCCCGCTGTTGTTGATCTCACTTCTGGGTATCCTGGCTGCACCAGCTTCCTTCTATGTCCTAGATATGTCAGCTTTGTTGGATTTCCCAGCTCATCCCTGTATCTGGGTCTGCCATTGACATTTGCTAATACACTGGTTAAATAGGTTGCATGGGTTGGAGGGACTCATGGCCCTGGTGTCCTCAGACAGATTATCCCCAAGATTGGACTGTGCAAGGCAGTCGCTTGCAATCTATTAAGCCATGGCCCTTTTATTTTATTTTACTTTTTTTTCTGAGACAAGGTCTTGCTCTGCCACCCAGGTTGGAGTGTAGTGGTACAATCATGGCTCACTGCAGCCTTCACCTCCCAGACTCAAGTGATCCTCCCACCTCTGCCTCCCAAGTAGCTGGGAATATAGGCATGTGCCACCATGCCTGGCTAATCTTTTATTTAAACTTTTTTTTTTTTTTTGTAGAGATGAAGTTTTACTATTTTGCCCAGGTTGGTCTCAAACTCCTAGGCTCAAGCAGTCCTCCTGCCTTGGCCTCCCAAAATGCTGGGATTACAGGCATGAGCCACTGTGCCCATGCATGGCCCTTTTACACAGTGCAAAAAACTCCATGTGCCACCCAAGCAACCCATTCCACATCAATGACTGGTGATAACAGCAAGCATGTTTGAGATTATGTTTTTAGTTTTATGCTTTAAAAGTAGGGGTATGAATAATTTAGACATGAACTCTAGTCTTCAGGTCATAACATGGCACAAATCCCAACTCTTTATAGATAAATATGCCTGATCAGGAGGAACTCTCAGAAACAGCCTGTATCAAGCAGGGCTTTTGGTTGTACACACAGGAAGTTGGGTCTCGCTTAAGCAAAAAGTATGTTCTCTCTCTCTGCCCCTGGTCTTCCTGTGTCTGCTTCATTCTCTCCTACCTACCAGCCCTAGGAGAAAAAAAATCCCACAGAAGGATACTGATTGGCCCAGCTTCTGTCATGTGCTTATCTTCTGTTTGTTTGTTGTTGTTATTTTTGAGATGGAGTCTTGCTCTGTCACCCTGGCTGGAGTGCAATAGCGCAATCCCAGCTCACTGCAACCTCCGCCTCCCAGGTTCAAGCAATTCTCCTGCCTCAGCCTCCCGAGTAGCTGGGATGACAGATGTGTGCCAACATGCCAAGCTAATTTTTGTATTTTTAGTAGAGACGGGGTTTCACCATGTTGGCCAGACTGGTCTCAAACTCCTGACCTCAAGTAATCCACCCACCTTTGCCTCCCAAAGTGCTGAGATTACAAGTGTGAGCCACCTTGCCCAGTCTGTCATGTGCTTATCTTCTAGCCAATGGGCAGGTCCTGTTTCCTACAAAAGGGTAGGAGGGGAGGAAGGGCTGCTGGGGGGACTTAAACAATAGCCTACACATTTGAGCAGAGACAGCAAGGCTCCAGGGAGCAGAACTTTATTGAGGAGTTACTTGAATGGCTACTTTGGTTATGTAAATATAGCATAAATTGATACCGGTGTTTTGGGAGAAGGGTGATACAGGCCTCTGGTGTCTTAAAGAAGACCTTTCCTCTTACCCATTGATCTGGTCCCTGGGAAGGAAGTAGAGAACTTTACGTTTCAGCCAGTGAGCCTCCCAGAAACATTGAGGTCATATTTTTATAACATTCTTGGTTGATCTGGTACTAGCTGAGCCTGCAGGAAAAGATGCGAAAGGCCTCAAAGTCTCTCGCTGTAAGGAATACTGGAAACATAGCCTTGCTTATGCTCAGCTCATGGCTCCCTCCAGAAAGAATGAATTTCTATGTTTTGAGAATACATGCAGTGACTGAACAGGAGAAAGGAACTCAGAGAATCCAGCCTGCTTATCTGGCTGGGGGCAGCACTCGGCAGGAGGGCCTGAGTTGGAAGAGCCCCTGTGGTCTGTTCAGGGCTGTGAATCAGCCATGGTCCAGGGATCCTTGCACTTGGTGGAATTTGGGAGCAGGACTATCCTCTTTGTGTGAAATACGCCTCCAGAGTTCTTGGACAATTCTAGGTCTGGTGACCAAGAGAGATATGTCAAAACCCCTGCTATAAAACAGAGATAAAACAATTGACCATATGATCCAGCAATCCACTTCTGGGGATACCCACACACGAGTTGAAAGCAGGGACTTGAACAGATATTTGTACACCCGTGTTCATAGCAGCATTATTCACAATAGCCAATAGCTGGGAGCAACCCAAGTGTCCATCAATGGACCCCTCTTCAGAATAATGCTTTGTTTTGTTTTGTTTTTGAGACTGGGTCTCACTCTATCACCCAGACTAGAATGCAATGGCAATGGCAATGGCGCTATCATAGCTTCACTGCAGTCTTGATCTCCCAGGCTCAAGTGATCATCCTGCCTCAGCCTCCTGAGTAGCTGGGACTACAGGCATGTACCACCATGCCTGGTTAATTATTATTTTTTTTATTTTTAGTAGAGACGTGGGTCTCACTACATTGCCCAGGCTGGTCTCAGACTCCTGAGCCCAAGGGATCCTCCTACTTTGGCCTCCCAAAGGTGCTGGGATTATGGGAGTCAGCCACCATGCCTGGCCCAGAAGCATGTCTTTAAGTATGAAAAACCATAGGATTAAAAAGTTTGGAAGTTGATCATGCAAATTGGGTCATTCTCATCAGACCCAACTAAAACAGAGTCAAGAAGCCAGGGGGAGAAAACATTTAGGACACATTACATTGCAGTAGAATATAATTTCCTGCAAGCCTGGCTGCTGAAACTGCCTGCTATAACCTGAGACCAGTTTGATCTATAACTGCTGAGATAACTTCCTGAAACTCTAGGACTAATTTTGCCCACCGCCATCGCTTACCAATCAGAACTTGCCAACTCCCCAGAACCTTCCTCGTGCCAAGGAACTTTCTCAGAGAGCAATATGTAACATTTCTCTTTTTTTATAAAACCTCCAACCTTCTGTTTGCTCTTTGGTCGTACTAAAGAGCACCCAGTCTGCATGCATGCCCCAAATTGCAATTCTTTTTTCTCAAATAAAAATTTAAATTTAGAGATTTGTCTCTACTTATTTATTAATTATTGTTATTATTACTATTATTATTTTGTAGAGACAAGATCTCCCCGTGTTGCCCAGGCTGATCTCAAACTCCTGGGCTCAAGCAATCCTCTGGCCACCTCCCAAAGTATTCAGATTACAGGCATAAACTACCAAGCCTGGGCCGTCTCAACATTTTTATTTTGACTTCAACAAAAGAAAACTAATATGACTGAAATTTAATTATCAAGCTATTTTTAAAAGCATACTTGAGATATAGTAATATATGTGCTTCTTCCTTCACACGTTCAACAACCAGACCTAGCAGCAGGTCTGATAAATCCTAATTTTGAAGGAATAATGAGAATGAAGGATATTTAAAGATATGTGGAACAACTGTAATGTAGTGTGAAAATAGCTGTGAATTCTGTTAATGACATAGTCACAGTTACTACTAATACTACTGCAGTTGTCTACATTCGTAATCGAAGGAAATGCTAATTTTCATTATAGGTGAGAAAAGAAAATAACTTTTATCTGAGGAATGTGAGTCCTTTTAAATTATCAGATCCAGGGAGACATTAAAATGAGACAGCAGGCCCAGCATGGTGGCTCATGCCTGTAATCCCAGCACTTTGGGAGGCCGAGGCAGGCGGATCACTTGAGGTCAGGAGTTCGAGACCAGCCTGGCCAACGTGGTGAAACCCCGCCTCTACTAAAAATACAAAAATTAGCTGTGCATGGTGGCGCAAACCTGTAATCCCAGTTACTCAGGAGGCTGAGGCAGGAGAATCGCTTGAACTGGGAGATGGAGGTTGCAGTGAGCTGAGATCGCGCCACCGCACTCCAGCCTGGGTGACAGAGCAAGACTCCATTTCAGGAAAAAAAAAAAAAAAACAAAAAAAAAAAACCATACCATGTACCCACAAAAATTAAAAAAAGAAAGAGACAGGAATCTCATCCTACTTCCCCCTTGAGCTATGTATTCATCTCTTAGAACTGCTTGCTATTGCCACAAGTAGCTAGAAGTTAACCTAATAATACTACACTGGACCCTGTAACCCACACCCTATAGCTTAACAATGTATAGCCAATTGCTAATCGATGTTATTTCTGTAATCCAATGAGAATTCCTGACAAACAACTTTGCATCTGCACACTTCCTGTCCCCTTTTTTTGCCTTAAAAAATCCACTTGTAACTGCTGCTAATTGGAGTGTGTATTCAGGGCAACTTTAATCTATGCTCCCGAGTTTCAAGCTTGGCCCATTTCTCTACTCATTTTGCCTCAGCTTCTTCTTTTTTAAGTTGAAAAGGGTTAGAGAATATTAAATGTAATTATTTCCCCATCCAAGTTCATAGACCTCATAATTACATGAGTCAGTGGATCCCACATTAGAATGCCCCCCTTTTTTTTCTTTTTCTTTTTCTTCTTTAAAAAAAAAAAAAAAAAGACAGAGTCTTGCTCTGTCCCCCAGGCTGGGAGTGCAGTGGCACGATCATAGCTCTCTGTAGTTTTGACCTCCTGGGCTCAAGTGATCCTCCTGCCTCGGCCTCCCAAAGCACTGGGATTACAGGTGTGAGCCACTGTACCTGGCCTAAAATATCTTTTTCTAGGGTTGGTGCTCATAAGCACTATGATATCTGCTCCACTTATTAAAGCGACCCTGTTTTCTGGAGGTTGCCTGGCATCCCAACTGCCTGCAGCCCAACATCCTCAGATGCATCCCTTTGAACACAGCTCTAACACCACAGCCCCAGGAAGTCCTGCCAGAATCCCCAGGGTTCTCTGCCCGTGCTATGAGCTTCCTCCAGGCTCCCATAGTCAAGGGCTTCCCTTTATTATACCATAAGGTAATGTCACTGTTCATGTCCTCCTTTTTTTTTTTTTTTGGTTTTTGAAACAGAGTCTCTCTCTGTCACTCAGGCTGGAGTACAATGACGCAATCTCGGCTCACTGCAACCCCCGCCTCCCAGGTTCAAGCGATTCTCATGCCTCAGCCTCCTGAGTAGCTGGAGCTACAGGTGCATGCCACCATGCCAGGCTAAGTTTTGTCTTATTAGTAAAGACGAAGTTTCACCATGTTGTCCAGGCTAATCTCGAACTCCTGACCTCAGGTGATCCACCCACCTTGGCCTCTGAAAGTGCTGGGATTACAGGCATGAGCCACCATGCCCAGCCGTTCATGTCTTCTTTAATCTTCATTCCATCCACAGGCATTTATTGAACCCTTATTGTATACTAGACATTATACTTGGTGCAGAGTATCCATCAGTGAAAAGACAAAGTCCTTAAGTTCTGAAAAGAGGAGAGAGGAAAAATAGAAGACAACCAATACCTAAGCAAGATAATATGATGAATACTAAAGGAAATAAACAGCATGTTGTAATAGAAATGATGGTACAGTAGGCAGGGGAAATTATGGTCAGGGAAGCCCTTCTTGAGGAATAATATCTAAGCAATTGCACAAAGGAGAAAAAAAGGAGTGAAACCCCAAGAGGAAGAGGAGCCTAGTCTGAAGAAGCAGCTGTTCCAAAGGCCCTGGGGCAGAGAAGAGCCTGCTCTCAAATGAGAGCAAAGAGGCTGTACCTTCGTGAATAAAAAAGGGGAGAGTGTCCTGGCGCGGTGGCTCACACCTGTAATCCCAGAACTTTGGGATGTGGGGGTCCATCCTGCAGACCCTAACCCAATGATGAATGAGTAACATACACTGACACAGATATTATGCTTGTCAGTCCGGCTGAGAGTCTGGGCCGCTTACAGACTCCCAGGAGAGTGCTGTAAAGAGTTGCAACTGCGGCCCCTACTCGTTGGCCCTCCCAGCATTTATTCAGCACACATTAAATGACAAAAGTCTCAAGTAAACACCACTAGAAGGTAATTACCATTGCTGACCCCCAGAGTAGACAGCAATCATGGACCCGTGGATGGTCAAAGGTTAGTCTTAGGACCACATGAGTAAACAAGCTATTTAAATAGACTCCTCTACATTCCTATGTTAATTACCCTTGCTATAGCTCAAAGAGGATTAGGCTGCCTTCAGCCATAACTCTATCCTGAGGCTTTTGCAAAAACCTTCTGGCCTTCCAAGGTTTGTGTTTATTTTACAATTTTTCCCACCATCCTGATTGAACCCCTACACTGGGAGGCCGAGGCGGGCTGATCACAAGGTCAAGAGATCGAGACCATCCTGGCCAACATGGTGAAACCCCGTCTCTACTAAAAATACAAAAATTAGCTGGGCGTGGTGGCGTGTGCCTGCAGTTCCAGCTACCTGGGAGGCTGAGAGGCAGGAGAATTGCTTGAACCCGGGAGGCGGAGGTTGCAGTGATCTGAGATCATGCCACTGCACTCCAGCCTGGCAACAGAGCGAGAGTCCATCTCAAAAAGAAAGGGGGAGAGTGGAATGAGATTGTTCAGAGAGGAAAACATGAGCAAACACATATTGAATGCATGGAAGGGCTTGGAGAGTTTTCAGCAAAGAAATAACATGATGTGATTTCTGTTTTTAAGCTCCCTTTACCTGCTGTGTGAGAATGGCTTTAAGTGCAACCACAGTGGAAGCAGGAAGACTAGGAGGCAGGCAGGAGATGGATGTGACTTGGAAGGGGGGTGGTGGCAACAGAGATGGTGAGAAATAGATGGATTTTGCATGCATTTTGGAGATTTTGCTAACTTGCTGATGGATTGGGTGTAGATCTTGAGGGAAAAGGAGAATTTAGGAAAGACACTCAGGTTTCTGGCTTGAAGTGGAGTCATTTGTCTGTGAATATTTAAATATGTACAAAATATTTATAGAAGGACACCTAAGAAACTCCATGGGAGGCATAGTAGATTGCAAAAGATAGACACAAAATCCCTCTATGAGCAGAGTTTTGTAATATGACTTTGCTGCTTTTCTCTTCAGGGGTGGAGTCTATATTATTCCTCATCCTCAAATTTGGCTGACCAGGTGACTTACTTTGACCAACAGAAGGCAAGTGAAGGGAGATGTCAGAGTTCTGAGCCTAGGTCTGAAGAGGCCCTGCAACTTCCACCCTTTTTTTCTTGCTGCCTTGAGACTGCCACATACAGAAGTCCAGGCTACCCGCCTTAGGATGAGAGACCACAGGGAGAGAGGGGCCTAGCAGCCAGCCAGCGTGAACAGTGTGAACAGTCACGCTAGTGAGTGAGGCCATCGTAGGTGTATCCCCACCAATCTATCAGAGGACTGAAGCAGCATGATTCACCCCAGGCAAGACAAGCAGAAGCACCACTCTGCTGAGCCCAGCCCAAATTACTGACCCACAGAATCCTGAGCAAAAAAAAAGGCTGTTAAAAAAATTTTTTTTAGCTGGGCATGGTGGCTCACGCCTGTAATCCCAGCATTTTGGGAAGCCAAGGCAGGAATATCATTGAGGTCAGGAGTTTGAGACCAGCCTGTCCAACATGGTGAAACCCCATCTCTACTAAATATATAAAAATTAGCTGGGCGTGGTGGTGGATGCCTGTAATCCCACCTACTTGGGAGGCTGAGGCAGGAGAATTGATTGAACCCGGGAGGCAGAGGTTGCAGGGAGCCAAGATCGCGCCACTGCACTCCAGCCTGGACGACAGAGTGAGACTCCATCTCAAAAGAAAAAAAAAATGTTTTTTAAAAGGTTGTTGCTTTAGGCCACTATGCTTTTATGTTTTGGGTTGGTTTAATACACAGTAATAGATAACTATTATGGGACGGAACTGAATGGTTTCAATGGTTGGAGAATATGAATGGGAAAGAGGAGTTTTTTTTTTTTTTCTGAGACAGGGTCTCGCTCAGTCACCCAGCCTGGAGTGGAGTGGTGGGATCATAGCTCACTGTAGCCATGATATCCCAGGCTCACGCGATCCTGCCACCTCAGCCTCCTGAGTAGCTGAGACTACAGGTGTGTGCCACCATGCCTGGCTAATTTTGTTTATTTTAGTAGAGATGAGGTCTTGCTGTGTTGTCCAGGGTGGTCTCATACTCCTGAGCTCTAGTGATTCTCCCGCCTTAGCCTCCCCAAAGTGCTGAGATTATAGGCATGAATCACTCTGCCTGACCAGGAGAGAGATTTTAATTCACCCTTTTGTATCATTTGAATTTTAAACCTTGTGAATGTATTAACTATTTATTCTCCTCAAAAAAGTATGCTACATTCAGTGCGTAAAATACATCTCTATTTTGAACATAAAGAGTGCAATTTTTAAGTGATCCATCATTACCATTGACTTTTTTTTTTTTTTTTTTTTTGAGATGGAGTCTTGCTCTGCCGCCCAGACCGTAGTGCAGTGGCACGATCTGGCTCACTGCAACCTCTGCCTCCCGGATTTAAGTGATTCTCCTGCCTCAGCCTCCCCAGTAGCTGGGATTATAGGGATATGCCTCCACCACTCTCGGCTAATTTTTGTAGTTTTAGTAGAAACGGGGTTTTGCCATGTTGGCCAAGCTGGTCTTGAACTCCTTATCTCAGGTGATCAGCCTCCCAAAGTGCTAGGATTACATGCGTGAGCCACCGCGCCTGGCCAATGCCATTTTATATAAGGGATTTGAGCATCTGTAGATTTTGGTGTCCATGGGGGTCCTGGAACCCACCGCTAACCCCACTGTATATATTTACATACAGTAAATGTATTTGCAGTTATTGTTTTTAATTTAAATATACTGTTGTATTAACAGAAAAGTATTCATTTCGTCCCCACTAAGTACATTTGAACGAGTATTTAAAGAATGTTATTTTATTTCACTTATTTATTTTTTTGAGATGGGGGACTCACTGTTACCACAGCTGGAGTGCAGTGGCGCGATCACAGCTCACTGCAGCCTCGAGCTCAAGGAATCCTCCCGCCTCAGCTTCCCGAGTAGCTGGGACCGCCGGCGCACGCCACGACGCCCAGCTAATTTTTAAATTTTTTTGTCTCACTGCATTGCCCAGGCTCAAACTCCAGAACTCAAGCTACCCCCCGACTTCAGCCTCCCAAAGTGCTGGGATGACAGACGTGAGCCACCACGCCTGGCCAAGAATGTTATTTTAATGGTACATCAAGTTATTTGTCTTCACCAGGGCACCCCCAGATCTCCATCTGGCTCTTCTGCTTTAATAGGATAAAAATATCTAGCTATTCCTGGTTGAAGCCAAACCCCTGCCGCAGGCGAGAGGCATTACTTCCCCCTTGTGGCCATATTTGGTTGCTGCACTCAAGCCAGGCACCCAGCAGGTAGGACTTTACAATGCGTTAGCCAAGGTGAAGAACTAGATAAACTAGGCTCCTTCTGGGCTGGCATTTTATTTTATTTTATTATTTTTTTTGAGATGGAGTCTCACTCTGTCGCCCAGGCTGGAGCGCAATGGCACGGTCTCAGCTTACTGCAACCTCTGCCTCCCAGGTTCAAGCGATTCTCCTGCCTCAGCCTCCCAAGTAGCTGGGACTATAGGGGTCTGTGACCACTCCTGGCTAATTTTTGTATTTTTAGTAGAGACAGGGTTTCACTATGTTGGCCAGGCTGGTCTCAAACTCCTGTCTTCATGATCCGCCTGCCTCAGCCTCCCAAAGTGCTGGGATTACAGGTGTGAGCCACTGTGCCCGGCCCTGGGCTGGCATTTTAGAGCAGCTCTTCAGACCAAGTAATCTGACAGTCCCCAGCCTGGCTAGAACTTATAAAGTCACCCCTGTGCCTGGTAGATGATTTCCACCAACAGCCTGTCCTTCATGGAGAGGAGATGGGTTTGGATGGGGAGTGGGGAGGGGCAGCTGAAGGTTCCCTCCAACAACCAGCTATTACAGATTGTGGCTTTGGCATTCTCAAAACTCAGTGTTTGGGAGGACCTTGGGCCTGCCCATATG
Source organism: Homo sapiens (assembly GCF_000001405.40). Taxonomy (NCBI): domain Eukaryota; kingdom Metazoa; phylum Chordata; class Mammalia; order Primates; family Hominidae; genus Homo; species Homo sapiens. Next base: position 73,625,205 of record NC_000011.10, on the reverse strand, counting down.
GCTGAAGTCTTGAAGTCCAGATTCTCCAGAGCCTCTCCTTCCTCTCAGGTACTGTTGGAGAAGGTGTCATATGTGGGTTTTCAATAAAAACTAGGGGACAAGGTTGGGCGCGATGGCTCACACCTGTAATCCCAGCTCTTTGGGAGACCAAGGTGGGCGGATCATAAGATCAGGAGATCGAGACCATTCAGGCCATCATGGTGAAAGCCTGTCTCTACTAAAATACAAAAAAAATTAGCAGGGCATGGTGGCACGTGCCTGTAGTCCCAGCTACTCGGGAGGCTGAGGCAGGAGAACTGCTTGAACTCGGGAGGTGGAGGTTGCAGTGAGACGAGATCATGCCACTGCACTCCTGCCTGGCAACAGAGTGAGACTCCGTCTCAAAAAACACAAAAAGGAAGGGGCATGGCCACAGGTACCGTGGAGATCACGGGCTGTGACCCACCAGTGTGAGGAAGCACAGAGAGGAAGACAGGAGCAAACACATATTGACTGCAATGGAAAGCCTTGGAGAGTTTGACATGATGTGACTCATGTTGTTCCTCTCCTCTCCTCTCTTCTCCTCTCCTCTCCTCTCCTCTCCTCTAAAGTCTCCTCTTCTCTCCTCTCCTCTCCTCTCCTCTCCTGTCCTCTCCTCTCCTCTCCCCTCCCCTCCTCTCCCCTCCTCCCCTCCTCCCTCCCTCCCTTTCTCTCTCTCTCTCTGTTTTTCTTTCTTTCCTTTCTCTTTTCTTTTTTTTTTTTTTTTCAGGGTCTTACTCTGTCACCTAGGCTGGAGTACAGTGGTGCAATCATAGCTCACTGCAATCTTGAACTCCTGGGCTCAAGCGATCTTCCTCCTCATCCTCCCAAAGTGCTGGGATTACAGGCGTGAGCCACCATGCCTAGCCTGAATCATGTTATTAAAAGCTCATTCTTTGGGGAGGTGGGAGGGACTGCTAATTTCTTGAGATGAGCCATGGTGGATGAAGGGCCACAGAAAGTGGACCCTTGGGGAGGACTCCTGAGTAGATGGCACTGCTGGAGCTACAGACCCTGCCCCTCCCCTGCCTATCACACTGCATGCATGCAAGCATCCTGAGGAGCATATCTGGTTGAGAGGACAGAGCCAGTTGCAATCAGCAGATATTGACATTGGTCAGTTCGAGTTTGTTTCTATTCTGCTGTCTCTATCCCAAGGTTTCTTCTTTGTATAGCACTTTGTCATGCAAAGAGGTTATATATCTGCACCACTAGCTCTGCTCAGTGGTGCAGATATAAAATAGGATCTAATAGGGAGAAATGAGCAAGCAGAGAAGTAGGGCACAAGCAATCCCTGGAACGCTCATTACCCCACTTTCCGTAATGCTGAAATGGGGAAGGAACATATTTTGCTGACATGAATGATAGAAAAAGGAACTTATAAATAGGATCAGCAGAGGGGAGGGAACAGCTGTGTGACTGTGTAACTTTAGAAGCTCCCTTGTAGAAGAGTGACCTTGTTAGAAAGGGGAGCCCCTGGAACCCAGTGGCTGATAACAGCAGCCAGTTCTTCCATTGGGCTAATTCAGACTTGCCGAACTAGAAGTCTGGGGAGGTGAAACTGACTTCTAAGGACATCCAGATGTATCTCTTCTCACATGTAAAAAAAAATGTGTCAAGTAGCACATTTTTGGCTGTAACTGACTCTTTCTAACCAAAAGTGACTGGAGCCATTGAAGTTTTGTACCTTGCTTAACAAGAAGTTAGCAGAATAGTCCTTGGATTGACTCAGTGGCTCAACCTGTCATCGAGGGCCTGGCCATCTCTCCCCTCAGCCACTCACTGTGGCAACATCTTCCCTGAAGGTTGCAAGATGACGGCTGCAGATCCAAATATCATATCATGACCTGACAACACCCGAAACCTAGATGGGAATATCAGAAGAGCTTCCTGCCTTGTCTCTCCTGTTTTTGTCTTTTTCTTTTTTTTTTCTCAAGTAAGAAAATCTTTCTTAAAATCCTGCCCCTCAGCAGACTTGCCCTTTCATTTCATTGGTCAGAACTGGGACCCAAAGACACCACTTAACAAACGACAGAGGAAGGAGACTACTACCAGGGCTGGATTAGACCAATCATGACTCATGCTGTCAACAGGGAAGAAAGAAAATGCCTGTTGGGAAGTGACCAATAGTGTCCATCATAATATTTTTTGTCCTTTTCTCTGATTACAGAAGTCATGTATGTTCATTATAGAATATTTGGGAAGCCCAGAAAAAGGTGAAGAAGAAAATAAAATCCCCTCAGATTCTACCACCTGGATCCAACTATTGTCTTACCCACTTTGCACTGGTTTTATCCATCTTTGTACTCTAGCCCTTCCATCCTTGTTCTGCACCAGCCCTTGAAATCTGCCCACCTGTCTCAAACCACCTTCCATTCAGCACCGGGTCCCAAACTTCTCCTTCTTTTTTTTTTTTAAGCAGAGTCTCACTCGTTGCCCAGGCTGGAGTGCAATGGCGTGATCTTGGCTCACTGCAATCTCTGCCTCCCAGGTTCAAGCAATTCTCCTGCCTCAGCCTCCAGAGTAGCTGGGATTACGGGGCATGAGCCACCACGCCCAGCTAATTTTTGTATTTTTAGTAGAGACAGGGTTTCACCATGTTGGCCAGCTGGTCTCAAACTCCTGGCCTCAAGAGATCCGCCCACCTCAGCCTCCCAAAGTGCTGGGATTACAGGCATGAGCCACCGTGCCTGGACTTCTCCCTCGTTCTTTTTTTATTATTTTGAAAAAATTACTAAATAACAGAGTATGTATAATTGGGAGGCTGAGGCAAGAAGACAGTGTGAGCCCAGGAGTTTGAAGCTGCAGTGAGCTGTGATTGTGCCACTGCACTCCAGCCTGGGTGATAAAGCAAGACCTTTTTTCTAAAAAAATAAAAAATAACAGTGTATGTAAAATAGATGTCTAAAGTTTAAAGAATAATGATGTATGTAATGAACACTTATGAACTCACTACTCAGCTTGAAAAACAGAGAATTACTAATACTCTGAAGCCCTGTGTGCCCTCCCCAGTGACATCCTCTCTTTCTTTTCCTGAATTTCCTATTGCTGATATTAGTCAGTTGCCACAAAAATGCCATGTGTTGCCTCAAAACTCAGTGAGGGCTGGGTGTGGGTATGGTGGCTCACACCTGTAATCCCAGAATTTTGGGAGGCCGCGGCGGGCAGATCACTTGAGGTCAGGAGTTTGAGACCAGCCTGGCCAACATGGTGAAACCCCCATCTCTACCAAAAAAAATTTCAAAAATTAGCTGGGCATGGTGGTGTGTGTCTATAATTCCATCTACTTGGGAGGCTGAGGTGGGAGAATCGCTTGAACCTGGGAGGTGGAGGTTGCAGTGAGCGGAGATCGCGCCACTGCACTCCAGCCTGGGTGACAGAGTGAGACCCTGTCTCCAAAAAACAAAAACAAAAAAACTCAATGAGCGTTTACTTTACTCTCAGAACGGCTTCAGAGTGGATTTGTTTTCTCTGAGTTACTTTCTCCTCTCTTCTCCTTACTGTCTCTCTTTTCTTCTTTTCTTTTTTTTTTTTTTTTTTTGAGATGGAGTTTTGCTCTTGTTGAGTGGCTGAGATTACAGGCATGTGCCACCATGCTCAGCTAATTTTTTGTATTTTTAGTAGAGACAGGGTTTCACCATGTTGGCCAGGCTGGTCTCGAACTCCTGACCTCAGGTGATCCACCCGCCTGGGTCTCCCAAAATGTTGAGATTACAGGCGTGAGCCACCGCACCCAGCCTTGTCTTTTTGTTTCATCAGTTAGGATGCTTCATTATGAACATGGACACCAGCTCTGGCACTCTTAAGCAGATCTGAGTTTTTCCTTCTTCTGTCAACTGATTGTAGGTAATGCCCCATTAAGCCATAGGTGAAGGCTGGGAGAGATAAGGTGCTATACTAGGGACTTTGGGCATTGGGCCCCCCCACTTTTTTTTTTTTTTGAGATGGAGTTTTGCTCTCATTGCCCAGACTGGAGTGCAGTGGCGCAATCTTGGCTCACTGCAACCTCTGCCTCCTGGGTTCAAGCAATTCTCCTGCCTCAGCCTCCTGAGAAGCTGGGACTATAGGCGTGTGCCACCACGCCCAGCTAATTTTTGTACTTTTAGTAGAGATGGGGTTTCACCTTGTTGGCCAGGCTGGTCTCAAACTCCTGGCCTCAAGTAATCTGCCAGCTGCGGCTTCCCAATGTGCTGGGATTATAGGCGTGAACCACCACGCCCCTGCCTGGGCCACTTCCTTGTCTAATTTATTTGTGCCTTCAAGGCCTACTCAGGGCCAGTCTTATATATATCATTTCCATTTGATGATGGAGTATGCTGCACATGCCTAGCTTTATGGTTTGATGGGCCAGATAACACCCAATTCGTAATGGGCAGCCCGGTTTGGATGGTACCTTGGTGGCCCATGGTTAGGTGTTCAGTGTCTACTAAGGTCCTGTAGCAGGCCAAGAGCTGTTTCTCAAAAGGGGAGTAGTTATCCACAGAGGATGAAAGTACTTTGCTCCAACATCATAAGGGCTTGCACTGTGGTTCAGCTACAGGGCCCTGCCAAAGTCTCCAAACTGCATCCCTATCTGCCACTGACACTTGAAGTTCCATTGGTTCATATGGCCCAAGCGCAGAGCAGCTTGCACAGCAGCTTGAACCTGTTGCAGAGCCTTCTCTCATTGTGGGATCCACTCAAAATTTGCAGTGTTTCAGGTCACTTGGTAAATGTCCCTCATTTGGGCCAAACACACCCAAATGAGGAATATGTTGCCTGTAAAATACAAAGTGGCCCACTACACATTGTGCTTGCTTTTCATTGTAAGAGGGGCCAGATGCAACAAGTTTAACCTCAGAAGGAATATCTTGACATGCCCCACACCACTGGACCCCTAGAAATTTCACTGAAATAGAAGACCTCTGAAATTTTGTTAGATTTATTTCTCATCCTCTGACATGCAAATGTCTTACTAATAAATCTAGAGTAGTTGCTACTTCTCGCTTACTAGATCCAATCAAGATATTGTCATGAATGTATTGGACCAGTGTGATACCTCGTGGAAGGGAAAGACAATCAAGATCCCTGCAAATTAAATTATGAAATAGAGCTGAAGAGTTGATGTACGCCTGAAGTGTGATAGTGAAGGTGTATTGTTGGCTTTGCCAGCTGAAAGCAAACTACTTCTGGTGGTCCTTATTCACAAGGATAGAGAAAAACACATTTGCCAGATAATAGTTGCATACCAGGTACCACATATAGGATACGTTAATTTGCTCAAGCAATGAAACCACATCTGGTATAGCAGTTTCAACTGGAGTCACCACCTGGTTAAGTTTACAATAATCCACCATCATTCTCTAAGATTTATCTGGCTTCCTCACAGGCCAAATGGGCAAGTTGAATGGGGATTTGGTGGGTACCTCCACCCCTGAAGATCACTATGCCTTAATCTTTCAAGTTCTTGATTGAGATATTGATCTCTGCAGTCCCTCCAGGAATGTGGTATTGCTTTTGTTTTACTAGCTTCCTAAGTAGAAGCAGTTCTAGTGGCTTCCATTTGGCCTTTCCCATCACAATAATCCTCACTTTATAGGTTAGGGAACCAATGTAGGGATTCTGCCAGCTGCAGAGTGAGTCTACTCCAATTATGCACAGAACTGGGGACATAATCAGAGGATGGGTTTGGGGACCCACTGGGCCCACTGTGAGACGGACCTGAGCTAAAATTCCACCTGACATCCATAAGCCCCTATTTTGACTGATGGACCACCATGACATTTTAGGCCACCTGGAATTAGTGCCAGTTCAGTCAGTGTCCAGGAGTCCCCAAAAGGTCTGATTATTTTCTTTTTCCCAACACACAGTGACCCTGGTGAAAGGGTCACTTTCACCTTTCACCACGGTCACTGTGTATTGGGAAAAAGAAAATAAAAGATTGACAGTATAAATTTGGGGCTGTATATCAGGCTTCAGGTTCCTGAAGGGAACCTGGTCTCCCCTCCATTTAAGGGGTTCTGGGCTTATAAACTGGCTTAAGCCTGGGAATTGATTGAGCTTCTGCAGCTCTCTGTTTTTATGATTTGAGTTAGACTTTTGTCCACTTAACCTAGTACTTTTCTGCTTTCTACAGATCAAGTAAGAATTTAGTAGGCTTCCTATCTATTTCACTTCTAGGAACACCATGCTCAGCTAGCCAACGCCATAGATCTGTGCACATCAGACTATTCTCATTGCTGCTTTGACTCTGCTGTCCATTTTGATAACCACTCCCACCACACACACACACACACACACACACACACACACACACACACACACACGGGAACTGGCTCATGCTCTTATGGAGGCTTAGAAGTCCCAAAATCCGCAGTCAGAACATGAAGACCCAGGAGTACCTGGAGCACCAATGTGGCCTGAAAGCCAGCAGGTTTGAGACTCAAGAAAAGCTGAAGTTTCAGCCTGTCTCCAAAGGTAGGAAAAGACCTGATACCCATCCAGCTCAAGTAGTCAAGCAGGAGGAGTTTCCTCTTACTTAGCCTTTTCGTTCTGTTCAGGTCTTCAACTGATTGTATGAGGCCCACCGACATTAGGGCTTTATTTAGTTTTCGGATTCAAATGTTAATCTCTTCCAGAAACCCTCACAGCTACATCAAGACAATGGTTAGCCAAATGTCTGGGCATCCTCTATTTCAGTCAAGTTGACACATAAAATTAACCACCATAGTCATTTTTTTTTTCTGAGATGGAGTGTCACTCTGTCGCCCAGGCTGGAGTGCAGTGGCGCAATCTCGGCTCACTGTAACTTCCGCCTCCTGGGTTCAAGCAATTCTCCTGCCTCAGCCTCTTAAGTAGCTGGGACTACAGGTGTGTGCCACCATGCCCAGCTAATTTTTGTGTTTTTAGTAGAGACGGGGTTTCACCTTATTGGCCAGGCTGGTCCCAAACTCCTGACCTCAAGTGATCTGCCCACCTTGGCCTCCCAAAGTACTGGGATTAGAGGCCTGAGCAACTGCACCCAGCAACCACCATAGTCTTATAGGGAAAAACAAAATCTGCATTCAGGGAACTTCCAGGAGTTCAGTAGGAACAAAACTTTGAGTGTTTACTGGATTTTTCTCTGCCAGAATGTCTAAACATTCTCACAGTTATTGTCTCATTATGTGTCAGTCCCTCACACTCATCTGTGCAAGGTTCTAGGGCAGGACCTATTTCTCAAGAAGAAACAGACGTATCCATGATAACATGTGAGAGATTTTAACACACCTCTCTCTGTAACTGATAGAATATGCAAATTAAAAAAACAATAAGGGCAAAGAATATTTGAATAACACATTTAACATACTTGACCTTATTATTGACATATATGGAACATTGAAACCAACAACTATAGAACATATACTCAAGTGCACTTGGAATACTTATTGATATGCTAGGCCACAATGTAAATAGCACTAAATTTCAAAGAACTGAAATATATAATATAGCATATACTCAATGACCACAGATGGATTATGCTAGCAATAAAAAACAAAAAGAAAACTAGAATATCGGCTGGGTGTGGTGGCTCACGCTTGTAATCCCAGCACTTTGGGAGTCCAAGGTGGGCAGATCACAAGGTCAGGAGTTTGAAACCAGCCTGCCAACATGATGAAACCCCGTCTCTACTAAAAATACAAAAATTAGCCGGGTGTGGTGGTGGGCGCCTGTAGTCCCAGCTACTCGGGAGGCTGAGGCAGGAGAATCGCTTGAACCCGGGAGGTAGGGGTTGCAGTGAGCTGAGATCGTGCCATGGCACTCCAGCCTGGGTGACAGAGCAAGACTCTGTCTCGGAAAAAAAAAAAGAAAAAGAAAAAGAAAGCTAGAATATCCCAAAATGTTTGGAAATTGAGCAGTATACTACTAAATAACCCATGGGTCAAAAAACAAACCCCAGTGAACATTTAAAACCAGTTGAATCAAATAATAATGAAAATACAATAAGTCAAAACTTGTGAGAAGCAGCTAAAGCCATGCTTAGAGTAAAATTTATGGCTTTAAATGCATATATTAGAAATAAAAAATGGCTGAAAAATCTACTATCGAACTGTCTACCTCAAGTAGTTAGGAAAAGCATACAGAAATTAAGTCCAAATAAAGTAGAAGGATGAAAGTAGTAAAAAATGACAGAGGAATTTAGTAACAGAAAACCAAGATATGAAAGAGAGGATCAACAGAACCAAAAGGTAATTAGCTGATAAGACTACTAAAATTGGTAAACTTGGCTGGGTGTGGTGGCTCACGTCTGTAATCCCAGCACTTTGGGAGGCCAAGGTGGGTGGATCACCAGAGGTCAGGAGTTCGAGATCAGCCTGGCCAACATGGTGAAACCCTGTCTCTACTAAAAATACAAAAATTAGCCAGGCGTGGTGGCACGCTGAGGTGGCTGAGGCAGGAGACTCTCTTGAACCTGGGAGGCAGAGGTTGCAGTGAGCCGAGATTGCGCCTCTGCACTCCTGGACAACAGAGGGAGACTCTGTCTCAAGAAATAAATAAAAATAAAAAATAAAACAAAATTGATAAACTCCTGGCAAGAGTGATGAAGGAAAAAGGAGACACAAAAAACTATCCCTTCGGAATGGAAATAAGGCCATCACTACAGAGCCTACATTTATTGAACTATAGTGAGAGGATATTATAAACAACTATATTCTAGAAAACAACCATATTCTAGAACAACAGCCTACTTAATTGTCCTGTTTTAAGAAATTGATTCTGTTACTTATAAAAATCTCCCCACAAAGAAAACTCCAGGTCCAGATGTTTTAATGGTGAGTTCTTTCTAACATTTAAGGAAGAAATAATAATAACTTTATACAAAGTCTTCCAGCAAACAGAAAAACTGGGAATACTTCTTAACTCATTTTATCTGTTCAGCATTACCTTGATACGAAAACCTGACAAGAACATTATAAGGAAGAAAAATAACAGGCCAAACAAAGATGCAAAATTCTAAACAAAATATCAGCAAACCAAATCCAAAGGTCTATAAATAGGATAATACTACACAACCAAGTTGTGTTTATTCAAGGAATACAAGGTTGGTTTAACATTTGAAAACCAATCAACATAGTCTACCAAATTAACAGAATAAATTTTAAAATAATCATAGAATCATCTCAAGAGATGCAGAAAAATCATTTGATTAAAGTTACCACTGGCTGGGTGCAGTGGCTCATGCCTGTAATCCCAGCACTTTGGGAGGCCAAGGCGGGTGGATCACGAGGTCAAGAGAATGAGACCATCCTGGCCAACATGGTGAAACCCCGTCTGTACTAAAAATACAAAAATTAGCTGGGCATAGTGGCACGTACCTGTAGTCCCAGCTACTCGGGAGGCTGAGGCAGGAGAATCGCTCGAACTTGGAAGGCAGAGGTTGCAGTAAGCCAAGATTGCGCCACTGCACTCCAGCCTGGCAACAGAGTGAGACTCCATCTCAAAAAAAAAAAAAAAATTCACCACCTATTTATTTATTTCGATTTTTAGTAGAGATGAGGTCTCTCTATGTTGCCTAGATTGGTCTCAAACTCCTGAGCTCAAGTGATCCTTCCAACTTGGCCTCCCAACAGGCATGAGCCACCATGCCCAGCCACCACCTATTTATTATAAGATTCTTTTCAAGTTAAGAATAGAAGGAAACTTCTTTAATCTAATAAACAGCTTGCACAAAACACCTACATCAAACATCATACTGGTGAGATAAACACCTAAGAAAAGAATGAAAAAGGGTTCCCACTATTACCACTTCTATTCAACATTGTACTTGAGGCTCTCCTCAATGAGACAAAAAAAGATGTAGAATTAGAAAGAAAACAAATAGCCCAGCATGATGACACGTGCCTGTAATCTCAGCATTTTGGGAAGCCGAGGTAGGAGGATCGCTGGAACCCACAAGCTTGAGACCACCTAAGCAACATAATGAGACTCTGTCTCTACAAAAAATATGAAAATTAGTTGGACACGGTGTCTCACACGCCTGTAGTCCCAGCTACTGAGGAGGCTGAGGCAGGAGGATGCCTTCAGCCCAGGACCTCAGGTTGCAGTGAAATATGTTTGTGCCACTGCACTCCAGCCTGGACAACAGGGGGAGACCCCATATCAATCAATCAATCAATCAATCGATCGATAAGTAAGTAAAACTGTTATTAGTTGAGGGCATGGATTTGGATTGATTCTTCTGCCAGGGCCTGGCAAAGAGTAGGCACTTGCTAAATATCTGCTGAATGGACAGAGAGATGAATAGACAAAGGAGGTATTAAAACATGGGGCCCCAAGGTAGGGGCCTTTACTAGGTAAGCAGTAACCACTACATAATCAACAGAAAAAAATGAAACTTACAACAGTAAAACTGCATACAGTGAAAGTTTTTTTGATGAAATAATCAAATAAATATCCTTGACAAAACATTAATCAGCAGGCACAGTGACTCACACCTGTAATCTCAGCATTTTGGGAGGCCAAGGTGGAAAGATCAGTTGAGCCCAGGAGTTCCAGACCAGCCTTGGCAACATGGTGGAACCCCATCTCTACAAAAAATACAAACATTAGCTGGGTGTGGTGATGCACACCTGTAGTCCCAGCTACTCAGGAGGCTGAGGTGGGAGGATCACCTGAGCCCAGGCAGCTTGAGGCTGCAACGAGCCAAGATTATGCCGGTCTGGGTTACAGAGTGAGACCCTGTCTCAACAAAACAAAACAAAACAAAACAAAACAAAACAAAACAAAACAAAACAAAACATAAATCAGGAAATGCTTGGCCACTGTCTCCATTTCTGTTTTCTCTTTGGAGTTCCAGCAGGGTGTCAGGCTATTTGAATTCCTCTTTGACCCTACAGATGTTTTTGTCTTGTGTTTATGAATATAGGCTTTTAGATAGAATTACATCATATTGATTATTTTTCACTGAGAATATTTACCAGAACAAATGCCATTAGATCAGTTCAATACCTTTGATTTTCTACATAGCCTGTGAAATCTATTTCTGACTTATCCATTTTCATTTAATTTGAACTCAATTATCTTCATCTGAAAAATGATTTTCAATATAAATTTTATGATTATTTGAGTCATCCATCAATCTTAAAAATCTATGTCACAGCTTAATAATTATAGCTCTTGCCATTGTAAGTTATCTTTTGTGGTCTTTTTTTTTTTTTGATACAGGGTCTCACCTCACTCTGTCAGGCTGGAGTACAGTAACATAATCATGGCTCATTGCAGCCTCAACCTCCCAGGCTCAAGCGATCCTCCCAGCTCAGTCTCCTGAGTAGCTGGAACTACAGGTGTGTGCCACCACACCCAGCTAATTTTTGTATTTTTTTGTAGAAACAGAGTTTCACCATGTTGACAAGGCTAGTCTTGAACTCCTGGGCTCAAGCAATCCGCCCATCTCAGCCTTCCAAAGTGTTGGGATTACACGTGTGAGCTACCACGTCTGGCCTGTGGTCATTATTTCTATCTTCTATCAGGTCCACTTTTTCTGGGATGAATTTTGCAAATCTGCACTTTGTCAAGATTTTTTTTTTTTTTTTTTTGAGACAGAGTTTCACTCTTGTTGTCCAGGCTGGAGTGCAATGGTGTGATCTCGGCTCACTGCAACCTCCGACTCCCGGGTTTAAGCAATTCTCCTGTCTCAGCCTTCTGAGTAGCTGGGATTACAGGCATGCGTCACTGTGCCCGGCTAATTTTTATATTTTTAGTGGAGACGGGGTTTCACCATGTTGATCAGGCTAGTCTCGAACTCCTGACCTCAGGTGATCTGCCCACCTCAGCCTCCCAACTTGCTGGGTTTACAGGCATGAGCCATCATCGCCCAGCCAACATTTTTTTGATTTTTCCATCAACTTTTAGTCAATAAGTAATTTCACTGTATATGATTTAGCCATTTTCAGTTTTTGTTTTTTCTGTCGATTATGTAGCGTATAAGTTTTTTTTTGAGACAGGGTTTCACTCTGTCACTCAGGCTATAATGCAGTGGTGAGATCGTAACTCACTGTAGCCTTGATCTCCTGGGCTCAAGTGATTCTCCCACCTCAGCCTCCTGAGTAGCTGGGACAATAGGTGCATGCCACCATGCCCCACAAATTGAATTTTTTTTTTTTTTTGTAGAGATGGGATCTCCCCATGTTGCGCAGGCTGGTCTTGAAATCCTGAGCTCAAGAAATCCACTAGCCTCAGCCTCCCAAAGTGCTGAGATTACAGTTGTGACTCATGGCGCCCGGCCTGAAACACAGACTTCTTACCCTCTTTGAAATCAGTTTTGACTGACAAAGGGTGATTGTTCACAATATATAAAGACTTTCTGAAAATAGAGGGAAAAAGAACAACCCTTTAAACCACAATGAGGTTTCGGGACATAGCTATTAGAACAGGTAGACTTAAAAAAAAAGTGATAACACCAAATGCTGATGAGAATGTAGAGAAATTGAATCATCATGCATTGCTGGTGGGAACATAAAATGATACAGTCACTGTGGCAAACAGTTTGGCAGTTTTTTTTTTCTTTTGAGATGGAATCTCGCTCTGTCACCCAGGCTGGAGTGCAGTGGCATGAACTTGGCTCTATGCAACCTCCGCCTCCTGGGTTCAAACAATTCTCCTGCCTCAGTCTCCCAAGTGGCTTGGACTACAGGCGTGCGTCACTACTCCCGACTAGTTTTTTGTATTTTTAGTAGAGATGGGGTTTTACTACGTTGGCCAGGCTGGTCTCAAACTCCTGACCTCAGGTGATCCACCCACCTCAGCCTCCCAAAGTGCTGGGGTTATAGGCGTAAGCCACCACGCCTGGCCGGCAGTTTCTTGTAAAACTAGACATGCACTTATCATATGACCCAGCAATCATACTGTTAGGCATGTATCCCAGAGAAATAAAAACTTTTGTTCACACAAAAACCTATACATGAATGTGCATAGAGCTTTATTTTATTCATAATACAAAAAAAAAAAAACTGGAAACAATCCAGATATCCTTCAATGAGTAAATGGCTAAACAGACTCTGGGACATCCACATGATGGAATACTATCCAGTCATCAAAAAGAATGAACTATTGATGCATGTAATAATTTAGATGGATCTCAAGGGGGTTGTGCTTAATGAAAAGTCAATCTCAAAAGGTTACATTTCCTAAATGACAAAACCAGAGAGATGAACTTACTAGTAGTTGCCAGGGGACAAGGGAGGAGGGACTGCACAAGGGAGTTCCTTTGTAGTGCATGGATCAGTTTTGTATCTTGACTGTGGTGGCGGTACATGAATTTGTATGTAAGAAATCTCATCGAATTATACACACACACACACACACACACACACACACACACAAATTAATGCACGTGAAAAATGGTGAAAACTTAACCAAGTCTGTAGTTTAGTTAAAAATATTTTACTGGCCAGGCACGATGGCTTACAACTATAATCCCAGTATTCTGAGAGGCCAACGCCAAGAGGATTACGTGAGCCCAGGGGTTCTAGACCAGCCTAGGCAACATAACAAGACCCTGTCTCTACAATAAATTTAAAAATTAGCCGGGTGTGGTGGCACGTGCCTGTAGTCCCAGCTACTCAGGAGGCTGAGGTGGGAAGATTGCTTGAGCCCAGGAGATTGAGGCTACAGTGAGCCATGATAGCATCACTGCATTCCATGCTGGGCAACAGAATGAGACCCTGCCTCAAAAAAAAAAAAAATTACCAATGTAAATTTCTTGGTTTTGATATTACACTACCATTATATAAGATGTCACTATTGGTGGAAGCTGGATGAAGGGTACATGGGACTCTATGTACTATTTATTCTTATGTTTATTTTTTTCTATGTACTATTTTTGCAGCTTTCTTCAAGTATATTATTTTTTCAGACTAAAAAGCTTTAAAAAGATGGCAGCAATCCTTTAGGAAAAAAAATGGGCAAGTGGCCAGGCGTGGTGGCTCATGCCTGTAATTCCAGCACTTTGGGAGGCTGAGGCAGGTGGATCACTTGAGGACAGGAGTTTGAGACCAGCCTGGTCAACCTGGCGAAATCCAGTCTCTACTGAAAATACAAAAATTAGCCAGGTGTGGTGGCCCATGCCTGTAGTCCCAGCTACTCAGGATGCTGAGGCACAAGAATTGCTTGAACCCAGGAGGTACAGGTTGCAGTGAGCTGAGATTGTGCTACTGCACTCCAGCCTGGGTGATGGGGCGAGACTCTGTCTCCACCCCCATCCCCACCCCCACCCCCACCCAAAAAAATAGAAGGCCAGGTGAGGTGGCTCACGCCTGTAATCCCAGCACTTTAAGAGACTGAGGTGGGTGGATCACCTGAGGTCAGGAGTTCAAGACCAGCCTGGCCAACATGGCAAAACCCCATCTCTACTAAAAATATAAAAATTAGCCAAGTGTGGTGGTGGGTGCCCGTAATCCCAGCTACTCGGGAGGCTGAGGCGGGAGAATCGCTTGAACCTGGGAGGCAGAGGTTGCAGTGAGCCGAGATTGCGCCACCGCACCACTGCACTCCAGCCTGGGCAACAGAGTGAAACTCTGTCTCAAAAAAAAAAAGAAAAAAAAAAAAGAAAAGAAAAAGGAAAAAGACCAGAAACAGAGTTTATCGAGAAAGAAATGCAAATAATCCTTAAGCTTATGAAAAGACGACCTGACGACCTACCTTGCTCATAATAAGAGAAACGCAAAGTAAAACTACACTGAGAAACAATTTCTCACTCTCAAAATTAGCAAAAATCCATCTATAGAATGCAATATGATGCAGCTGTAAAAAAAGAACAGAGAATGGACTCTCTCTACATATTTCTCTTTATTTCTTTTTTTTTTTTTTTTTGACACAGGGTCGCACTCTGTCGCCCAGGCTGGAGTGCAGTGGCGTGATCTCAGCTCACTCACTGCAAGCTCTGCCTCCCGGGTTCACGCCATTCTCTTGCCTCAGCCTCCCGAGTAGCTGGGACTACAGGCGCCCGCCACCATGCCCAGCTAATTTTTTGTATTTTTAGTAGAGACGGGGTTTCACCGTGTTAGCCAGGATGGTCTCCATCTCCTGACCTCGTGATCCGCCCACTTTGGCCTCCCAAAGTGCTGGGATTACAGGCGTGAGCCACCGCGTCCGGCCGAAAAAACAAGTTATTTCCCAACTTCATCCACTAAAAAGAAAAGCCCAGAAACAATGACTAACCAATAACAATAAGCACTTAGACCTAGACTGTAAGTGCCATTAAATAAACCAGGGCTTCTTGGTTTATCTCTGGGAGGCTTTCCTGCCTCAGCCCCGCTCTCTCTACTGTTTTGCTTACTTAGATTCTATATTCAGGGAAGGAAATGCAAAGTGAGCTTGGAAGGTCTTGCTGAACCAGGAATCAAGGAATCTGTCAAAGGCCATTGGGGGTTGTGTCAGGAGCCACATTGAAGAAGCTCCCGCTAAGCTTAGCTGGAGCCAAGAATACTAACTGCAGTGGATGAAAATACATTACACATATTTAAATCCAGGAATTCGTAATGATACTACAAAAACAAAAACTCATTGGTCACCTTTAGAGAATGCTATGAACTAATTGTTCAGAAAATCGGCAAATAAAGGAAAGTATCAAGCATTTATTGTAGTCTTTTCTGAATGAATTACATACTTCAGGGTAATTAAATAGTTGATGAAGAGAAGAAAAATTCCAGCTAGTAAAGGAAGAGGAGATGATAGAATTATAATGTCACCATTTTGAAACATTTAATAGATTACTGGATCTAGGAATCATCATCAGTGAACGATAACATCCTCAAGACAGAAACAGTTTCACATTATTTGCCTCTGATGAAAGTATACTACACCATATGGGGTATCTTTTCCCCATATTATACTTGAGAATAATCAAGTCTCTTTTTTTTTTTTTTGAGACGGAGTCTTGCTCTGTCGCCCAGGCTGGAGTGTAGTGGCGGGATCTCGGCTCACTGCAAGCTCCGCCTTCCAGGTTCACGCCATTCTCCTGCCTCAGCCTCCCGAGTAGCTGGGACTACAGGTGCCCGCCACTGCGCCTGGCTAATTTTTTGTATTTTTAGTAGAGACAGGGTTTCACCGTGGTCTCGATCTCCTGACCTCGTGATCCGCCCGCCTCTGCCTCCCAAAGTGCTGGGATTACAGGCGTGAGCCACCGCGATTACAGGTGTGAGCCACCGCGCCCGGCCTTAATCAAGTCTCTTGAACTAATTATCAATTTACAGCTAATACAGGATACAGAGGAACAGAGATTTTCAACACTCTGCAATGTTTTATATTTTTTTAATGAAGTACTCTTGCAAAACATTAGGAATTAATAGAACTTTTCTATCTATTGGATTTTATTTTATTTATTTTTTGGTTTTTGGTTTTTTTTTGAGACGGAGTCTTGTTCTGTTGCCCAGGCTGGAGTGCAGTGGCGCAATCTCGGCTCACTGCAACCTCTGCCTCCCAGGTTCAAGGGATTCTTGTGCCTCATCCTCCCGAGTAGCTGAGACTACAGGTGCGCACCATCACGCCCGGATAAGTTTAGTATTTTTTAGTAGAGATGGGGTTTTACCATGTTAGTCAGGTTGGTCTCGAACTCCTGGCCTCAAGTGATCTGCCTGCCTCAGCCTCCCAAAGTGCTGGGATTACACGCGTGAGCCACTGTGCCTGGCCTATCTATTGGATTTTATGAACAAGAACATAAAACAACACAGGTATTTGGACACAGCCTTGGCCTTTGTGGGGGCTCCAGCTTCCCAGCTTTTCCCTCTGGGAGGCTTTCCTGCCTCAGCCCCGCTCTCTGTACTGTTTTGCTTACTTAGAGTATATTCTCTGAGAAGTGCTAGGTTGTTCCATCCTGAGACAACTTCTCCTGATCTTGTCCACTCTGCTCTACTCCACCCTGACATCCTTAAGTGCCTCCTGCCAACATTTCTAGAGCTTACTTCCTTAATAAAAACCAAAACAATACAAATGTAAACAAAATAAAACAAAACACAAAATATTTGTGTCTTGTTTGTCTCTGTGCAGAGCTTTAGAGTTGATGAGAAATTTACATTGGACTCTCTTAAATGAGGTTATATGTCAGTCTCTGCATTTTTCAGAAAGGTGAAATGACTTATACCCAAGATCACATAGCTTGGTTTGGTGCAAGGACAGACTGGGAGGAGGATTGGAATTAAATTCTGTCTGGCTCTTTAGTCTCTGCCAACTCTATCCCACTACCTCTTCAATGTAACACCTGATTAAAAATCACTGTCACAGGCACAAACCCTCAATCTTTGTCATTCCTCCCCAGATACCCTGCTCTTGTCCAACTAATTGTGAGAGAGATTCTTTACCTGGAACCTATCTGAGAGTCCACAGAGAGAACTCAGGGGCTCCACAATCTTGGATGGGAAAGTTACATTTTTACATTCATTTATATTTACAGAAATTTAGTATTTCCTCCAATTCTGAATATACATAACAAACCACAGTCAAACTGCAGTGCCACAGTACTTGTGACTTTGTCACTAACAGAAATCACAGGTGTTTTCATATCACAATTGTTGCAGATATCTCAAAATATTATTTGTGCTCATCATTACAATAAACTTTTGGCAGTCAAACTTAAATTGGCAGTGAAATCTTGTTACTTATTTATTTTTTTGAGACAGGGTCTCACTCTGTTTTCAAGGCTGGAGTACAGTGGTGCGATCATAGCTTATTGTAGCCTTGACCTCTCAGGCTCAAGTGATCCTCCCTTCTGGGTAGCTGGGACCACAGGTGTGCCCCACCACACCTGGCTAATTTTTTTATTTTTATTTTTTGTAGAGACAGTGTTTTGCCACGTTGCCCAGGCTGGTCTCCAACTCCTAAACTCAAGCGATCCTTGCACCTTGGCCTCGCAAAGTGCTGGAACTACAGGTGTGAGCCACTGCCATTGTGGAGTTTACAGCAGCTGGAGGAGAATGTGCAGGTGGTAACACTGGGCTTGGCCTGGTGTTTCTTCTGGGTTCCTGCAGCCCCTCGCTCTCTTCTGCCACGGCGTTGATTACGCTGGGATGTAATTGTGTCAGTGTATTCCTTAGAGTGTGAGTTCCTTGGAGACAAAGCCACGCTTGAGTCTGCCTTAGGCCCCTGGCACCAGCAAAAGACCTGGTTCGTACTTTAAGCTGAGTGAAAAATGAATAAATATTCAATGTTGTTCATCACCTTCCAGCTGGAGGAAACTCAGCTCTTCTGGGAATAAAAGCCCTTCAGTTCTGACCCTTTTTTGGGAGAGACTTCCCACCTTCTAGCTAAAATGAAAATTGGTGGCTCCCTTGTTCCCTATCTCCCATCATTCAAACATAACTCCAGAAACAAACAAGCAAATACCACCTCCTCCTGTCCCCTGCCCCCAGATCTCTCTTGCTCTCTGTACAAGGCAAAGTTATGAAAGTCCTGGATTAGGCACTGGGTTTTCCATGAATTAACTCATTTCATCCTGTGAAGGAGATAACGATAATCACATCTTACAATTTAGGACATAGAGGTCCAGTAAGGAGAAGATATTTTTCCAGTGTCACAGCCTGTAAGTTACTCAGGTGGGGTATGAATCCAGGTCTGGCCTCCCTGTCTCTGTGCACTTTGTATGACATCAGAGTTTTTCACACATTAATTAGAAATATTGGCTATCCCAGGAGACAAGGCAAGAACTAAGAGTACAATAGGACTTAAAAAGAGAAAAGGCACAGATTCAAAGACAATGAATGTTAACATCAGTTTTCCATAGCTGCTGTTAGGGATGACAAATTAAATGGAACTGATGAACATTTTTTTTGTTTGTTTTTGTTTTTTGAGACGGAGTCTCGCTCTGTGGCGCCCAGGCTGGAGTGCACTGGCGCAGTCTCCGCTTACTGCAACCTCTGCCTCCTGGGTTCAAGAGATTCTCCTGCCTCAGTCTCCTGAGTAGCTGGGATTACAGGTGCCAGCCACCACACCTGGCTAATTTTTTTTGTATTTTTAGTAGAGACTGGGTTTCACCATTGTTGGTCAGACTGGTCTTGAACTCTCGACCTCAGGTGATCTGCCCACCTTGGCCTCCCAAAGTGCTGGGATTACAGGCGTGAGCCACCGCGCCCGGCCCAGAACTGATGAACATTTACCAAAACAGGCTCCTCTGAATCTGGGGCTTAAAATACTTGCTAATTATTTGATTTCATGGGTTTCCAATTTAATTGGTGTATTAGTTTCCTAACCCAACTTAATTGGTGTATTTGTTTCCTAAAGTTGCCTTAACAAATTACCATAAACTGGGTGGCTTAAAACAACAGATGTGTATTCTCTCACAGCTGTGGAGATCAGAAGTCTGAAACCGAGGTGTTTGCAGGATTAGTTCCTTCTGGAGGTGCTGAGGAAGAATCGGTTCCATGCCTCTCAGCTTCTGGTGGCTGCCAGTATTCTTGGCATTCCTTGGCTTGGGGCTTCCTGACTCTGATCTTTGCTTCCATTCTCACATAGCCTTCTGCTCTATGTCTCAGGCACAGAGCTTTCTCTTATGAAGACATCGGTCATTGGATTTAGGGACCACCTAAATCCAGGAGGATCTCATCCCAAGATCCTTTCTTAATTATATCTACCTAGACCAACTCTGGGCCACAGAGATGCATCGGACCACCGTGGGCCCTGCTTTCAAATGAGGTCACATTCACAAATATGGGGGTTAAGACTTGGTCAATATCTTCTGGGGAGACACAATTCAACCTGCTACAATTGGTATACTTTTTTTTCCCAACTTTATGAACTTGAGGGATTTTATGTAAAGGATCCTGCTAGACTTATACTCCAACCATTTCCCTCCAGATTATCTTCTGGTCTTTGTCAGTAACAATTCTCACTCTATCAGCTCTTCATGACATGCAAAGCATCTATTACCTTAGTTAACAATTTTATCTGCCCTAGGAGGTCTCCAAGGTTGGCTTTTGATTGTTTGTTTGTTTGAGATACGGTCTTGCTCTGTCGCCCAGACTGGAGTGCAGTGGTATGATCTTGGCTCACTGCAGCCTCAATCTTTCAGGCTCAAGCAATCCTTCCCGTTCAGCCTCCTGAGTAGCTGAGACTACAGATGTACACCAGCACACCCAGCTAATTTTTGTATTTTTTGTAGACATGGAGTCTCACTGTGTTGCCCAGGTTGGTCTCAAACTCCTGGGCTCATGCAATCTGCCTGCCTCAGCCTCCCAAAGTGCTGGGATTACAGGTGTGAGCCACTGCACTGGGCCAGGTTGATCATTTTACAGATGTGGAAACAGGCACATCCGGGGCAGTGAATTGACAGAGGACACCCAGCTAGGAAGTGGCTGAGGCAGGAATTGAACCTAGAACATCAAGGCTCCTTCCTTGTATAGTTGCTGCTGTACAAGAGTTTCAGTGTCTGTAATCAGTTCATGCAGATTCGTGATTCACTCTTGCCCTTAACTTTATTTAATGTGTACTTTTCCCTTGTCATTCTAATTGATTATATAGTCTATATACTTGTCATGTTAATTGATTGATTCATTAATTCAACCACCATTTATTGAACCCTTACCCTGTGAGAAGCCCTGAGCTGGACTGAGCTCTGGGCCACAGAGGTGGATCAGACCACCTTAAGCCTTGTCCTTGGGGGCAGCATATAGACAATGATCGCAGAATGTGAGCAGAGCTGTGGGAGCCCAGAGTGGACTTCTAACCTAGCCAGAGGTCAGCAGATGCTTTTTGATGTCTGAATTAGGTCTTGAGGATAAGCAGGATGCAATTTTCTGCTTTTAATATTGGTTATTATAATTAAATATTAGGATGGGCATTTGATACTCATCTGTCGATATTAATGGTATGCTGTTAGCTTTCTAACACTCTGGCAAGCAGGCATAGCAGGTTTATATAATAGTCTTCAGCATAAATGGCAATAACTTCCATTTGCCCAGTGTTGGGTCATTTACAAAACATTTTCACACCTCTTGTCTCATTTGCTGTGACAAAAAGCTCTTTGAGAGTGCTCTGTTTATATTCATGTGATTTCTCTTGTTTTAAGTCTTAGCTAAACTGAAAAATTATATTTAATTTTCCAATAAGATCATTACAAAAGTTTTTAAATTAAATGAGATAACTTTGGAATTTATAATCATTCCAATTGCACTGAGGATTAAACCAAGGCCTGGTTCTAATCCTAGTGTGGCCAATCCCTTCCTCTCTCCCGGTCTCAATTTCCTCTACTATAAAATGGACATGTGAGGGATGTTTAAGCTGAAAGATTTAATGAGATAATGGATCTTAAGACACCAGCATAATACCTGCTTCATTCAAGATCAGTTCTCCTAGCATGATCTCTAATGTCCATTTTCCTGTGATTCTAGAGCAATTCTTTTTTTTTTTTTGATGGAGTTTCACTCTTGTTGCCCAGGCTGGAGTGCAATGGCACCATCTCGGCTCACTGCAACCTCCGCCTCCCCGGTTAAAGCGATTCTCCTGCCTCAGCCTCCCAAGTAGCTGGGATTACAGGCATGTGCTACCAGCTAATTTTTGTATTTGTAGTAGAGACGGGGTTTTGCCATGTTGGCCAGGCTGATCTCGAACTCCTGACCTCAAGTGATCCACCCGCCTCAGCCTCCCAAAGTGCTGGGAATACAGGCATGAGCCACCACGCCTGGCCTAGAGCAATTCTTAAAGTAAAGCTGACGCATATGTGCCAAAGCTCCCGAAGAGATGCTTTGAGAAAGAGGTGGCAAAGAAGCATGTTAACACAGCTGGGAGAAAACCCTTGCAAAGTACAAGTTAATCAGATAGTAACAGGCAAAGGATAGCGTTTTGACACTGTCATTTTGACTTCGAGTTTGTTTTGATGGGGTTGCAGAAAAAAATTATGGTAGAAATAATCAACACAAAATTAAACTGACAATGGCTAAATCTACACATGATGAAATTTACTATGGATAAAAAAGCAAACTGAATGATCCCATCTTTGCTGGTAACACTGCAATCTGCAAAGTTGTTCCCTGGGAAAATTCTACTTAGAAATAATCAATACAAGATAAATCCAACAATGGTTCAAATTACTGTCAGGAAAAGGTGGACTTGGTAGAAATAATGACTAACAAAGAAATTTCATTATAACCCACCAATAATCAGTAAAAATAGATAAAAATAAAACTGTTGGGTGAATCAAATTTTTTTGTTGTAAAATTCATAAAGAATATATCTTTTTTTATTATTTTTTAGAGATAGAGTCTTGCTCTGTCACCCAGGCTTGAGTGCTGTGGTGCAATCATGGCTCGCTGCAGCCTTAAAATCCTGGACTCAAGTGATCCTCTCGCCTCTGCCTCCTGATCAGCTAGAACTTACAGGTGCGTGCCACCACACCCAGCCAGTTTTTCTATTTTATTTATTTATGTTTTTGAGATGAAGTCTCACTCTGTCATCCAGGCTGGAGTGCAGTGGCACGATTTCTGCTCACTGCAGGCTCTGACCCCCAGGTTCAAGTCAAGTGATTCTTCTGCCTCAGCCTCCTGAGTAGCTGGGACTACAGGTGCGCACCACCACACCTGGCTAATTTTTTGTATTTTTAGTAGAGACGGGGTTTTACCATGTTGGCCAGGGTGGTTTCAAACTTCTGACCTCAAGCGATCCGCTCATCTCGGCCTGCGAAAGTGCTAGAATTACAGGCGTGAGGCATGATGCTAAGCCCAATTTTTCTATTTTTTGAAGAGATGGGGTCTCACTGTGTTGCCCAGGCTGGTCTTGAACTCCTGGCCTCAAGGGATCCTTCTGTCTTGGCCTCCCAAAGTGCTGGGATTATAGGCATGAGCCACAGCACCGAGCTGCTAAATAATATATCTTGAGGCCAGGCGTGGTGGCTCACGCCTGTAATCCCAGCACTTTGGGAGGCTGAGGCAGGCAGATCACGAGGTCAGGAGATCGAGACCATCCTGGCTAACACGGTGAAACCCCGTCTCTACTAAAAATACAAATAAATTAGCTGGGCGTGGTGGCGGGCGCTTGTAGTCCCAGCTACTCAGGAGGCTGAGGCAGGAGAATGGCGTGAACCCAGGAGGCAGAGCTTGCAGTGAGCCAAGATCGCGCCACTGCACTCCAGCCTGGGCGACAGAGAGAGACTCCATCTCAAAAAAAAAAAAAAGTATATATATATATCTCTTGATAAAAATTCAGTATAGAAAAATATTTTTAAAAGTTAGAAATCACTTAACTGTGCTATATCAAAAACTTATCCAGGAATTAAATTGGTTTAATATAGTTCATTTCTTTAAAACTTTCATAAATTCATTAATGTTGATATAAATCAGAGTTGAAAGTTTACATATCATGATTTTGCAGGGATTTAGAGAGAGAATTCTCAAATGGTTAGATGAAGGGTTTGGACTGTAAGTGGTATTTTACAGTCTTTAAAGCACTTTCACACCCATTCTTTCACTGGATTCTCCTAATAACCTTATGAGGTGGCAGGGCAGGCGGGACTCATTCCTTCCATTTTGCGGATGTATTATAGTAACTGAGATTTCGAAAAGTTAAGGGACTTACTAAATGTCACCCATCATGTTTATGGCAAGTTCTAATTTAGGATCTGATTCTCAGATTACTAGTCCAGTAAGCTTCTCATACCTATTTATTCTCCTAACTCAGACAATGCTTTACTTGCTGGATAGACCAAGCTAGCCCCTACTAGGTAGACCGCCTAGCCCCTACTTTGTGCCACTAGGAGAAAGAAGTGGGGAAATGGAAGAGGAGAAGATGGGGTTTAGAAGAGGGCAAGGTCAGTGTAACACTAAGAGGAAGAGACTTGTTTGTCACATATCACCAACATATGATAGGTATCTTTCTCATTATTCTCAGAAAAGGGAGAAGAGGGGCTGAGATTTTAAGGCTGGGAGAATAGGATGTAAAGGGAGATGGGCAGTTTGAAAAAGAGAGTGCCTGATGTATTTGGGG
The DNA here is from genome assembly GCF_000001405.40 of Homo sapiens. Classification (NCBI taxonomy): domain Eukaryota; kingdom Metazoa; phylum Chordata; class Mammalia; order Primates; family Hominidae; genus Homo; species Homo sapiens. The sequence continues at coordinate 73,601,265 of NC_000011.10, read as the reverse complement.
AAAGTGAGTCCTGAGGGACAGGAGTCTAACTAGAGTGAGGTGGGGTGAAGCTAGAGACGCTGCAGCGGGATGGGGACTAAGTCATCCTCTGAGCTAAGCAACCTGGGCTTTTTCCTGTAGGCCTGTAGCAGAGCTAAAGTGTCCTAGTTGTTCTTACAGAACACCAAGGAACAATGGCATATAAAATTGAAAATATCAAATTCTGCTGGGCGCAGTGGCTCATGCCTGTAATCTCAGTACTTTGGGAGGCCGAGGTGGGCAGATCACTTGAGTCCAGGACTTTGAGACCACCTTGGGCAACATGGCGAAACCCTGTCTCTATAAGAAAAAAAAAGAAAAAAGAAAAATTAGCCGGGCATGGTGGTGCCTGTAGTCCCCGCTACTTGGGAGGCTGAGGTGGGAGGATCACATGAGCCCAGGGAGTCGCTGCGGCAGTGAGCTGTGATCATGCCACTGAACTCCAGCCTGGGCGACAGAGCGAGACTCTGTCTCAAAAAATGAAAAAAGAGAAGAAAATATCAAGTCAAACAGGGCTTAAATGAAAAAAATCGTGAAATCAAAAATAATCTGATACTACATTCTGTATTCTAGAAGAGCTGGACACAAGGGTCAGAAGAAGAGAAAAACTTTTTTAAAGTGCAAGACATATAGCTTTGTGTAGGCAGAGCTGCATAGGCCCTTTACAATAACTCTGTACCTCTCTCTTCACTTCCTCTCCCCACCGTGATCTCTGGCCAACAGATTAGAAACCACTGCTATAAGAATTCAGATAAGCCGGGAGCGGTGGCTCACGCCTGTAATCCCAGCACTTTGGGAGGCCGAGGCAGGCGGATTACCTGAGGTCAGGAGTTCAAGACCAGCCTGGCCAACATGGTGAAACCCCATCTCTACTAAAAATACAAAAAAAAATTAGCCAGGCATGGTGGCACATGCCTGTAATCCCAGCTACTCGGAAGGATGAGGCAGGAGAATTGCTTGAGCCCGGGAGACGGAGGTTGCAGTGAGCCGAGATTGCACCACTGTACTCCAGCCTGGCTGACAGAGCAAGACTCTGTCTCAAACAAACAAACAAACAAACAAACAAACAAAAAAGAATTCAGATATAAGGAAAACCAGTGTGTCTAAAATATGTTCTAGGGAAGGTAGGACTTTGGCTTGAGTTTGAAGAATGAGTAAGAGAAAAGGAGAAAATGGGTGTGGAAAGACCAGAAATGGAAAAATTTTGAGAAGACGCATTGAAAATTGAGAAAATTCTCCCTTCCAACTTTATGAATTGGAAGTGACTACTATTATTTGTTTTAATAGTGGAACTATTAAAACCAGGCAGGCACAGTGCTGAAGCATGAATGAGACAATGGGAAGCCATGGAAAGCATCTAGGCAGCAAAGAAAGGTTGTTAGATTTGGAAATTATGTTTTTTGGAAGTAGCACAGCTTAAAAAATTGTCCAGGTGTAGTGTGGCTCACACCTGTAATCCCAGCACTTTTGAGAGCTGAGGCAGGAGGGTCTCTTGAGGCCAGGAGTTTGAAACCAGCCTGGGCAATATAGTGAGACGACGTCTCTTACAATTAAAACAAAACAAAAAAGAAAACAAAAAACAGTCGTTATGTGCTCCTTTTAAACAATTCAAACAATATGAAAACAAAAATTACAGTCGGGCATTGTGGCTCATGCCTGTAATCCCAGCACTTTGGGAGGCTGAGGCGGGCAGGTCAGGAGGTCAAGAAATCGAGACCATCCTGGCCAATATAGTGAAACCCCATCTCTACTAAAAATACAAAAATTAGCTGGATGTGGTGGCGCGCGCCTGTAGTCCCAGCTACTCAGGAGGCTGAGGCAGGAGAATCGCTTGAACCCGGGAGGCAGAGGTTGCAGTGACCTGCGATCGCCCCCACTTTACTCCAGCCTGGCTATAGATCCAGACTCCGTCTCAAAAAACAAAAAAAACCTACGTGCAATCTGACACCCTTTCCCCCAAGATAATCATTGCTAATATTTTGGCGAACCTCTTTCCTGAAATCTCTCCATGCTTGTAGAATATTGTGTCAAACCTCACATAAATGCACTCGTGTAGACATGCTGTTGTGTAATCAACTTTTTCCCCGAAGAATAAATTGTGAATAGCTTTTCATGTCAATAGATTTATATCATTTTAAATGGCTCCTTAGTATTGCATTGTATGTATATGTCACGTCTTATTTAAGCAGCACCCTATCGATGAACATTTACTCCCTTCATAATTAACTACGTCATATAACAACTTTGTGCATTCATCTTTTCGAAATTGTTCGATCATCTTTTTAAGGTAAATTCTTAAAAGTAATGGAGCTGGGTCAAGAAGAGGATATGCCCTTTGTCGTTTGGATTCAAGTTGCCGAATCGTCCTCAAATTTGCAGGGAGACCAGCGAGGAAGCTCCGGCATTAGTTCTGGTGAGAGACAGCTGAAACGGAGATGGCGAGGGATGAACAGAATCACAGGTGATCTAGCCCATCAAGGCCCATCCTCGGTGGGCTGGCGTATTCCTTCCCTTTTGCCTCTCTTTCACTTCTTTTTCTTAACATGGAGGAAGAACCGAGAACTCCATCTCCCAGCATTTCGCAGGGACCACACTCCCTGGGAACTGTAGTACCGGGTCTGAGAAGGGTCCGGAAGGAGAATAGGAAGCTGAGGGGCATGCTGGGAGGTGTAGTCCAGAGACAGAGACGAGAGGGAGAGGGAGAGAGGGAGAGAGGGAGAGAGGGAGAGACAGAGAGTGTGTGTGTGTGTGTGGGCGGGGGGAGGGGGGTGTCTATGCAAAGAGGATGGAGACGCTGCGAGTACGGCCCCTTGGGGATGGGGCCTCGGGCGACCTGACTTTCCTCACAGGTGGTCTTTGAGTCTACAAAATTCGCCAGCGGATGGTTGGCTTTATTCCACTGTCCGTGACCGGAGAGGGCGCGGCCCCTCTGCACCGGGCTCGCGGCGGGAGGCGCAGGCCGCGCGCGGGCTAAAGCAGGGCATGCCGGGAGTTGTGGTCCCGGCGCTCTGAGGCTGTGGGACGTGTCGCGGCGCCGCGCCGGCTCCTCCTTCCCTGCCCTTCTGAGCGGTCCCCCGCCTCCTCCCTCCGCCTCCTCCTCCCTCGCCCGCAGCCGAGCGTCCCCTCCCCCCACCCGTCGGGCTCCTCGGCGGCTACTGCAGAGGATTCAGAGCCGAGTCGCTGAGGAGGAGGCTCCGGTCCCCGCGCGCCATCCGCCACCCTACTGGACACGGGCGAGAGCGTCGCCGCCGTAGCCTCCGGAGAAGACAAGGGCATCGCCGCCTCAGCCGCCGCCGCCGCCGTTTTCGCCTGCAGCTGCTCACCGGTGAGGAGACTCCCCCCGCCACAGGGTCCGCTGGTCCTGAGTCTGGGCCGGTGGCGCTGGCGAGAATGAGAGGGGAGGCTGCGGAGCCCCCGTGCAGGTTGGGGGGAGGGGGTTGAGGTCGCGATGGAACGGCGGGCTGGCGGGGGAGACTTGTCCAGGCGCTGGCCGGGGGTGGGGTGAGGGTGGGACCCAAGCAGGTTGGGGGGCGGGCGACAAGGGAGGAGGACTTTTGATGGAGAATAACCCAACCTGGGACAGGAGAGTGGGGTGGGGGCGTCGGGTTGGAATTCGGGATGGTCTTGGGGCGAGGTGGAAGATGAGACTAGGGTGGGATGGCTTTTAATGGGGGAGGGGACTGAATGAGGGTGGTGATTTGGGTTTGGCCTGGAGCAGTTGACAGCTTGGGATCTGAGCTGGGGTGAGGGGCAGGGGAATGATTTCAACGGAGAGTGAGTGGCATGTACAGGGTTGGTTAGGGCCCTGCGTAGTGTTAATTCAGAAGGGTGGAATTTGGGGTGGACCTGGGGCAGGATGATGGAGGTGGCAGGAGTTGGGGGTGAGGGGCTTGGCATGGGTTGAGACCCAAGCTTGAAGTGGGTGTTTGTCATCTGGGGCTGGTGGAATTTGTGGAGACTTATGGAATAGCATGGGTTAGGATAGAGCAGAAGAGTGCAATTTGGGGGTTTCCTGGGGTGGGCTGATGGAGGTTGGAATAGGAGTTGGTGGAGGTGGGACATTCAGTGAGGGGAGTGTGATGGTGAGCTGGCAGGAAGGGGCCACATTGGAAGTCAGGCCCGAAATGGGAGGACAGGGATGGAAATGGAGTGTGGGGCACAGTGGGTTGGATTTAGGGTGATCTTACAATCACTGGAAAGGGCATGGTGGCTCCTTGGTTGCAGAGTCAAGGCAGAGGGCACATAAAACATCACTGGGCTGCTTTCATTGAAAGGATAGCGGCAGGGGTGAGCAAAGTTGGGGGATGGTATCTTGAAGAAAATATCCCTTGGCCAAGGTGGCAGAGGGAGTTTTGGAGAAGGACTTTCGGAGATGAGCTGGTAGGCCTGGGGAGGTGGTTGCTGATGGTGAGGTGGCACAGGGGAAATTTAAGGAATGGGAGACCTGGAGCTGTTGGTATGGATGGGGCAGAGAGGATGGAGAGGGACAGTGAGCTGTGCTGGAGAGCAGGGGGGAATTGGGTTGGATTATTTTGGTGGTGAAGGATTGGGGTGGCCTCCAAGAGACACATGAGGGTTAAGGGTTGGAATACTTAAATGAACAGCCTTGGTGGCTGTGGTTGGGTGAGAGGCAGTAAGGCTGTTAGAGGGGACTTTGCAGGGGACACGGAAGAGACCTTCTCATTCTTAGGGGCCATTTTAATCTGTTCGGGTGATGTTTTTGTTTGTTTTATTTATATTAGTAAAATTTGGAAGTCAAGTCAGCCCAAAGGGTAAAGTTGAAAGGGGATTTAGTTAAGGTAGAATTAAGGAGGGGAGGGTGTCTTCTGTTATTTGTATATCATAAAAAGTAAGTTGGGGGAAAAAAGCATACTTCCAAACTAAAGGTGGGAGAAGATAAACTGGAATGTAATGGATATCTTTCTATATGATGTCTCTGCCTTTTCTTTTCCCCTCTCCTCCTGGTGTATTTAAAAACTAGCCAGGCATTTTGAAATTTAAATAGATTTGATGAGCTTGAGATTGTTAAGGGTGCATTCCTTGCTTGAGAACTAATGAGTGAGCCTGAAAAATATGAGACTGAATTTATTTTGTAGGTAGGTAACAAGCACATAGGCAAAAAGAGCTTGGGCCTTTTTTACCCCCTCTTTAAATTGATTGCTTGAAGACGCCATTTGTTAGTGTCCTGGTTTGCAAGGCAATTAGGCCCATCATTGTATTGCAGGCTAATAATCCTGAGATGAGTCTTGGCACCACCGCTTTATGTAAACAGAGAAGACAGGAAATATGGAAATGTCATAAATATTCATTGGTGAGATGGTTTGGTACTGATGGAGTTTTTCATATGATTGTCTTTTGACATTGATAAGATTTAGAATAATTGGACTGTATTTCTAAAGATTGAATTTTCTTCCAAAGGAATTCAGGTGATCAGAATTCTGTCAGATGTGAATAAATAAAGCATATTGAGTCATTTTTATTTTATTTTTTGGGGAATGATGTTGATGTAGTCGCATTGTATTAACTACAGAAACAGCATCTCCACCTATTCATCAGAAATTCGATTTAAACCTTAGCGATATGCTCATTCTTAGGGCAGAACGATGATAATGGAAGGTACACAGGAGTGCAAATGGAGGGAACATCTTTAGAGAAACAGTTCTATGGACCTAATTGCATTAACTGTGATAATATGTTAAACATAAAGTGGCTGTTGATTAGAGCTCAGACTGAAAAAAAATGAGGAGGGATGTAAAGAAGATAAAATTGGCACCATTGGGATCGAAATAATTCTTTTTATTTTTGTTCAAGCTTCAGAATTTAGCTCGCAAACAAACCATTTTCCTTGGCTTTCACGATTGAGCATATAAAAATACCATTTAGAATCTTTTTTTTTTAGCTCCAAAATGGGCAGAATGATGGAACGTTGGACTTATCCTTTGAATTGAAAGTGTTTTGTAATGAGGAAGCTTTCTGTATTATAATAAAGATCAGGTTTGAGCAGTTACCTGTAATTCAGTGAGACTGTAATCTAATGTGAGCATTTCTCTCATAACTTTACTCTGAGGTCTAGACGTTGTTTTTGCAGATCTGCAGGCTTGGTCTAGAGGTGGGATGTTTATATTAAAGCCCTAGCTTTTGAAAGCCCAAAATGAAAAGTGCCTGGGAGAAATGTGTTGGTGGATTTTTTTTTTCCACAGCCGTGGTTACCTGTGTAGTAGTAATGTGTTTTTGTATCTTTACCTCATTTGATCCTCCCGATATCTTGGTGAGAAGAGAGCAGATGGAGGTATTGATAGACAGAAGCCTTTGTGGAACGAATAGCCCATGAGTTTAGGAGTTGAGTCCCAGATTCAAATCCCAGTTCTACTACTTGAAAGCTGAGTGATTTCAGTCAAGTCATTAAAAACCTTTCAGATGGCCAGGCGTGGTGGCTCACGCCAGTAGTCCCAGCACTTTGGGAGGCCGAGGTGGGTGGATCACTTGAGGTCAGGAGTTTGAGATCAGCCTGGCCAACATGGCAAAACCCCATCTCTACTACAAATACAAAAATTAGCTGGTAGCACGTGCCTGTAATCCCAGCTACTTGGGAGGCTGAGGCAGGAGAATTGCTAGAACTGGGGAGGTGGGCAGTGAGCCACGATTGCGCCATTGCACTCCAGCATAGGCAACAAGAGCGAAACTCTGTCTCAAAACAAACAAACAAAAAACAAACAAAAAACCTTTCATATTTAGTGGTAATGGCTGCAAAACATTGTGAACATAGTTAATACCACTGAATTGTACACTTAACTTTGGTTAAAAAGGTAAAAATACACACACAAAAAAACCTCAAAAACCAAAAAAACTGGCCAGGCATAGTGGCTCACGCCCATAATCCCAGACTTTGGGAGGCTGAGCTGGGAGTATTGCTTGAGCCTAGGAGTTCGAGACCAGTGAGGGCAACATAGGGAGACCCGTCTCCACAAAAAAAAAAAAAAATTTGCTGGGTGTGGTAGCGTATACCTGTAATCCCAGATACTCAGGAGGGAGGTGGGAGGATTGCTTGAGCCAGGGAGGTCAAGGCTGCAGTGAGCCATGATCGTGCTTCCCTGCACTGCAGTCTGGGTTACAGAATGAGACCCTGTCACACAATCAAACTTTCATACTTCACAAGGCTGTCAAGGGGAACAAACCAGTTCATGTCCTGAAAACACTGTACATATATGAAATATCTGTTCACTATTTATTTATTTAATGAATGTCTGCTAAGTGCCAGGGGAAATAAAAATGAACAGAAAGCAGTTGTCAAGGAGCTTTCAGTGTCATGGGAAAGATAGACAAATACGGTGAGAAAAGTGAGGCAAAATGAATGCTATGGTTAAATGTGGGTTTTGAAGTCTGTCTACCACTTACTATTAGCTGTGTGACGTTGGGCACAATGGGCTCATCTGTAAAGTGCGAATAATAGAATTAACATCATAGGATTGTTTTGAGGATTAAATAAGATAATCAATGGAAAGCATTTCACACAATATGTTTTATAGTACACATTAAAAAAATTAGTTGTTGCCTTTATTGTTAGAAAGATAGGCAGAGGCTAGAATGGTGAATAGCCTTGTGTGCCCTACCAATGAGTTCTTAGTATTGTGGTATTTATTAATGAGGTATGATTTTGTTTTATGATCTCATGCATATTTGCATGTTTACAGTCTAGGAACTTTAAACAGTTCTTTAAATGCCAAAGTCCTAAACAGATGTTAGCTGTTAGCTTCCTCATTAATAAAATAAGAAGAAAAATTATGCTCTGAGAGGTTAAATGACTTGTTTAAGGTTACACAGTCAGTGGAAAAGTCTGGGTTACAGCCCCCAAATTCTAATTTGTCATCCCCATTTATATCCTTTTTTTAAATTGTAAAATATGTCATATGTATAAAAGTATATTTAACATAAACCCACAACTTAAAGAATAACAAATTGAAGGCTTTTCTACTTGCTACCCAGCTTAACAAAAAGGAGATTTCTAGTACCTTTAAAGCCTCTTGTGAGGTCCTACTTGATTGAATCTCCCATCTTCTCTCTCCCTCAGAGATAAACAGTTTCCTAAATTTTATGTGAATCATTTCTTTGCTTTTCTTTATACTTTTACCAAATATGTGCATATCCCTAAACAGTATATTTTTTACCTTTGCAACTTTTTATAAATAGAATTATAGGATAAATATTCTTCTGACTTGCTTTATTCTTATTCTTATTTTTTAACTTTTAAAAAAGCTTTATTTCTTCCACCATTAAATAATGTGTGCTCATGATAAAAACTAGAAATTACAAAAAGTAAAAAGAAGCATAAGTATTGTTTTTAGTCCTATTACCCAGTAACACTTTTTTTTTTTTTTGGTAGAGACAGGGTCTCGCTATGTTGTCCTGGTCAAGTGATCCTCCTTCCTCGGCCTCCCAAAGTGCTTACAAATGCAGGCATGTGGCACCATGCCTGGCTGGCAAATGCTTTTTGTAGAAAATATTTTGTGCCACATATGGCCTCTGTTGTTCTTTCTCCTCCCTTCCACTCCCCTTCCTTTTTGTCTCCCCATCTCCCTCCCCGTTCTTCTCCTTCCTGAAGCCCCTCCTCTTGCTTCTCCCCATTCCTTCTTCTCCCTCCCCTTCTCTTTCTCCTCCTTTTATGTGGTTTTAAGAATGTAAAACTCACAGGCCATACAAAAATAGGCCATGGGCGGGCCATAGCTGGCCGACCCCTGGTACGTTAACAGAAATCAACTCAAAGTTGTAAAATATTGAAGAGGAAAGAGACTAAACCAAGTTCATATTTCTTTCTCTATTTTGTTAAATTTACTTCCTTGGACAGTTATGCATATCTTTAGTATTGAAAACAATGGTATAGAATTTTTTTGTCAAATTATGTTTATCTAAAAGTTTAACATTTTATTAAATGAGCCATTATTTTCTGTATGAAGACACTCTGAGAAAACCTCAGTTTATAAAGTTCCAATACACCTCCTCCTCCTGCCAGTTAGGCAGGTGTCTGGGTCCTTTCAGAATATGCCTATTTTATGATGATATAGGTTGTGCTTTTTCTTAGATATAGACATTTTGAAGGAACCCTGAGATGATATATTTTTCACAGTAAACTTCAATCCTTGGCTACTTGAGATTATGATCTTGATTTGCCTTCTGATCATGTCGCTCAAGCTTGACGATTTCTGCTAACTTGTATTTCTTTTCTAGCCTCTGTTTTATAATTTTTCTAAGTATTTTAGTTTTCTAATGTGTCTTCCTCTATCTTTTATTTTGAGTTGATAGCAAATGTCTCTATCAGTAGATAACAGCTATGCTATTTATACTTATGCAAATATAATGGCGCCATTTTATATATAGTTCTTAGGTTGGTCATGTGGCATTATTTTCATTTTAAGGATGAAGAAATTAAGACTCTAAGAGGGTAGCTGGGTGCAGTGGCTCACACCTGTAATCCCAGGATTTTGGGAGGCCAAGGTGGGAAGATCGCTTGAGCCCAGGAGTTCAAGACCAATCTGATCAACATAGTGAGATCCAGTCTCTACAAAAAACAAAAATATTATCTGGATGTGGTGGCGTGCACCTCTGTTCATAGCTATTTTGGAGGCTGAGGTGGGAGGATCACTTGAGCCCAGGAATTTGAGGCTACAGTGAGCTATGATCATACCTCTGCTCTCTAGCTTGGGCAAGACTATATCTCAATAAATAAATGAATAAAAAGATTCAAGAGGGTAATTTGTCTTAGGCCATAAGACAAGTAGGGAATTAGCAGGGAAAGACAAAAGGTACCTAACATTTGAGTGTCTATGGCAGGCAGTATGCTGGGTGCTTTCTTTTCCTTATAGATAGAATTTAATCCTCATATTTGTGTCGTATAAGGAATTGTGATCATTTTACAGAAGAAGAAACTGAAGCAACTGAGGCATATAGTGATTAACTAGTTTGCATTTGTTTACATAGCTAGTAAGAGAAGAAAAGCTCGTATTTAAAAACCTGATCTGCCTTGCTCCAGAGCCATTGTTCTTTTTGTTGTACTGCATATAAATCTTCCTGGTTTTAAGCTGTTAAATCAGTAGTCTTCTTTTTTTTTTTGAGACAGAGTCTCGCTTTGTCTCCCGGCCTGGAGTACAGTGGCACGATCTCTGCTCACTGCAAACTCTTCCTCCCAGGTTCAAGTGATTCTTCTACCTTAGCCTCTTGAGTAGCTAGGACCACAGGCCCGTGCCACCATGCCCGGCTAATTGTTTGTATTTTTGGTAGAGATGGGATTTCACCATGTTGGCCAGGCTGGTCTTGAACCCCTGACCTCAGATGATCTGCCTGCCTCGGCCTCCCAAAGTGCTGGGATTACAGGCGTGAGCCTGCACCCAGCCTAATCAGTAGTCTTCAACCTATTTAGACAGGTAGTATCTGGCTACTCTTTAGAATCACCCGAGGAGCTGTTTAAAAAAAAAAGATATGTGTCAGTTCTACTCTCGACCAGTGTTAACAAAACTTCTGTAGGTGAGCATAAGGCAGATGTGTGTATATTTATATGGAAAATATAAATTAAAAATAAATTATATTGAGGTATGTATAACATGTAGAAAAAAATGCACAAAATGTATAACCAGCATTCGGATCAAGAAAGGGAACATTATCTCCTCCTCCAAGGAAACCAACAACTTCTAATAATGTAGATTATTTTTGCCTGTTTATGACGTTTCATAGGTGTGACTGGCTTTTCATATATAATATATTTGTGAGACTCATTTATTCTTGTATGTAGGTGTAGTGTGTTCTTGCTTATTGCTATGTAGCAACAGTTTCTCAAACATTTTGGTGTCTTCACATTCATATTTATTGACAACTCCAAAGAACTTTTGCTTGCAGTGGCACAGTCATGGCTCACTGCAGCCTTGACCTACTAGGCTGAAGTGATCCTCCATCCTCAGCCTCCTAAGTAGCTGGGACTACAGGCATGTGCCACCATGCCTGGTTATTTTAAAATTTTTTTTGTAGAGACAGGATCTTGCTCAGTTGCCCAGGCTGGTCTTGAACTCCTAGGCTCAAGCAATTCTCCTGCCTCAGCCTCCCAAAGTACTGGGATTACAGGCATGAGCCACTGCCTTCAGCTGTGTTAGCATATTCTAATGAAAATAAGTATATTATTCTAAATGTAAAAAATTAGAATAATATTTTACATTTAAAACAATCTCTTTAGTATCTTATTGGATCTGCCTCAGTATTCAGTCTGTTGCAGTTTGTTGTTTTGCATGGAATATAAAGAAAATCCAGTCCCACAAAGGAGGAATTTTCTTTTTCTTTTTAGACGGAGTTTCACTCTTGTCGCCCAGGCTGGAGTGCAATGGCAGGATCTCGGCTCACTGCAACCTCCGCCTCCTGGGTTCAAGTGATTCTCCTGCCTCAGCCTCCCAAATAGCTGGGACTACAGGCGTGCGCCACCACGCCCAGCTAATTTTTGTATTTTTAGTAGAGACAGGGTTTCAGCATCTTGCCCAGGCTGGTCTTGAACTCCTGACCTCATGATCCACCCACCTTGGCCTCCCAAAGTGTTGGGATTACAGGCGTGAGCCACCGTGCCCAGCCGAAAGGAGGAATGTTTTTATATAATTGTGGATATTCCTCTTTGATACTACACCAGTCATGTCCAGCCCTTTGAATGTGAGGACTTTTTTGCTTATCTGTAGTGGATATCATGAAAATTATACACACTTTTTTTTTCTTTTTTTTTTTTTTTCAGCTTATCAGCTATCGTTAGTGTTGGTGTATTTTATGTGAAGCCCAAGTCAATTTTTCTTCCAGTGTAGCCCAGGGAAACCAAAAGGTTGGACGCCCATGTTACACCAAAACTTGACAATTGGTAGTTTGTTAAGGTTCATTGCCTTGTACAGTCTGAACCATATCACTGAGCTTTTCATGCTCTGTTACATTAAAATCCATTGGTCTGTTTTTTTCTTTATTATTTTTTAATTTGCTTATTTCTCCAAGAAAAACCATTGGTCTGTTCGTACTTTGTTAGATCTTTTACCCGTGCATAATTTTTGTAGCATTATGCGTTGGTCATTTGGAAAATATTGGTTCACTGAATATCTTAGTCTGCTCTGGCTGCCATACCAAAATGCCATAGACTGGGTGGTTTAAACAACAAAAATTTATTTTTTCGCAGTGTTGCAGGCTAGAAAGAAGTCCAAGATCAGTGTTCCAGCATGGTTAGTTTTTGGTTAGGGCTCTCTTACTGGCATCTAGATGGCCATCTTCTCGATGTTTCCTCACATGGTGGATTGGAGAGGGAGAAGAGAGAGAAAGAATAAGTGCGAGTGGACAGGCAAGCTCTCTGGTGTCTCTTTTTGAAGGCACTCATTCCATCATGGCAGCCCCACCCTCATGACCTAATCTAAACCTAATTATAAATCATCTAAACCTAATTATCTCCCAAAGGATGTGTTTCCAGATACTATCACATTGAGGAATAGGGCTTCAATTTATGAATTTTGAGGGGAGGCAGTTCAGTCTATATTATTGAGTTATTGTGGAGCATCTTTTTTGAGACCGGGTTTCACACTGGAGTGCAGTGGTGCATTCACGACTCACTTTGGCCTCAACTTCCTGGGCTCACGTGGTCATGTAATCCTGCCACCTCAGCCTCCCGTGTAGCTGAGACTTCAGGTGCAGGCCACCGTGTCTTGCTAATTTTTGTAGTTTTTCATAGAGACGGGATTTCACTGTGTTGCCCAGGCTGGTCTCCAACTCCTGGGCTCAAGTGATACCCCTGACCCAGCCTCCCAAAGTGCTGGAATTACAGATGTGGGCCACCGCACCTGGCCATGTGCAGATCTTCTGAACTGTATAATGTTTAAGAACCCACATTTGTTAATATCACCACTCATCTCATCAGACAAATCTTTTCTAATTTTCATTTGAAAGCTCAAATTTTATCATAGGCAACCAATACTGACAGTTGTTTTCGTTGAAGTGACAGTCTCACATTGTTCATTTTCAAAAAATTGTCTGCCAAACATCCAAGTCTGAATAATCATAGTTTTTCTGCCAGTCGTTTTTTCAAGTAAAAATGGTGTTTATTAAAGCAGCCAGTACAGTTTGCAACTCAATTGCACAAGTGCTTTAGTGCTTTTCTTTGAGACAATTCTTGTACCTTAATATGCAGCAGAAATGCTTTATGTGAGGCTCGGTGCGGTGGCTCACGTCTGTAATCCCAGCACTTTGGGAGGCCGAGGTGGGTGGATCACCTGAGGTCAGGAGTTTGAGACTAGCCTGGCTAACATGGTGAAACCCCATCTCTACTAAAAATACAAAAATTTGCTGGGCGTGGTGGCACACACCTGTAATCCCAGCTACTTGGGAGGCTGAGGCAGAAGAATCTCTTGAACTAGAGAGGCAGAGGTTGCAGTGATCCGAGATTGCGCCACTGCCCTCCAGCCTGGGCGACAGAACTAGACTCCATCTCAAAAAAAAAAATGCTTTAAATGTACATTCCATTTTTCCATTTCTTCACATAGAATATGAAACAGATGTATAATTAAGGATTAAGATTTAGTAAAATTAATACTTTTTTTTGAGATGGAGTTTTGCTGTGTTGCCCAGACTGGTCTTGAACTCCTGGCACCAAGTGCTCCTCCTGCCTCAGCTTCTCTAGTAGCTGGAACTACAGCTCTGCACCACTGTGCCTGGGTAAAATTAATAGTTTTTACGACTTCCAGAAGATTCCTTTTTTTTTTTTTTTGAGACGGAGTCTCGCTTTGTCACCTCAGCTGGAGTGCAGTGGTGCGATCTGGGCTCACTGCAACCTCCGCTTCCTGGGTTCAAGCAATTCTCCTGCCTCAGCCATCCAAGTAGCTGCCATTACAGGTGCCCGAAACCATGCCCGGCTAATTTTTGTATTTTTAGTAGAAACGGGGTTTTTGCCATGTTAGCCAGGCTGGTCTCGAACTCCTGACCTCAGGTGATCCGCCCACCTCGGCCTCCCAAAGTTCTGGGATTACAGGTGTGAGCCATTGCGTCTGGCAAGAACATTCTTTAATGAAACTGAAACTTAGTTTTTTTTTTTTTTTTTTTTTTTTTTAACATGTCCATGAAGAATGCAATGACACTATTACAGTTTGGTGTCACTGCCTTGATTCAGTATAAAATGACGTATTTTTATTTGTTGATATTATTATGTTTCTAGGCTTTACTTATTTCTTATTGGGGGAATGGCTGATGTTGTCAAACCTTTACTAAAAATACTGTTTTGAAAGCCAATGTGAATGCAATTTTTTCTTTGCCTTAGTAGAATAAAAAAACTTTAGAGTTGAACAGTTTCACAATTTTGTCAGGATGTTAGAAAATTAATTGGGCTTGGTGCTTACTTTTCTCCACTTTGTGGTTAAGGAAAGGTGTGAAATGGCTTTTAGAGAACTATCCATAGCTATGCATAAGAGTGGTTTTTAAGGTATATTAGGTCTCCCTACCCTTAGCCTGGTACATTTGCAGTAGAAAAAGACAAAGGTACAGATGTAGCCATAGGCAAATAATCTTGTATAATGACTTTGGTTTTTCACTGTGATTGGACAGAGGAGAATGGAGAAAGAAGTAGTCTAGACAAGTCATAGTGCTAAACATTATTTTATCTTCCAGTTAACACCCCTGTATAGCCTGGAACCTTTGTTCTGGGGGTGGGAAATTAACATTCATTGTGTACCGACATTGTGCTAGGCCCTCTTATCTTACTTAAACCTGACAATTTTTCTGTGTGTATGTGGCCATATTTTTTAGTTTTAGACATTTAAAAAGATGATGATGATGATTTTTTATTTTTCTTGAGATGGGGTCTTGCTATATTGCCCAGGCTGGTCTTGAACTCCTGGACTCAAGTGATCATCCTGCCTCAGCCTCCTGCATGGCTGGGACTACAGGTGTATGTCATTGCACCCTGCTGTGGTGGTCATAATTATTTTATGTGTAAGAAAACAGAGGCTCAGAGATGTTGAGCCTATGCAGGCCCATCAGCCAATAAGTGACTAGGGTGGGATTTAATCCCCAGACTTTTCTGCCTCCAAAACCTATGAGTGCTTTTTCCTATGTGACATGCTGGCTTCCAGAGACAGTGTCTCACTGATTATTTGTATATCCCTGATACTTGGAACTTAGCAGGGGCTTAGTACATTTTTGTGGAGTGATTGAGCCAGTGCTAAGTGAGTGAACCAGTTTTTACAGAGCAGGATATAACTCACCCACTCTGAGCTAATGTGCATGTTGGTACTACAAAGTATAGAGTAATGCAGTGGTTTTGCACACTAGGATCTGGTCACCATTTGTTGCTATGGGGAAAGGGTCAATCTCTTTTTTTTTTTTTTTTTTTTTTGTTTGAGATGGAGTCTTACTTTGTCACCCAGGGTGGAGTGCAGTGGCATGATCTTGGCTCACTGCAGCCTCTGCCTCCCTGGTTCCAGTGATTCTCCTGGCTCAGCCTCCTGAGTAGCTGGGTTTACGGGCGCGTGCCACCATGCTCAGGTAATTTTTGTATTTTTGGTAGTGGTGGGGTTTCACCATGTTGTCCAAGCTGGTCTCAAACTCCTGACCTTAGGTGATCCTCCTGCCTTGGCCTCCCAAAGTGTTGGAGTTACAGGCGTGAGCCACTACGCCTGGCCAGGGTCAGTCTTCTTGATGATAAATGTAAAACTATTTAAATAATTTGGATATTTAGTAGTCTAAGAAATTTAATGGGATGAATTTTCCCTAGATTGTTAATTATCTCTTTAGAAATACATACTGCATCTACTTTGTTCTGGCTTACTCTCTTAATAGCTATGAGACCTTGGGTATGTTACTACACTTTTCTGTGTTTCATTTTTGTAACCTTTAAAAGGGAAGTGTAGTAATAATAGTACATAATTCCTATGTAGTTGTGAGGATTGAATGAGATAATTCATAAAGAACTTACTACAGTGCTTGGCAAATATTAATTACTTAACAAATGGTAGCTGTTATTAATGTTATCTTTCTAGAGTAGAAGTATGGAATTTATTGTGACTTTCAGTATATGAAGAAGGAATAATGTTTTGTCTTTTAAAACACCTTTATTAGAGAAATTAAGCGCTGACTTTATTGGTTTCTGTATTTTGGGACCTATTTTCTGGTTGTAGCTTACTTGGTCTCTTCTTGCAACAGAGATCAAACTTTGGCTATTTGCCTGGATTTCTTGGTGAACCAGTGGAGGTATGGTATGACCTTTGACTCTCCATCATTCTTTTTTTTTTTTGGTAGAGATGAAGTCTCGTTATGTTGCCCAGGCTGGTCTTGAACTGTTGGCCTCAAGCAATCCTCTGCTGCCTTGGTTTCCCAGAGTGCTCGGACTCTATCATCTTTTTAAACTTTGTGGTTTTTGGTTGAAACAGATTGGATTGTTCTGGAGAGTTCACTGAGGTTGATAGTTTTTTCTCAATTAAAAATGTCAGTGGACTGGGCATGGTGGCTCACGCGTGTAATCCCAGCACTTTGGGAGGCTGAGGCGGGCGGATCACGAGGTCAGGAGATCAAGACCATCCTGGCTAACACGGTGAAACCCTGTCTCTACTAAAAATACAAAAACAAAATTAGCCGGGCATGGTGGCGGGCGCCTGTAGTCCCGGCTATTCCGGAGGCTGAGGTGGGAGAATGGCGTGAACCCGGGAGGCGATGCTTGCAGTGAGCCGAGATTGCGCCACTGCACTCCAGCCTGGGTGACGGAGCAAGACTCCGTCTCAAAAAAAAAAAAAAAAAAAAAAGTCAGTGGGCCAGCCATGGTGGCTCACACCTGTGATCCCAGCACTTCTGGAAGCCAAGGCAGGAGGATCACTTGAGACTAGGAGTTTGAGACCAGCCTGGGCAACATCTCTACAAAAAAATAAAAATAAATTAGCTGGGAGTGATGGCACATGCCTGTGGTCCCAGCTACTCGGGAGGCTGAGGTGGGAGGATCGCTTGGGCCCAGGAGGTCGAGGCTGCAGGGAGCACTGATCATGCCATTGCACTCCAACCTGGGTGACAGAGTGAGACAATGTCTCAAAAAAAAAAAAGTCAGTGAATGTAAAAAACACCCCTTTCTAAATTTTTTCTGACTAGATCAATCATCATTGAGGAGGTACAGTATTTCTCCATAATCCCCTGCCCCAGAAGCAAAGGAGTGTTTTTAAAAATATATTTCTGTGTTTACTTACATTTTGATCAGGCTGTATAATTATGAAGGGAAAAACCAACACCCTTTAAAATGAGCATGCCTGAAAGCCTGCCCTTCAACCAAGTGTCATTGTAGGGACACTGTCTCCTAGATAGGAGTTAGTGTTAAACTCTTGACTTAAAACCTTTGAGATGAGGTCCAGGTTTCCCAATATGGTATCTGAGGTAGTTCAAGATCCTCTCCCCAACTTCTTCACCATTGTCATTTATTGTCTCTCCTCCTGGCTTGTGCGTTTTACCTCCAGTACTCCTGAAGTTTGCATTGTACTATGTCTGCAGTTCTTCAGATGTGCAGTGCCTCTTTTCTCACTGTCTTTGCACGTGCTGTTCTCTTGGCCTAGATATCTCTTTGTTACTCTTAATTGGTCTACTCTGACTTAGCCTTTAAGACTCAGCCTAGGAGATAACCTTTTCCAGAAGGTTTTCCGTGATTTCCTAGGTTGGGATTGGGTACCCCATCTCTGGGTTACTCTGATTGTGGTTATCCATTTATTATTTGTTGGTCTCTTCCACTTGCAGTGGACAGGAGTTGTATCTGATCATCCTTTTATTCTCAGAGCCCATCTTGGGACCTTGTACAGAATAAGCATCAGTAAAGACATGTCAGGTGAATCCATCATTTCAAACTGGCCTATTAACAGCTGTAATTTCCCAATGAGTCAGTTACTCCATGTTGCTCTGGGCTGAGTTTTTTTTGTTTGTTTGTTTTTGTTTTTGAGACAGAGTCTTGCTCTGTCACCCAGGCTGGAGTGCAGTGGCGTGATCTCGGCTCACTGCATCCTCTGCCTCCTGGGTTCAAGTAATTCTCCTGCCTCAGCCTCCCGAGTAGCTGGGATTACAGGTATGCACCACCATGCCCAACTAATTTTTGTATTTTTAGTAAAGACGGGGTTTCACTCTTTTAGCCAGGATGGTCTTGATCTCCTGACCTCGTGATCCGCCTGCCTTGGCCTCCCAAGGTGCTGGGACTATAGGCATGAGCCATTGCACCTGGCCTGGGCTGAGTTTTAATAGAGTGTCTTCTATCATTGTTGTTGCCCCTTGCTCCCTGCCCGTTGTGTTGTCTCTACTCTACTTTAGCCCACTCTCATGTAGCTTTCCTTTACTCTTTGCCCATAGCTGGGTCAGTGGAGCTGTGTACACAGTAGACACAATGAGACTCAGAAAGAACTTGATTTATGACGGATCCCTGGAATCTCACTTGGAATGAATGCAGATCACATTGGTAAATGGAGAAGACGGGACCTTATGATTGCTTTTCTGACTCAGTCTAGAGTTCTTTTTTCTGCTTCAAAGTTTCCTCTTTATTAACCTTTGGTCAGTTTTAATTTGTAGATAATATAAAATGAATGCTATAAAACCAAATTGTATCAAATGCTTGTGTATTTGATTTTTACAACTGAAATATAAGACTTGACTTAACTATTTGATGGTAGAAAGATTGAGACTTTAAGAAATGTGGGTTTTTAATTACCCTATTAAGCCATTAGTAGTTTCTGGCAGGCAATTTTTTTTTTCCCCAGGCTGGAGTGCAATGGCACCATCTCGACTCACTGCAAGCTCCGCCTCCTGGGTTCATGCCAATCTCCTGCCTCAGCCTCCCGAGTAGCTGGGACTACAGGTGTGTGCCTCCACGCCTGGCTAATTTTTTTTGTATTTTTAGTAGAGATGGGGTTTCACTGTGTTAGCCGGGATGGTATCGATCTCCTGACCTCGTGATCCACCCACCTTGGCCTCCCAAAGTGCTGGGATTACAGGCATGAGTCACGGTGCCCGGCCTCTGGCAGGCAATTTTAATTAGGATTCCCCAAAATATTTTGCTGATTAGAGTCTTTGTAGCAAGCAAAAATAATCACTTATGCATCTATGCATTATTTTAGTCAACATGGATATCAGCCTCTATGTTAGGTTGGTTTTGATGATACACGGAGATGAGTAAGGTGTAGTTGCTGTCTTCAAGGAGCTCCAGATGCAATAGAGACAAGGTATAAACAAATAAGTTGGCTGGGTGCGGTGGCTCATGCCTGTAATCCCAGCACTTTGGGAGGCCGAGGTGGGCGGATCACAAGGTCAGGAGTTTGAGACCATCCTGGCCAACGTGGTGAAACCTCGTCTCTACTAAAAATACAAAAATTAGCTGGGCATGGTGGCGCATGCCTGTAGTCCCAGCTACTCAGGAGGCTGAGGCAGGATAATCGCTTGAACCCGGGAGGCAGAGTTTGCAGCGAGGCGAGATTGCGCCACTGCACTCCAGCCTGGGCAATAGAGGGAGACTCCATCTCAAAAAAAAAACAAAAACCAAGTTACAGTTCAATGTTATAGATGTTATAAAATAAGTAGCAGAGACAGGGTATTCAAACCTTTTTTTAGGGAAGAGTTCTTGGAGGAAGAGTAACCTGAGCTTATTTTTGAAAGAAGACTAGGTCTTATGTGTGGACAATTCTGGACATGGAGTCAGAAGAACTGAATTTGAACCCCAGCTTAGCCACTTACTAGCTGTCTGACTTGGACAGGTTGTTTAAGTACTCTGTGAATCTCAGTTTTTTCCCATGTAAAGTGGGGACAGTCATATCTATATCCACCTTTGAAATTCAATACATTTGAAAGAAGCTCATAAATGTGATATACAAGTATTCTGTTTTTTAGCTCATAAATGTGGTATACAAGTATTATATTCTGTTTTTTTCCAAGCCAAACTGTATCCAGCTTTATTAAAGATACTGTCCGTAAACAATCATGGCATTTCAGACAGGACATGTGCAGACAATCGTTAACAGTATACAACAACTTTCAAACTCCCTTCTTTAATGGCCTACCAAAAATCAGAAAGCCACTATAAAACCCAATGAAGTCTTCATCTGATGCTCTGAACAGGGAAAGTTTAGAGTGAGGGTTGACATTTCACATTTAGCATGTTGTTTAACAACTTTTCATAAGCTGACCCTGACTTTCAGGAAGTGAAGTGAAAGTGACAGAATTTACCTGAAGATCCACAATCTAGAAACGGAACCACTGCTCTTTTGACAGGTGCCATCTCAGTGGCATCACTGGAAAGTCCAGATTGCCTGACACACTGGTAACCAATGATTAGGGGTCAGGTCCCAACAGATGTCTGGGTTTAAGGGAGTTAAGTCTAGCTGAAAGGTAGAAAGGGAGAAGAGGACATAAAAACAAATTTGTTTTTCCATACCACAAAGCTTTTGTGCCAAGGTGGCCATGTGTGTCAAAGTCAGGGAATCCCTGCTCCTGGGAGCCAAGAGGAAGTCTCTCAAAACTGGAAGGGAAAGGTGTTTTCCCCACATCAATCCAGCTTTGGAGACATTTTATTAGTGACATAAGCCCCTTCCTCTCAAAACAACAAGGACATGTTCTGTGTGCTAACAACATAGCTTAAAAAAGTAAAACAAAATTCTGCATTTTTATAAAACTTGATTAAAAATAGTATTTCAAACTGTACAGTCACCAGAAGTACATGGTTATTAAAAATGCACACACTTCGCTTGGCATCTCCAGCACCTTCAGCTTTCTGTCCCTGGTCTGTTTTGGCATCTCCATTTTCTGTAGGGTTATCCCCATCCTGGCCAGCCTCAGCTTTTCCCTTTTTCCCTTTGGGTACCTTCTCTCCCTTCTTTGCAGGGGCTTTTTTGGCCTGGGCTCTATCTTTGGAGGAGCAGGTTTAGCAGACAACCTTGTGGATCTTCTCTGTGGTTCATCCTTCACCTTGGCTTTATCTCCTTTAGCATCCCCTTCAGCCTTTCTTGGGCATGGTGGCGGCGACAGTGACGGCAGCGGGACGTAGGCACTGGGCGTGGGATGCAGCGGAGCACAGGCTTTGGTTGGTCTGGGGGTCGTTCTCACCTCTTCTTCTGGTTTTTGTTTTTTACTTATTCATTGACAATTATATTTTGACAGATTGTAGCATCAGTTTTCTTACCCAAACCAGAAATAAGTGAGGAAAATATTGAGTATATTAGTGTGTAGACATCATTTATGAAGTGCTAACACTATAAACATGTATCAAGGCAAATATTTTAAAGTTCAGATCCATGAAACTTTGATTCTGTGCTATTGTACAAGATACTGCTTAAGGTACCTAAATGAATGGTATCTGAAAAATTATTGAGTTTGCTTCTGAGTGGCTTGGATAGCAACCAGCTGAACTAGAAAGAGCCTCATTTCTTGTCAGAAGACTTATGCTTGCATCCAAGTGATGCAACTTATGTCTGTGCTGCTGAAGGTTATTTAACATTTCAGAGTTTCATTTTCTCCATCAGTAAAGGAGAAAAATAATAGTTACTTTGTAGACTGTGAATTAGGAATAAACTG
The DNA here is from genome assembly GCF_000001405.40 of Homo sapiens. Classification (NCBI taxonomy): domain Eukaryota; kingdom Metazoa; phylum Chordata; class Mammalia; order Primates; family Hominidae; genus Homo; species Homo sapiens. The sequence continues at coordinate 73,579,692 of NC_000011.10, read as the reverse complement.
GATAAATTGCTTACCACTAGCTTTTATCAGTTAAAAGTTAATTTATGGAATATTAAACAAATTTCCATTTAATTACATTTCTTTAGAGAAACTTGCTCTAAATGGTGGGTGGGGGGAATTCTGTTATTTATGCTTTACTGACACTGATGATATTTTACCTCCTTCTTCCAGTTATTCCTCAATAATTTTGTAAGGTGAGTTTAAATCTCAGCTATTGTACTTCCTTGCAGTGTGACCTTCAAAGTTACTTAATCTTTCTATAACTTATTTTCTCCATCTATTAGGTGGAGAATTAATGGCATTTATATTATATAGTTACTTAATCTTTCTATAACTTATTTTCTCTATCCATTAGATGGAGACATAATGGTATTTACATTATATAATTGTTAGGAAGTAACTAAAGTGCTTAGTTCAGTGTTTGGCACATAGTATGATTTCAGAAAATGGTAGTGCTATGGACTGAGTGTATCCCACCAAAATTCATATGTTGAAACCCTAATCCTCAGTGTGATGTTTGGGGTGGGATTTTTGGGAAGTAATTAGGTCATTAGGATGGAGCTCTATAAGTGCCTGTATAAGAAGAGACACCAGAGAGCTTACTTCCTCTCTCTCTGCTTTCCACTATGTGAGGATACAGTGAGAAGAGGGCCATCTGCAAACCAGGAAGCTGACTGTCACCAGACACCAGATCTGCTAGTACCTTGATCTTGGACTTCCCAGCCTCCAGACCTGTGAAAAATAAATGTTTGTGGTATTCTGTTATGTACACAGCAGCCTGAGCTGACTAAGATGGATAGCATTGCTATTGTCACTTTCATTTTATAAATGAGAAGGTGAATACAGATTTAGAAACCTGATTAGATTCATAGTAAGAGGCAAGGATGGGATTCAATCCAGGTTTGTGTGATGCCAAAGACTTTACTGTTTATTCTTTTACCAGGCTACATTTTGTAATTAACATTTCATTTGTATGGAAACGTATTCTGAAATGCTGTAGAGTGCTTGGAAGTAATTTGTTATTCTTGGGTATTTAAAACTTTCAGTGATGTTTTACTAACCGTTTACATAAACTTGAAACTAAATTGGTTAGGGAAAGAAATCTTTGGCCTGGCCTCCCTGTGATCAGACAGTTTTAGGGCAGATATTCTGGGGTGGTAGTCAGTGGTTAGTAAAAAGAAAATTGTGTGTGTGTGTTTGTGTGTGAGTGTATTTTCTCCTAAACAGCTTCATTGAAGTAAAATTGGCATACAGTAAGTGATACAAATTTTATGTACAATTTGCTAAGTTTTGACATACATATACACCCATGAAACCATCACCACAAAGCAGATGGTGAACATATCCATCACCTCCCAAGTTTCTTGGTGCCCCTTTGAAGTCTTTCCCTCCTCATTCTCCTCATATCCCCCCCATTTAAGCAACCACCTATCGGCTTTTCTATCACTATAGATTAAACAATGGTCAGATCAATCAGGATTCAGTCAGTTCACCTCTCAGCTGTAGTTTGATCGTCTGTGAAACAGGGATTCTACCATCTTCCCAAAGGACCATTGGAGAAGATTAGGATTAATGTGTATAAAGAGCCTAGCATAATGTCTCTTGCATAGTAGGCCCTCAGTCCCTGGAAGCCAGTATTACCAGCAAGCTTTCACTTGGTGGTCTAGAGTACATTTAGGAGTTCAGAGTGCCAAAATGCATTTCTGTCACTTAGAGCTCCTGTTCTCTTCCACTGAATGGGCTTCCAGTGTTTTTGAAACAGGAAAATTTACATTTAGGCAGCTTAAGGCCCTAAGGGACGTTCTGTTGCTCCTACCTTCCCTCCCTCATGCCCAGTGTTACACATGCTATTAATTATGAACAGATGTTCTTCAAAAATAAGCAAAGATCTCCACAGCAGGTTTTTGCATTCTTTATGCCTATGTTTAAGTCTGGCATTGTGATCAAGCTGCATAAGCAATGAGTTTGTAGTCAGAGTTCTGGGTTTTAGTTCCTATTCTGCCTTGGGCAAATCATAAAATCTTTCTGAGCCTCAGTTTTCTCAGTGTGAAGTGGTGGTGGTGGAGTCATACCTCAGAAGTTTGTTGAGAGGATCAAAGGAGAATTCTGAAAGTGAATTGTATGATGAGGTTATAGTTCATCTGCATCCTCCCATGACTGCCTCACAGTGTCAGAACTTTGTAAAAGGATCAGGCAGCATTTAAATCTGATATCTTACAGGTTTTTAATATAAGTATTTTAAATTGGGCTCTGCTAATAGAATAAAGTGGCAAAAATAAATAACAACAGATAAATAATTTGTGAAATTATTTGCTCAAGGTTAAAAGTGCTTCCATTTTAAAGTCAGAGAAACTTTAATTCAGATATTAGTTAAGTAGCTGTGTGACCATGGACAAGTTATTTAATTTCTCTGAGCCTTAAATTCTCACCTGTTAATAAGGCATATCTGTTCTACCTCAGAGGGTTGTTGGGAGGATTAGAAATAATATGTGTACCATAGTTGGCATATAGCAGATGCCCAGTGACGCTAGCTTCATTCCTTCCATTTCCAAAATTGGTAGATTTGTGGATTCGTTGAACTATTCCTGAAGGGATGACTTTTGCCTTCTCTATTCCGTGATGCGGTTCAGCACAGGTTAGCTGTTAGGTAGTGTCTCAGGTTTCCCATTCAAGTCTGTAAATGTCATTTGAGCTTTATGGTGCTAGCAGTTATTGCAAAGGAATTTTTTTTTTTTTTTTAAATAATGGGAGGCACCTATGCTTTGCTTTTGTACTTTCTCATCAATTCTCATTGCTCTGTCTAGCTAGAGATACTTTGTATTGTGAGAGCCAGGGAAACCAGGGGCCATTTTCTTGTCTCTCTGTGTTTATTTGGGTTGGAGGATTGTCTAAAAGTTCCCTAGTGAATAAAGTAGATTTGCTGAGTTCAGATTCTTCCCTCCTGGGTGAGCCCAGGATCGAACTACTGGGCAAGAAAAGAAATAGGAAGATGTGGAGAAAACTGGTGAGTTCTGCTTGTAAAGTTGTCAGGATCTTTGAGTTGGGGGGCATGTAGAAAACAGTTGATTCCCCATTTCCGTCTTCATTTCCAGAGCCTGTACACTCCAACACAAAGGGAGCTTTAAGATGGAGGTCTGCATTGTAATTTCCTAGAAATTACTGCTTCTGGTAACCGCTCATTCAGTTTTCACCTCTTTGCTGCAGTAGATGAAACAATGGGGACAATAAAACCATTTATCTGATGGCTGTAGCCTCAATGGGATGTTTGTTTTAATAATGGTATAATTTGCAGGGTTCATAAATTGTGATTTTATTCTCATGGAAATAACTGCCCGGTGGTATTTGGATTCTCAGGTCTCCTGTTGTGAATAATTTCGCTAACATTCTGGCTGACAATTCCCTTTATTCTACACTTCGATTTAGATTGTTCATGCTGGTTGGGTAATTAGCCCAGAACAGAGCCAGTTTTTTTCAGTTTGGGGATGGCAGGTGGTTACTAGGTAACTAGAAGATCTTCTGAATGGAGAAGAAACTCTGCTTAGGGATTCAAGGCAAATACCCAGGTTTGTTTTGATTATCTGGGATTTAAAAAATTATCTAATACCAAAATATTTGATGAAAATTGAAATTTAATTCATCTGAATATTTGTTTTCCATGACACCAAACAACCCATTATATTTGGAATATCCTATGTTTGAGTTTTAAATTTTCATGTGCATGTTTTGGCAGGGAATATCCACAGAGGGCAGAGGCTGATAATAGCTACACATGCTAGACATTGCCATAGGTGTTTTACTTACATTATGTCTAATTTTTTTTTTTTTGACATAGTTTGACTCTTGTTGCTCAGGCTGGAGTGCAGTGGCACGATCTCGGTTCACTGCAACCTCCACCTCCCAGGTTCAAGTGATTGTCCTGCCTCAGCCTCCCGAGTAGCTGGGAGTATAGGTTCCTGCCACTACACCCAGCTAATTTTTATGTTTTAGTAGAGACAGGGTTTCACCACGTTGACCAGGCTGGTCTCAAACTCCTGACCTCAGGTGATCCACTTGCCTCAGCCTCCCAAAGTGCTGGGATTACAGGTGTGAGCCACCACACCCGGCCATTTCTAAATCTTAATGAGAACTCTGATAGGTAGGTATTGTTTCCATGTTACCCATGTAAAAAGTTAAGACACGTTTAGTAACTAAATTAAGGGATTCAGCTAATTAGTGGCAGACAGTTTACCAGATTCAAAGCTTATCCTAGGCTTTCAATTACAGGGTAAGACATTCTGAAGATACATTCAAGTTGAAATTAAACTGTTAGATATTACAGCAGTTGGCTCAAAAATAATATTATATGTGAATTAATACCTATCATCAGATGTATATATCTGATTGTTCTTCCTGTCATTTAATCTTGTTTTACAGCAGTAACATACATGGAATATTTTGATTATCTCACCAAAATTAAAGGACTTCTAGGCATAATCCTGTTTTAAGAATTCTTTAAAAGGCTCCAAAGCATGGCGTAGTCACTGGAAATAGCCTCAGACTTGGGTTTCAAAATCTTGGCACTGCCATTTATTGGGTTATCTTGGATAAACCTTTTGACCATCATTGGATAACCCTTACTCTTGTATGAGCCTTATTTTGCTCATCTGCAAAATAGGGATATGATACACACTTTACAGGGATGTTAGGGTTAATGTATGTGGTGGGGTCTAGTATATGACTGTAATATGTTGGTTTCCTTTATTGAGTAATGCTACTGCTAGTAGAGTATCAGGGGATAATTTGGTGCTTTCATCATTGGCCTCAGGATTTATTAAAAGATGGCCAACATCGGATGGGCACGGTGGCTCACACCTGTAATCCCAGCACTTTGGGAGGCTGAGATGAGCGGGTCACTGGAGGTCAGGAGTTTGAGACTAGCCTGGCCAAAATGGTGAAACCTTTTCTCTACTAAAAAAAAAAAAAAAAAAAAAAAAATGCCAGGTGTAGTGGCACATCCCAGCTACTTGGGAGGCTGAGGCAGGAGAATCACTTGAACCTGGAAGGCAGAGGTTGCAGTGAGCCAAGATCATGTCATCGCACTCCAGCTTGGGCGACAAGAGGGAAACTCCATCTCAGAAAAAAAGATGGCCAACTTCAAGTGCCATTATGTTATATTTTCATGTGATGCTGTTAAACTAATAGAGCTGATTTTTCTCCAGGAACTTGCTGTTCCATCTAGGTAATTTGTTTAAGGGGCAGTTAGATAGATGATGTATTTTTTTATACTCTCTTGGTCAAGAGAGTGAGTGCATATGTGGAAAGGGCATTGGATTTGTGATTATACAAACTTGGTGGGAGGTCCAGCATTGCTGTTTACTAGCTAAGTTTCATGGGACAACTGACTTTCTCTGTTTGAAACTTGGGATAGAGATAATAATAGCCAACTTTCCCATCTGTTGTGAAGATCAAATGAGATAATGAATGTGAAAATGCCTTTTAAATTGGAAAAATGCCAGCCAAGATAGTAACTATTATGTGACATTCATAATTAGTATTAAGTGGGGCTTAGAGAATTAATTACTTTTTTTTTTGAGACAGGGTCTTGCTCTGTCACCCAGGCTGGAGTACAGTGGTGGGCTCATGGCTCACTGTTGCCTCCACCTCCTGGGCTTAGTGATCCCCCTGCCTCGCCTCCTGAGTAGCTGGGACCACAGGTGTGCAACGCCATGCCCTGCCCCCACCCCTGCCCCTTGGTATTTTGAGACGAATCTTGCTCTGTCACCCAGGCTGGAGTGCAGAGTCCCGCTCATAGCTTACTGCAGCGTGGAACTCCTGGACATAGTGATCCTCTCACCTCAGTATCCTGAGTAGCTGGGATTATAGGCATGTACCACCATGCCTGGCTCATTCTTGAATTTTTTGTAGAGACAGGGTCTCTATGTTGCCCAGACTGGTTTCGAACTCCTGTCCTCCAGCCAACCTCCTGTCTTCCAGCCAACCTCCTGTCTTGGCCTCCCAAAGTGCTGGGATTACGGGCATGAGCCACTGTGCCCCGTCGGAATTCACTGCTATTTTAAGAGGCAAATTTAAAATTTCCCTTGAACTATATAAAGACATTTTGATGAGTTTTATTATGGTAGTCCTTGGGGACAGCAGAAGAAAAGAGGCCAGAATGATGTTCTGGGTAGATAAAGTATTGAGTGAATGTAACTGCATAGTGGAAATGAGAAAATGGGGTGTGGTACTACTGTGAGGCAGGCCCAGAGGACTTAGAGAAGAGCTTAGACTTGAGATTTGGATCTTGGTCTAATCTTGATCCCTAGAACAAGGAAGTGGGAGGCTCCTTGATTAGAAAAACTTAGGACACAGGGTAGTGTGTGGAGAACTGTTGAGGAATAGGGATAGAGGTAACAACTGTAGCTTCCGTCATGATGACACTCAAGTTGAAATCCTGGTTTTAAGCCTTCTAGGAGTATGTACAGAAGTTAAAATAGATTTTTTTTCATTCCTCTTTCTACCTTCTAACAGTTAAGTGTGTCCATTTTTAGGGGAAAGTTCCAAGTGCGTCTTGCGATTATTGTGCATGAATCCAGTGGTGTCTCTCAGGTGAGCACATTGATGTATCTTCATTTAAAGAGGTGCAGATGGTGGCTGGCAAATGGGGGATCTGCTTCCACCGGCTAGAATGCTTAATTTTATGGAGGCTTATTCAGATTATCTCTTACCTGAAAATTGATTCTGTTTACAGCATTTCAGTAATGTGGATGAAATTTTTCCTAAGTGGAACATCAACCTAAATTTTCAGTGTGTTTAATTAATTATTTATTTATTTATTTATTTTATTGATCATTCTTGGGTGTTTCTCACAGAGGGGGATTTGGCAGGGTCATAGGACAATAGTGGAAGGAAGGTCAGCAGATAAACAAGTGAACAAAGGTCTCTGGTTTTCCTAGGCAGAGGACCCTGTGGCCTTCCGCAGTGTTTGTGTCCCTGGGTACTTGAGATTAGGGAGTGGTGATGACTCTTAACGAGCATGCTGCCTTCAAGCATCTGTTTAACAAAGCACATCTTGCACCGCCCTTAATCCATTTAACCCTGAGTGGACACAGCACATGTTTCAGAGAGCACAGGGTTGGGGGTAAGGTCATAGATCAACAGGATCCCAAGGCAGAAGAATTTTTCTTAGTACAGAACAAAATGAAAAGTCTCCCATGTCTACTTCTTTCTACACAGACACAGCAACCATCCGATTTCTCAATCTTTTCCCCACCTTTCCCCCTTTTCTATTCCACAAAACCGCCATTGTCATCATGGCCCGTTCTCAATGAGCTGTTGGGTACACCTCCCAGACGGGGTGGTAGCTGGGCAGAGGGGCTCCTCACTTCCCAGTAGGGGCGGCCAGGCAGAGGCGCCCCTCACCTCCTGGACGGGGCGGCTGGCCGGGCGGGGGCTGACCCCCCACCTCCCTCCCGGACGGGGCGGCTGGCCGGGCGGGGGCTGACCCCTGACCTCCCTCCCGGACGGGGCGGCTGGCCGGGCAGGGGCTGACCCCCACCTCCCTCCCGGACGGGGTGGCTGCCGGGCGGAAACGCTCCTCACTTCCCAGACGGGGTGGCTGCCGGGCGGAGGGGCTCCTCACTTCCCAGACGGGGTGGCTGCCGGGCGGAGGGGCTCCTCACTTCTCAGATGGGGCGGCTGCCAGGCGGAGGGTCTCCTCACTTCTCAGACGGGGCGGCTGGGCAGAGACGCTCCTCACCTCCCAGACGGGGTCGTGGCTGGGCAGAGGCGCTCCTCACATCCCAGACGGGGCGGTGGGGCGGTGGGGCAGGGGCGCTCCCCACATCTCAGACGATGGGTGGCCAGGCAGAGACGCTCCTCACTTCCTAGATGGGATGGCGGCCGGGAAGAGGCACTCCTCACTTCCTAGGTGGATGGCGGCCGGGCAGAGATGCTCCTCACTTTCCAGACTGGGCAGCCAGGCAGAGGGGCTCCTCACATCCCAGACGATGGGCGGCCAGGCAGAGACGCTCCTCACTTCCCAGACGGAGTGGTGGTGGGCAGAGGCTGCAATCTCTGCACTTTGGGAGGCCAAGGCAGGCGGCTGGGAGGTGGAGGTTGTAGCGAGCCGAGATCACACCACTGCACTCCAGCCTGGGCACCATTGAGCACTGAGTGAACGAGACTCCGTCTGCAATCCCGGCACCTCAGGAGGCCGAGGCTGGCGGATCACTCGCGGTTAGGAGCTGGAGACCAGCCCGGCCAACACAGCGAAACCCCGTCTCCACCAAAAAAATACGAAAACCAGTCAGGCATGGCGGCGCGCGCCTGCAATCGCAGGCACTCGGCAGGCTGAGGCAGGGGAATCAGGCAGGGAGGTTGCAGTGAGCTGAGATGGCAGCAGTACAGTCCAGCTTCGGCTCGGCATCAGAGGGAGACCGTGGAAAGAGAGGGAGAGGGAGACTGTGGGGAGGGGGGGGGGAGGGGGAGGGGGAGAGGGAGAGTTTAATTATTGATGTATCTGAATGCTGCAGTGTATTAGTTAAGCATTTTTCCATATGAGAGGCTTCTGGCTGTGAGTTTTGGTACTACACTAATTTTATTCATTTTTTTCCAGGGGGATGTCAGTTTTTCTTCATTGCAAGTAACTGCATTATGTTGTCTGGATCATTGTCTTCTGTATTAAGTATTACAGTAGAATAGTTGTTGTTCAGGACAGTTTCAAAGTCTGTGTTTTATTTGCCTATAAGAACATACTTAGGCATCTTTCTTCTCTGTTCTTGGTCTGCTAGTATGAACATAATACAGTGACTAAGTAAGGAGATGGGTTTCCATAGGCCCCAGTCAGAATCAGCCTGAGTTACTTTATCATATTAACTTTATATATAATAATGTCAACTGATATTTGCATAATTCTTTGTAAGGTATTTTTATGATACTTAAATATTTTTTTTCTTTTCTTGTCTTGTCTTTTTTTTTTTTTGAGACAGTATCTCACTCTGTCACCCAGGCTGGAGTACAGTGACGTGATCATGATTCATTGCAGCCTCAGCTTCCCAGGCTCCAGTGATCTCTACACTTGAGCCTCCTGAGTAGCTGGGACAATAGGTGCATGCCATCATGCCCAGCTAATTTTTTGTAGAGGTGGGGTTTCACCATGTTGCCCAGGCTTGTCTCACACTCCTGAGCTCAAGTGATCCATCAGCCTTGGCCTCCTTAAGTGTTGGGATTACAGGTGTGAGTCACTGTGTCCAGTCTAAAATTTTTCTTTTTACTAATATGTTTCTTGTACTAAACTGGTAGCTCTTTTTGTGGAGGACCATTTTTTTTCATCTTTGTACTCACTTTATTTAGGACTGAGCTAAGAATAATCATAATGATACTAGCTAACACTGTGTTTTATGCCGGGTTTGTGCCAAGTGCAGTATTTGTTTTAATCCTCATTATCCCCGTTTTATAGAGGAGAGAACTGAGTCTCAGAGAAAGGAAGTAGCTTGCTTAGTCTCACAGCTAATGAAGGGATGCAGCTGTGATTAGAACCCAAGCAATCTGATTTCAGAGCTATGTACTTAACCCTTATATTTTCTCAGAAACAGCTTGTATGAATATGTAGGTATACATGAAAGATATTATCTCTCTTATTTGAGTCTTAAAACTCTGTGAAGCAGTTAATTATGCTTTTCATATCCATTCTATAGGTTAGGAAAAGTAAGATGAGTTAATTACACAAGATCATTCATTTGTTGAGTAACAGAATCTGGACCCCACCATCCCAGGTCTCCTGACTCCAAATCTCATATTTTTTTCCCCTGCTGTAATACTTTTAGCTGTTGATTAGAGCTTCACATCTATTTTGTTTATTTATTTATTTATTTATTTATTTATTTATTTTTGAGGTGGAGTCTCACTCTATTGCCCAGGCTGGAGTGCAGTGGTATGATCCCAGCTCACTGCAACCTCCGATCCCCCCGGGTTCAAGTGATTCTTCTGCCTCAGCCTCCTGAGTAGCTGAGACCACAGGTGCGCATCACCACGCCCGGCTAATTTTTGTATTTTTAGTAGAGACAGGGTTTCACCATATTGGCCAGGCTGGTCTCGAACTCCTGACCTCGTGATCTGCCCGCCTCGGCTTCCCAAAGTGCTGGGATTACAGGCATGAGCCACCATGCCCAGCCAACATCTGTTTTCTTAGGAATACACAATAGTCTTTTTCGTATGTAAAATAGATACTTTCATTTATACTAACTGAAGGTAAGAGGTAACCCTAAAAATCTTTCTGTGCGTCTTTCTTTCTCAAATCCAACGAGCAAAATTCCATGGTAGACAGACTGTTGAGAGCTACTTGAAGGTGGATAAGACCGCTGTGTGTGTGTGTTCCTGTGTATCTCTGTTTTAGTAGCTGGCAACAGTGTGTTTTCCATAATGATTGCTGAGGGAATGCATGACTGAAAAAGTTGATGCTGTGTCTAGTATTAAAGAGTGGCGATACTAAAATTGCTAGTTTATTTTTATATCCTATGCTTTCTCCTGATTGCTTCGTTCTTAGTCACTAATTGATTATGTTTGAGAATTACAACAGTGCTAATATAGTGGCATTAAATATAGTTGAGCCAGTATATGGTAACTGTCTATAACAGAGCCTTCATATAAGAGAGGGATTACACTTAAGCATTTTGTAACACCGAAGAAACAATTTTTTTGATGTCTAGGTGAACTTAATTGTATTGAATTCTTTTTGATTGCCTTGTCAGATTTCTTTTGTATTTTATATAAATAAGATATGACAGTGGCAAATTAGTTTTTCAGTTTTGTTTTTGTTTTTGTTTTTTTGTTTTTTTGAGACAGGGTTTCGCTTGTGCAGTGGCTGGATTTTGGTGCACTGCAACCTCCGCCTCCTGGGTTCAAGCAATTCTCATGCCTCAGCCTCCTGAGTAGCTGGAATTACAGGTGCCCACCACCATACCCAGCTAATTTTTGTATTTTTAGTAGATACGGGGTTTCACTCAGTTGGCCAGGCTGGGCTCAAACTCCTGACCTTGTGATCTGCCCGCCTTGGCCTCCCAAGGTGCTGGGATTACAAGTGTGAGCCATTACCCCCGACCAAGGGTCTAGTTCTTAATAGCCTTCTTCCTGACCCTTGAGAAGAAGCCATTATACTTCATTTAGCTTCTAGGTTATATCACATTCAAATACAGTCATGTCATAGCATAGCTACTTGGTTTTCCATGTGCCCTGCCCTGCATTATTTTTGTGTATTATTATAGTGCAAAATATTTAAGAATTCCTAAGCTTCTTTTCTTATTTTAGTCTGAGATTGTTATATTCAGGTAAATTAACCCCTCACCTAAGAGTGTCATAATTGATTCCGTTGTTCCAGATTGTAGATTTGAGTATCAGGTAGTAATTTACATATTACAGGATCTTTTAAGAATTAATTGTTTTAATGTGGAAGCCATATGAGATAAGAAATTGGAATTTTCAGCCTTGATTAGTTGGCTACAGTCCTGGGCCTGCTTTGTTGCTTGGCACACATCAATCCAACTCTTATTCTCATTTTATGTCTGTTAGTTGTGCATGTGCATATATACTCATGGATGTTCCTCTCTCCAATCTAAAAGGTACCGCCAACGTCTAGTAGATTTCTAGGGCCCTAAAATTTGTCTTGCTCAGTTTCCTTACAGATTTTACAAGCTTGAAAGGTGAGTAGTTAGAGTACAGGGTAGCTGCTGAAAGAGACCCAAACATTCAGTGGCTCAAACAAGATGGACATTTATCTCTTATAAAACAGTTCAGGGGTAAGTCTCTTATGACCACAGTGGGCAGAGGTTCTGCTCCATGAAATCATCTAGAGATCCAGGCTCCTTCTATCTTGTTGTCCGGGGGTGATGCCCTCATCTGCATTCTCAATGATAGCTTATTAACACATCTACCTTGAAATAAGTCCATGAGAAGGGAGAAGAGAGAGTAGAGGACACATAGTTGCCTTAAAAAAAAAGTGAGCTATATGTCAATTTTCCCAGCATCTCATTCATTATCTTTAGAAACAAGACATATCAAGTTATAAATAACATTTGGAAATGTAGTTTCCAACTCGGTTGCATGTGCTCAGTTATTTTGGCAGAGGGTTGTGGTAGGGGAGTGTCTGTATTAAAAGGAAGCAAGGGAAAATGGATACTATTAGCAGTTTCTTCCACAGAGTCATAGGTAGAGGGTAAAAATAATAAAACCTTTTCCTCATTTATTATCTTAATTCTCACCACATTGAGAATTTCTTTGAGGTAAGTGGTATAACCATTTTGCTAACTGGGGAACTGATTATGAGGTATCAAGTGACTGGTTTAAAGTCACAAGTCTGGCTCAAAACCGAACTCGTTATCCTTTTCCCTCCATACCTTCTTCTCTTTGTATTTCTTATCTCAGTGAATGACATCACCATTTTCTCAGTCACTCAAGCCGGAAATTTGAGATTTCCTTATCTTCTCATATTCCTTCAGTCACTAAGTTGTATAGATACTATCACCTTAACATTTCTCGAATCTATTCCTTTCTCTCCATCCCCACAGCTGTTGCCTTAGCTCAGACTCTCAGCAGCTCTTGTGTGGACGGCAGCCTCCATTCTTCCATCTGCTGCCAGGGTCACCTCCTGTGACTCCTTCTTCTCAGCCCAACCCTGCCAAACCACTTGCAATCCTTGGGACTTAACTATACGCTGTTAAACTGCCAAATCTCTACTCGTGTTGCTTCTTCTACTCAAATGGTCCTCTTCCCTTCTCAACTTGGCAAACATGGCCTTATTTTATTTTTAAAAATCTACCACCTACATTGCTTCCACTGTAAAGTTGTTGCTCTCTTTTCCAGGTAGAATTGACTGTTTTCTCCTCATGCTTCTCCTGTGTTGATGCCTGTTATAGGACCTGTAACATTTTATAGTAATAATTTGTAATATGTCTTGCTTTTTATCATTAGCATTCAATATTGTACCTGATAGAAAACAGCTACTCTGTAATTGCTTGAATGAGTAGAGTGTATGACAGACTGGGACTTGAATCCAAATCTTGTGTTTTTCTTATCATGATGGCTCATCCTGTGTAAGTGTGTACATATTTCCTGAGTTGCTTCCCAACACCAAATTTGGAGGTCTGACTTTCCAGGAGCTCTTTTCATTGGCAATCAAGTGTAGCCCTAAAAAGGGCTATTTCAACAAATGGATGCTTAATTGTCTTTCCATGTGGATTTTGGGGGTGTGCTTTTTTGGTAGGTGCTGCTAAAACCATTGTCTGTAACTTGCAAAATAAGTAAATGCTGGATGTTTGGCTTTAATTTTTATTGATTACATCAAGGGATAAAAGAAGTTTGCTTTACATTTGGAGGGAAGGCAGGCAAATTAGAAAAAAATGCATCCCCTTGAAGAGGGTTTTATTTTTAATATTATTTACAAAGTATATATGTGAAAATAGAAAAGGAATAACTTTAATTTACAATAGACACAATTTAGGGAAAAATGCTAACATCCCAGTGTAAGTGTAAATTCAGCTTGGCTATTACCATTTCTGATCACTGAAGCTCACTTATTGTGCATTTAAACCATCTGTTCTGGTGTTAATCCCTTAAAACTCAATTGGTAGATGTTAACATGATAAAAGGTAATAAAGCTTGAAATATGGCAGTCATTTGGTCTGGTTTACTTTTCAACTAATTGCATGCAAACTTAAGTGTCTTTGGGAAAAAGGAAAGGGGGGAATTAATGCTGTAGTCAACTATTTTGATCTCAGCTTGAGCCCTGCACACCTGCCACTGGCTTGTGGAAGTTTTCCTCCATAATTAAGAGCTCCTCTCTCATGTTATTACTTAATTGGATGCCGCAAGAGCCTGGTGAAACAGTGGAATCCTCTTAATTGCAGCTTTTAAAACAAATCACCAATGTTTAATATGGTATTGTTTTTAAAAGCCTTCCCTGGAAAGATTTTTTATTGTTTCAAGTCCAAATGGAATGGAGTGTTGAGGATTCTGCTCTTTATGAAGTTAGAAGTCATATAGTACTTTGAAATGTCTCTCCTTAAAGAGTTAGGGAACATAACTAATATTTACTGATGCTTTACAATTTGACCAAGTGCTTTCCTTTTATCTTGTTTTAATTCCTATAGTAGCTCCAAGAAAGGTATTATAATGTTTCCCATTTTACAGATGAGGAAATTGAGGGTCAGAAAAGTGACTTGCTCAGGGTCACACAATTAGTAAGTGGTAGAGATAGATGCAAACCCTACCTACCGATGCAAACCCTTTATTTACCTCCTGTCTCAATGAGCATAAACTGCATGTGTGGAAATATCAGTATAGTGGGTTTTTCCTTTAACTTATAATGTGGTCTCAATTTAGCTTACTGTGTTTGGTACTTTTCTGTTTGAACTGTCAGCCGTTACGCATATAGTGGAAAGAGCAGCCTGGTAGTAGGTGAGGAAGCCAAAATGCTGGGAAATGACAGAATATCCCATTCCATGCTTAGATCATGACTGTTATCTAACTGAAACATCCTCCTGTAAGGTTGTCAGGGTCTTTGTGGTCCTGCTGCAGTGTGGACAAGTCCTTTACAGTGTACTTAAGTGCTGAGCAATTTTGACAGCTGGTTTAAATGAGCTTCTGTGGCAGTCACTTCCCTTGAGGCCTCAGTGCCCATTTTCCTCTCCACCCTAGTAGTGGAAAGAGCTCTTGATAGGGAATCAGGAAACTTTGATGCTATAGTTGTAGTTAGGTGATTTGCTAACTGACCCTTTTTCTTCAGGACTAAGTTTGGTCAGTACCACCTCTTTGAAGACTTCCCTAAAGTCTTAGGGTGGCCTTCCTTTTTTTTTTTCCTGGACACTCTGACACGTTGTTTTAAGTATTGGCTGTATGGCACTTACCACATTGTTCTGCAATTATGTTTCTTTTAGACTAGAGCTATACCTCTAGCCTTCTTTTTTTTTTTTTTTTTTTTGTGACGGAGTCTCACTGTGTCGCCCAGGCTGGAGTGCAGTTGCGCGATCTCAGCTCACTGCAAGCTCTGCCTCCTGGGTTCATTCCATTCTCCTGCCTCAGCCTCCTGAGTAGCTGGGACTACGGGCGCCCGACACCATGCCCAGCTAATTTTTTTTTTTGTATTTTTAGTAGAGACGGGGTTTCACTGTGTTAGCCAGGATGGTCTTGATCTCTTGACCTTGTGATCTGCCCACCTTGGCCTCCCAAAGTGCTGGGATTATAGGCGTGAGCCACTGCGCCTGGCCACCTCTAGCCTTCTTTTTACTACCAGCCCATCTGCACTTGAGAATCACTGCCCCAAACTGTATATTCTGTGAGAGCACAGTCACAGGGTTCCTTGAGGTGGACATTTGTAGTTTGCTTCTGTAGCTTCCTTCTTATCTCAGCAATGGCCTCAGATGTTGGTTTTAGGAACCACACCTCCCCCCTGCTTTGCTTCATATAGTTTGGGTAGGAATTTCTTAGCTCTAGTGTTATGTGAACCAGGCTCAAGGTAACCAAGGCATCACATTCTTCCGGCCATAGTGATTGGTTTAGGGGTAAATGTGTTTTAAGCTGGTCTAAACTGAATGTTCAGGACTTTTGTAAGCCGCTATAGAAGACCTTCTCCAAGTCCTGCTACACTACAGAGGTGTGTGGCTGGAGCTGCTATAGCCATTTTGCCACCTTAGGAGGAGAGAGTCTGGCTTATGATAGAACCAACATTGAGGAAGTGAAGCTAAACAGGTGGAGGCAGTGACTTTGAGCTCTGAATTGAGCCTCCACCATAGTCTACCCTAATCTTGGGCCTCAGTTAATTAAGTCAGTAATTAGGCTTTTTGCTTAAACCAGTTTGTTTTCTGTCATTTACAACCAAGAGTCCTAACTAATCTATTTCTCTTCTGCACTTAAGCATAGTTCATAGCCTAGTATTTGTTAATTGGGTAAATGATTGAACTCTATGACTTAGTCTTTCTTAGTCTCAGTTTCTTTTTCTGTAAAATGGGAATGATAATTTCTGCCTGCCTGGCTCAAAGGGTTGTTGTGAGTTAATAGAAGGAAAAGCTTTTGGGTCTCCCCTTCTGAACTTAGTCTATACCAAACAATTGACCATTTAATTATACAATTACATATAACCATTGTATAATTTTTTTTTTCTTTCAACTTGATTGTGTACCCCCTTAGAATGGATGGCATCTTACATACTTACTGTTTTCCTCCTACTGCTCAGCACAGTGTTGGGAAAATAGTGGGCACTCGTGAATATTTATTAGTGATGACAATAGCAGCTACAGTTTATTGCATACGTTTATTGGGCCAGATAGTGTGTAGGCATTCTACATAAATTATCTCTAAACCTCAGCTAATAGCAGTATTAGATAGCTATTATTAGATAAGCAGTATTGTCCTCAGAGGATAGTTGCTTAGCTAACAAACGGGAGAGCTGAAATTGTTGGTTGAGTTATGATGGAAAATAAATGTGATGGAGCCTTCCAAAGCATATACCAGGAATGTTTGAGATGTCTGCCTTAGGTGAATGATAGAGGTGAACATCAAGTAAATACCTGATGGGGATGAAATCCTGGCCTGGTTTGGAATTGCTTGAAAAGCTATTTTTCGAGTCTTTTCTTGGAGTAGTTTAATTGACTTCACTAATCCATTGCATCACTATTAAATAATAATAAAAGATACAGAGAGTAGTAGCATTAGAAATACTGGTCACGAGGATACTATATATTATGGTGATGTCCCATTGAATATTACAGTGAATGTCCCCTCTCTGGGGCCCGTGTGAATTGATGCCTTACTAAATATGCTCAGCTGGTACTCAGGGTACGTTTTGCTCAGGTTCAGGCAGAACCACCCTGTTAGTAGGTAACCTTTTATTCTTTTTTTTGAGACAGAGTCTTACTCTGTTGCCTAGGCTGAAATGCAGTGGTGCGATCTTGGCTCACTGCAAACTCCACCTCCTGGGTTCAAGCAATCCTCCTGTCTCAGCATCCAAGTAGCTGGGATTACAGGCGCCCACCATCATGTCCGGCTAATTTTTGTATTTTTAGTAGAGACAGGGTTTCACCGTGTTGGCCAGGTTGATCTTGATCTCCTCACCTCAGGTGATCTGCCTGCCTCAGCCTCCCAAAGTTCTGAGATTACCAGCATGAGCGATCGTGCCAGGCCAACCTTCTATTCTTTATTGAATGTTAAACTCAGACTCTAGATTAAGCAAGAAATCAAATGAAAAAGTCTAACTAGCATTATACGCTTCATTCTGTGATGGAAAACACTTTCTCCTTGAAGCAAGAGATCTAGGTTGTAGACCAAGGTCTGAGTCAAATGATACTGTTTATAAGGACCTGCTAGATAATTTGCATATATTATATAATCCCCAAAAGAACCTTTCAGCGTAAGTGTTACTATCCTCATTTATGATGAGGGTCAGAGAGATGAAGAGAGGTCATACAGCTGTAAATATTCCCCTGTAGGCTGGGTGCGGTGGCTCACGCCTGTAATTCCAGCACTTTGGGAGGCCAGGGCAGGCGGATCACGAAGTCAGGAGTTTGAGACCAGCCTGACCAACATGGTGAAACCCTATCTCTACTATAAATACAAACATTAGCTGGACGTGGTGGCGTGCGCCTGTAATCCCAGCTACTCAGGAGGCTGAGGCAGGAGAATTGCTTGAACCTGGGAGGTGGAGGTTGCAGTGAGCTGAGATTGCACCATTGCACTCCAGCCTGGGCTACAGAGTGAGACTCAGTCTTTGGAAAAAAAAAAAGAAAATCCTCCTGTAATGTTTTAAACCACAGTCCTAAGATTGCAGAATTGAAATTCAAGATCAAGAATCGTATGGGATAAAAGGGTATTAAAATTATCTAAAAATTTATTTTTATTGTCCAAAGTGACTAAAGTGTCACTTTTACCCCTTAGTTGATACAGATATAAAAGTAAAAGTTATTTCAGTAAAAGAAGGGAGGCCTCATAAAGATCTTGGTTTGTGAATTAAAAAACAAAAAAGTGAATGACTCTACTTATATGATCAGATGCTTAAAAAAAGAGTGAATGGCTATGCCATTTCTAGTTCTCTATGGAATAATTTTAATGTACTTATTAGGGACAGAGTAGCATTTACCACGTTTGTGTGGTCTTTGTATTTATTCCACAAGGGATTGAGAGTAGTTTACAAAAGTAATCTAATAAAATAACCTAAAAAAGAAAAACCCTGAGTACTATTGAAAATAGAATAATATATATATATATATGTCTCCCCAGTTGCTATAGGTGAACTACAAATTTACCCCTGAATTTCTTGGAAGCCTAGGAGAGAAGGATAACTTTTTTTATTTTGAGATGGAGTTTCACTTTTGTTGCCCAGGCTGGAGTGCAATGGTGCGTGATCTCGGCTCACTGCAACCTCCACCTCCCAGGTTGAAGCGATTCTCCTGCCTCAGCCTCCTGAGTAGCTGGGATTACAGGCACATGCCACCACGCCTGGCAAATTTTTTGTATTTTTAGTAGAAACGGATTTCTCCACGTTGGTCAGGCTGATCTCGAACTCCCGACCTCAGGTGATCCGCCTGCCTCAGCCTCCCAAAGTGCTGGGATTACAGGCATGAGCCACCGCCACCGCGCCCGGTCTTTTTGTTTTTTGTTTTTTTTTTTTGGGACAGAGTCTTGCTCTGTCACCCAGGCTGGAGTGCAGTGGCGCAATCTTGGCTCACTGCAACCTCTGCCTCCCAGGTTCAAGCAGTTCTCCCAGCCTCGGCCTCCTGAGTAGCTGCAACTACAGGTGTGTGCCACCATGCCTGGCTAATTTTTGTATTTTTAGTCGAGACATTTTCACCAGGTTGGCCAGGCTGGTCTTGAACTCCTGGTCTCAGGCTATGTGCCCGCCTTGGCCTCCCAAAGTGCTGGGATTACAAGTGTGAGCAGCGATGCCTGGCTGCATGTTTAGTTTTATAAGAAACTGCCAAATTATTTTCCAGAGTGTCTGTACCATTTTACATTCCTACCAGAAATGTATGAGAAGTCCAGTTTCTTTGCATACTTGTCGGCATTTAGTATTATCACTGTTTAAATTTAGCTGTTTTAATAGGTATGTAGTACCTCTTTCAGTTTTTCTGAGTGAGTACATTTGTTTTTAGCACATGGCAGGTTGATAGCCTTAGTCAGGTTTAGCTTTCAGATTTGCCATGTTTGTACCCACTGCATTTAAGTTTTTATTTCTTAATGTACTTTACATTCTGAAGGCTTACAAAGCTATTGAAAACTTTTCTCAGTATTTTTTTTCTTAGTTTTTTCATGTCTCCTGATCCCAGCAACAGGTATCTTCACACACCTTAGCAAAAGTACCTTCATTGGAGACTGGGCATGGTTGCTCATGCCTATAATTCCAGCACTTTGGGAGGCTGAGGTGGGAGGAATGCTTGAAGCCATAATTTCAAGACCACTTGGGCAACATAGTGAGACCCCATCTCTTTAAAAAAAAAAAGCCAGGCATGGTCATGGTGGCACATGTCTATAGTCTCAGCTCCTCAGGAGGCTGAGCTGGGAGGATCGCTTGAGTCCGAGGGGTCGAGGCTGCAGTGAGCCATGTTCATGCCACTGCACTCCAGCCTGGGAGACAGAGTGAGACTCTGTCTCAGAAAACAACAACAAGAAAAAAACCTTCATTGGCCTTTTCTTAAGTGAGACTAATTCTGTGGATATAACTGCTTGGATTTATTTAATGCTGCAGTAGTGGTACTGAGGATTTTGTTTACATTGTTCTCATTTGTGGCAACTCCTCAGTGCTGTTTTTTTTCCTGCCAAGAATCAAGCAATGCTTGATTACAACTTGGCAATGGGAAGAAGAAAGATAACAAAACAATTTTTGGGAAGTTTGTGTGAAGGGAGGATTCTCATTATTGACTGAGGGATTGAGGTGAAATTTATATATCATTGTTGAAATTAACCACTTTAAAGTGAACAATTTAGTGGCATTTAATACACTCCCAGTGTTGTGCAACAACCATCTCTGTCTAGTTCCAAAACATTGATCACCCTAAAAAGAAGTTCTGTATCCACTAAACAGTCATTCCCATTCCTATTCCCTCCTAGCCCCTGGCGGCAACTAATCTGCTTTTCATCTCTATGGATTTACCAATTGTAAATATTTTATATAAAAGAAATCATATAATGTGTGGCCTTTTGCATCTGGCTTCTTTCACTCAGAATAATGTTTTTGATGTTCATGCTGTAGCATGTATCAGTACTTCATTACTTTTTTTTTTTGAGACAGTTTCACTCTTGTCGCTCAGGCTGGAGTGCAGTGGTATGATCTTGGGTCACTGCCAGTGTTGCCCAGGCTCGATGCAGTGGCGCGATCTCGGCTCACTGCATCCTCCGCCTCCTGGATTCAAGCGATTCTCCTGCCTCAGCCTCCCGAGTAACTGGGATTACAGGTGACTGCCACCATGACCAGCTAATTTTGTATTTTTAGTAGAGACAGGGTTTCATCATGTTGGCCAGGCCGGTCTCGAACTCCTGACCTCAGGTGATCCACCTGCCTCGGCGTCCCAAAGTGATAGGATTACGGGCATAAGCCAACACGCCCGGCTAGTACTTCATTACTTTTTAAAGCTTTTTATGGCTGAGTAATATTACATTGTATAGATATGCTACAGTTTGTCCACTGATGGACGTTTGAGTTGTTTCTATCTTTCGCTATTGTGAAGGTGCTGCTATGAACATGTGGGTAGATGTATTTATTTTAGTACCTGTTTTAGTTCAGTGTATACCTAGGAATGGAATTGCTGGGTCATATGGTAATTCTATGTTTAACTAGCAGAGGAGCTGCCAGACTTTTCCATAATGGCTGCACCATTTTAACATTCCCACCAACAATGTTTGAGGGTTCATATTTTTTAACATCCTTGCTTATACTTATTTCCTTCTTCTTTTTTAAAAAATAAATAGCTATTGTAATGAGTATGGCATAATATATCTTATGGTTTTGACTTGTATTTCTCTAATGATTAATAAATGATGTTAAGCATCTTTTCATCTACTTGTTGGCCATTTGTATACCTTTAGAGAAATACCTATTCATGTCCTTTGCCCATTAAAATTTTTTTTTTTTTTGCCTTTTTGTTGTTGAATTATAAAAGTTCCTTATATAGTCCGGATTCCAGACCTTTATCAAATATATGATTTCCAAATATTTTTTCTTATTCAGTGGGTTGTCTTTCCACTTTTTTTTTTTTTTTTTTTTTTTAGAGACAGGGTCTTGCTCTGTTGCCCAGGTTGGAGTACAGTGGCATGATCATAGTTCACCGCAGCCTTGAATTCCTGGGCTCAAGTGATCCTCCAGTCTCAGACTCCTAAGTAGCTAGGACTACAGATGTGCACCACCATGCTTGGGTAATTTTTCTTTTTTACATTTTTTGTAGAGGCAGTGTCTTGCTATTTGCCCAAGCTGATGTTGAATTCCTACCTTGGCCCTTCTAAAGTGCTGGGATTGCAGGTGTAAGCTGTCACATTTGGCCTCTTCACTTTTTTGATAATATCGTTTGATGCACAAAAATTTTAAATTTTGATGAAGTCCAGTTTATTTTTTCTTTGATTGCTTACTTTGTTGTCATAGTTCAGAATCCATTGCCAAATCCAAGGTCATGAAGATTTATCATGGTTGTATCCCTTATATTTAGGTCTTTAATTTTGAATTAAGTTTTATATGTGGTTTGAGGTAGGGGTCCAGCTTCATTCTTCTGCCTGTAGATATTCAGTTGTCCAAGCACCATTTGTTGAAGAAACTTTTCTTTTCTCATTGATTAGTGATTAGTCTTGGCATGTTGGTTGAAAATTAATTGGCCAGAGATGTATGGATTTATTTCTAGACTTGTGATTCTGTTCCATTGGTCTATATACCTGTCCTTATGCGAGTACCATGCTGTATCGATTACCATAGTTTTATAGTGAATTTTGAAATTGGAAAGTGTGAGTCTTCCAACTTTGTTGTTCTTTTTCAAGATTATTTTTGCTGTTTGTGGCCTCTTGCAATTCCATGTGAATATGAGGACTGGCTCTTCCAGTTCTACAAAAAGAGGTTTTTGGACTTTTGATAAGATCTGTAGATTGCTTTGGAGGTGACATCTTAACAATATTAAAATTTCCAATTCATGAATACAGGATTTTTAAATTAATAACTTAATTTTGGCCAGAGATGGTGGCTCATGCCTATAATCCCAGCACTTTGGGAGGCCAAGGCAGGAGGATCGCTTGAGCTCAGGAGTTCAAGACCAGCCTAGGCAACATAGTAAGACCCCATCCCTGCTAAAAATTAAAAAAAAAAAACTTAGCCAGGAGTGGTGGCACTATTGTCTTAAACAGTAACTCTCATTTCTCCCCTACCCCAGCTCCTGGCAACCACCATTCAACTTTGTCTCCATGAATTGGATTGTTCTGTGTATCTCATATGAGTAGAATAATAGTGTTTGTCCTTTATTACTGGTTTAATTCACTTAGCATAATATCTTCAAGGTTCATCATGTTTTGGTACGTGTCAGAATTTCCTTCCTTTTTAAGTCTGAATAATACTCCATTGTATGTATATACCACATTTTTTTGATCCATTCATCCATCAACAGACACTTGAGTTGCTTCCACCTTTTGGCGGTTGTGAATTTCCCATTGCTTTTTTTCCTCTTTTTTTTTTTGAGACAGTGTCTTGCTCCGTTGCCCAGACTGGAGTGCAGTGGTGTGATCTTGGCTCACTGCAACCTCTGCCTCCTGGGTTCAGGTGATTCTTGTGCCTCAGCCACCCAAGTAGCTAGGATTATAGGTGCGTGCCACCATGCCTGGTCAATTTTTGTATTTTTTTTTTTTTAGTAGAGGCAGGGTTTTGCCATGTTGGCCAGGCTGTCCTTGAACTCCTAGCCTTGTGCGATCCTCCTGCCTTGGCCTTCCAAAGTGCTGGGATTACCAACGTGAGCCACTGCACCTGGCCCTCAATTTTTTTTTATTGCAGTAAAATACATATAACATAAAATTTATCATCTCAATTTTTTGAAAGTGTATAGTTTAGCGTATTAAATACATTCATAATGTTGTGTGACCATCACTGTCAACTATCTCTAAAACTCTTTATCTTACAGATCTGAAATTTCTCTACCCATTAAACACAAACTCCCTATTGCCCCATTCTCCCTACCCCCCTGACAATCCCCATTCGATCTTCTGTCTCTGTGATTTTGATGACTCTGAGTACCTCATATAGGTAGAATCATATAGGATTTGTCTTTTTATTTTATTTAATTATTTAAATTATTATTATTATTATTAATTTGCTAGTGGTGGGATGGAGGGAATGGGTTCTCACTGCCTTTTTTTTTTTAAAAGTGACAATTCTCACTTTGTCATCCAGGAGGGACTGCAGTGGCACGATCATAGCTTATTGCAACCTCGAATTCTTAGGCACAAGCCATCCTCTTGCCTCAGCCTCCCAACCAGCTAGGACTACAGGCATGTATCACCACACTTGGCTAATTAAAAAAATTTTTTTTGGTAGAACCAGGGTTTCACTTATGTTGCCCAGGCTGTTCTTGAACTCCTGGCCCAAATGATCCTCCTGCGTCTGCTTCCCAAAATGCTGGGATTACAGTGTGAGCCACTATACCCAGCCCCATTGCTTTTTTTGTTGTTCTTTTGTCTTTGGCATGACACTGGGTTGGAGCTTACCAGCCCCATTGCTTTTTAATATAACAGCAAGCCTTCCTTTCTCTTTTTCTTTTTTTCCACAAATATTTATAGAGCAGCTTCTTTATGCCCACTATTTTTAGTATTAGAAGCCTGGCAGTGAACAAGACTAACAAGGTCCTTGGAGGTTACATTCTGTTGATAAGAATGGTTCCCTCTTTGGAAGCCTTGCCAGGCACTAGTTCTCTGATTTGCTGAGTTTATGATTAGGCCAGGTATCAACTGTGTGTCCTCACTTTGGACGTTGCAGCCCTTAGCCCCATTTTCTCTTTTTTTTTTTTTGAGATGGAATCTTACTCTGTCACCCAGGCTGGAGTGCAGTGGTGAGATCTTGGCTCATTGCAACCGCTGCCTCCCGGGTTCAAGCAATTCTTCTGCCTCAACCATCCAAGTAGCTGGTTTTACAGGCGCCCATGACCACGCCCAGTTAATTTGTTTTATATTTTTAGTAGAGATGGGGTTTCGCCATGTTCGCCAGGCTGGTCTCGAGCTCCTGACCTCAAGAGATCCACCCGCCTCGACCTCCCAAAGTGCTGGGACCTTAGCCCCATTTTTCCTTTGTGCCTTACTTTGGCATTTTCTCTTAGAGGCCTTTCATGAGCCCCCAGGCTGGATTGGGTGTTCCTCTTCTGCTCTAACCACCCATCACTTATCTTTATTATAATGCTGCCTAACTCTCTCTTCTACTGGAATGGTACCCTTGTTGACTGACTCATGTATAGCTGCTTGGCTTAATGGTAGACCAGATATTCAGGTCCTCTGAGACAGGCCCCTGATGACTTTTGCAACTACATCTTTCACCACAGCCTGCCTTGCACTTTGGACTCTAGCAACACTGAAATACATGTCATTTCCCAAGGCATGTTAAGCTGTTTCTATTCTCTAGGCTCTCCCTTTTTCCTAGAATGCCCTTTTCCTCTAGGCTAATGTCTTTCTCCTTTAAATTAGTCATCTTCAACAAAGGCTACCTTGACCTTCTCTTGACTTTGCCACATTCCTGCTGCTGCCTTCCTTCCATGGCCTTTGTCACGCTATATGGTAATTGACAGGTTCCATGATCTTGAGGAACTTATGGATTTTAGCAGTGGGTCTTAGCTTGCCATCTTCTTCACCCATCAAGTTTCATTTCTCTCTTTACTCATTGAACTTGGCTTTGCTGATGACAGACATTCTGAAATGAAAGTGACCTCCTGGGAGTCTGATGGGATTTCCTCTTTATTGCTCTCCCATTGTATTTCACCCTTGCATTTGTGTCAATTCTCAGTAGGATTAACATAATCTTTTTGTGTAAAAATAATATGCCTCTAATATGTTTCTCACCTAGCAGAGATTCTAATGATCTTAATTAATCCTGATGGCATTTTATATATTCATTTTTTGTCCTAAAATCTCCTTCACCTTGTTTTTTGGAAAAATGCCTGTTATGGAAAAACTAGAAAACTTGGCAAATAATATCGCTCTATATTCTGCCATGCAGAGATTACTTTTAAAACTCAGCATTTAGGCTTTTTTGAAGTTTTTTTTCTATTTATTTTATATAATTAAGATCATACTATAGGTAGTCTTTTGGAGTATTTTTTAATTTAACATTATATCATAAGCATTTTCTATTTTTGAGACAGGGTCTGGGTCTGTCACCTAGGCTGGAGTGCAGTGGCGTGATCACAGCTCACTGCAGCCTCAAACTCCTGGGCTCGAGATCTTCTGTCTTAGCCTCCCAAGTAGCTGGGACTGTAGGCGAACACCCCATGCCCAGCTAATTTAAAATTTTGTTTTTTGTGGAGATGGGTTCTCCCTGTGTTGCCCGGGCTGGTCTCGAACTCCTGGCTCAAGTGATCCTCCCACCTTGGCCTCCCAAAGTGCTGGGATTACAGGTGTGAGCCACTGCGCCTGGCCTCAGTCTTTATTTTTTTGGTAGTTTTCTTAGGATAAATAGGAATAGGGTAATTGGAGTGAAGGTATAATTTATTTTTATTTTTATTTTTTTGAGATAGGGTCTGGCTCTGTCACACAGGCTGGGGTGCAGTGACTGGAGTGCAGTGGCACAATCTCAGCTCACTGCAACCTCCGCCTCCTGGGCTCAAACTATCCTCCCACCTCAGCTTCTTGAATAGCTGGCACTACAAGTGCACGGCACCACACCTGGCTAATTTTTTTTAATTTTATTTTTATTTTTTGTAGGGTTTCACCATGTTGCCCAGGCTGGTCTTGAACTCCTAGGCTCAATCCATCTGCCTGCCTTGGCCTCCCAAAGTGCTAGGGTTACATACATGAGCCACTGCGCCCGGCCAGGTATAACTTTTTAAAGGCTCTTGATATACACTGTTGAGTTATTATCCTAGATCATTGCAGGGACTAAGTATTTGTTAAATGAAAGAGTGACTACCCGCTAGAAAGACTGTGAGTAGTCATGCTCTTTACAGGAGTAGACGAGTGGCTCTAACTCCCCATACTGCCTTTCATATTTGATCCTCTCAGTGTCCTCCATCCTCATTTGTTTACAGTGAGGGCTTTATCCTCTTATTAGTCAGACTTAATTGCTTTCTCTATGCTCAGGCCAGATGAAATCAGGTCTTTATTCCTTCTTTCCCAAAGAAGAGATACTGAACTTCTCATTTGGTCATGGTCTTTCTTCACCCTTCCATCATTTATTGGTAGCATCTTCTGACTTTGAGGGCCCTTCTTGAAACCATAGAGACTTGAAAAACTTGACCAATCCCTTAGGTAATATTTAAAATGTGGGAGGGATTAAGGTCTCGTTGAAAAAAAATCTAGAATTAGTTTCTGAGAGACCAAAGGGATTCTAATTCCTGCTCTACCTGGCTGACCTTAACCTTTGATCTCTCTGGGACTCTGTTTATTATCTGTAAAAAGGGCCATAATAATAACTCCCTTTCTTATCATATGGGCTTGATAGGATTAATTAATTTATAAAACAATATATTATTGAATGGCTACTTTGTAAAATTGTATGATAAATTAAATTCATTCCTTCAGTCATGCATCCTTTATTGATTGATTGATTGATTGATTGAGACAGAATCTCACTCTGTCACCCAGGCTGGAATGCAGTGGCGCGATCTCGGCTCAC
The DNA here is from genome assembly GCF_000001405.40 of Homo sapiens. NCBI lineage: Eukaryota > Metazoa > Chordata > Mammalia > Primates > Hominidae > Homo > Homo sapiens. The sequence goes on along the minus strand of NC_000011.10, from coordinate 73,552,898 downwards.
TGCAACCTCTGCCTTCTGGGTTGTAGTGTTTCTCCTGCCTCAGTCTCCCGAGTAGCTGGGATTACAGTTGTGTGCCACCACACCAGGCTAATTTTTGTATTTTTGGTAGAGATGGGGTTTTGCCATGTTGGCCAGGCTGGTCTTGAACTTCTGACCTCAAGGGATCCACCCATCTTGGCCTCCCAAAGTGTTGAGATTACAGGCATGAGCCACCACGCCTGGCCTCATCCATTATTTATTCAACTGGTCAACAGATGTTAATTGAGTACCTCTTTCGTGCCAGGTTTTATGCTAAGTACTAGATAGAAAGGAAAACAGCAAATAAAGAAACTGTAGTTCACTATGAAACATACTATGATATTGGTATGTAATAGTAGCAACCACCACAACTAATACTTAATGCTTGCCTACTATGTGCCAGGCACTGTTATAAAGCCTTTACCTAAATTAATTCATTTAATTCTTAAACTTTTAAAGAAGGTGCATAATTACTGTAAAGTGTAAATTATAGTGGAATACAAAGGAGAGTGTTAAATGTTACCATGTATTGAATGCCCATATGAGCTAGACATTCTATAGATATTTTATATACATTTTCTTTCGTCTTCCCCACAGCTCTTCAAGGTTAGGCATTATCATTTAAACATGAGGAAATAGAGTCTAAGGAAGATTAAGAAATGTGCCCAAGTTCACAGTTTGTAAGAGGTAGAGTTGGAATTGAACCCAGTTTTAGTCCAATTCCAAATCCTTGGTTCTTAGGATTTTGTTTATACAAGGCATAAGGGTAGGTAAAACTCTCCAGGCTAAGGCACTGTGAGGTCAAAGATAAGAAAGTCCACTGCTTTTGAAGAGGAGAGGAGGTAAAACTGAAAGATATTTTCTTAAAAATGTGAGATCGTTCCTTCCTTTTCCCCACATATTCCTTTCTCTCCAGGGCAGACTAAGAAATCCTTTTGTACCAGCATGGGTATTTAAGTACTTCCTAAGTACTGTACTGTGGCTGCTGCTGCTGATAGCACATGGCAGTTCTGAATGCTTTAGGCAAGTGCCTAATAACTGGAAATTCATTCAGGGCAGCTGCAACATGCAACCAGATGGGATTTAAAATTGGCATGTTCATATTTTTTAAAAAAGCTAATTAAAAAATGTCAATTTGCAACCTGGTGTTGCCATGTTAGAATTTTCTAATCTTTTTCTCCAATTGAATAGGAAATGTTTCATTAAACTCCTGTTAAATTGTTTACACTTGTTGCACACTGCACAGATGTGATCGTCTGGCTGAAATGTTTTTCCAAAATTGTGTGCAGTGGGAAAGAGAAGAATGAGCAGTTTTAGTTCGAAATCCGGAATGGCTATTGAATAAAGGAGTGCAGTTAAATTTTTAGTTTATAGAATTGACTTTAACAGTTATTTTTGTAATTGTGCTATATAGCTGAATCATGGTGTTCCAGCTTTGAGAGGCATAGACGAATGGAGAGAGACCCATTTAAGATAGGGTATGTTTAAAACTATTTGTATCAGATACTTCCTGTCTCATTACTTTCTGCAACAACTTCCTGGCTGGTCTCCCTACCTACTGTCTCACCTCCACCAAATCTGTCCTCCCTACTGCTTCTTCCTGAGCTTTGTTGAATACAGATTGTACTCTTCTCTGCTTTAAAACCTTCCAGAGGTTTTTTCATAACTTGGAGGATAAAATTCAAACCCCTTAACTTAGCTTGCAGGCTCTTTCATGGTTTGGCCTCTGCTTGCCTCATTAGCCCAAATTCTCCTTTTTTTTTTTTTTTTGAGACAGAGTCTCGCTCTGTCACCCAGGCTGGAGTGCAGTGGCGCGATCTCGGCTCACTGCAAGCTCCACCTCCTGGGTTCATGCCATTCTTCCGCCTCAGCCTCCCCAGTAGCTGGGACAACAGGCGCCCATCACCGTGCCCAGCTAGTTTTGTTTTTGTATTTTTAGTAGAGACAGGGTTTCACCATGTTAGCCAGGATGGTCTTGATCTCCTGACTTGTGATCTGCCTGCCTCGGCCTCCCAAAGTGCTGGAATTACTGGCATGAGCCATCATGCCTGGCCAAATTCTCCTTTTTTTTTCATATGTTGTTCCAGCCAAATTGAACTACTTTTCACCTGCTGTCCAGGTCATATTCCTGTATCTTCATCCATGACATTTATCTCTATTTGGGACACCCTCTCACCCTCCTTTTAAAAAAATATTTATTTATTTACTTATTGTTTGTTTATTTTTGAGACAGAGTCTGACTCTGTCACCCAGGCTGGAGTGCAGTGATACGATCATGGCTCACTGCATCCTCGACCCCCCAGTCTCAGGTGATCTTCCCACCTCAGCCTCCTGAGTAGCTAGGACTATAGGCACCTGCCACCACACCTGGCTAATTTTTGTATTTTTTATAGAAACAGGGTTTTGCCATGTTGCCCAGGCTGGTCTTGAACTCCTGGGCTCCAGCAGTCTGCCTGCCTTGGGCCTCCCAAAGTGCTGGGATTACAGGCATGAGCCACCAAGCCTGGCCTTAATTACCCTTTAAAACTTAATTGGGATTTATCTCTGAGTAGCTTCCTTTGTGGTTTCCCCACCTTCTATTCCATTTCACTACTGGGTTCTGACCCTCCTTTGTGGTCTTCATAGTTCCTAGCAGTTCTTTCTCTATCTTAGAGCTCTTACCACTTTCTGTTATTCCAATTTAAGTTTCTGTCTACCAACGCAATTTATTTATCTCTCTTTCTTTATTATAGTTCCTCAGAAAATGTGTGTCAAGTGACTATGTTTTTTAATATAAAGAGCATTCTGAGGATATGTTCATTCATATATATTTATTCATAGCGTATGAAACGATATGATAAAAAGTATGATAAATTTTAACCAGTCTTCTTATTTTTATTTCTGCCAAGTTGTGAGGTTGTTCCAATATTTGGAAAAGAAATTCCTTCTAGAAACACCTGTAATTTAATTACATACCAAACCTGAAGCAAGAAATAAGCCCTCTTCTTAGTCAAGTCTCACATTAAGTAGTGGAACTTCGGTTTGGGGTGAAGGACTAGACAAAGACTTTCCGATTAGCTCTACTTATTGTGATTCCTGCCTCTTTCCACAAGTTGGGATGATGGTGGGTTATTACACTGATGCTAGCCTGTAAGGGACATTGAATGTATGGAACTTAAATCATGAGTGGTGTGTGATAATAAGGTAGAACAAGCTCTGTGTTACCCCGTGTCATTGCTAAGAAACACTTACTGGAGGTTTACTAAAGGTTGGTGCTGGGATACAGAAATGAGTTAGGCATAGCTCCTGCCAGACTGCCTGCTAGACTGTTTGTGCCTCCGGGAACACACAGAATTTAGACATAGCGCTGTCCTGCAGAACTTTCTGCAGTGATGGAAATGTTCTATATCCATGCTGTCCAATACAGTAGTCACCAGCTACACGTGGGTCTTGAGTGCTTGAAATATGCCTAGTGAGACTGAATAACTGAATTTTAAATTTTTTTACTTTTAATTAATTTAAATTTGAATTTAAACAGCTATGAATGGTTAATGGCTATTGGAAGCACAGATCTAGAGGTGCCGATCAGTGGAGAGACAGACATGTAAATAAGCAAGTACAATTAAGTGTAGTAGGTACTATGATAGAAATGTCTATGGAGGCCAGACATGGTGGCTCATGCCTATAATCCCAGTACTTTGGGTGGCTGAGGCGTGTGGATCACCTGAGGTCAGGAGTTCGAGACCACTTTGGCCAACATGGTGAAACCCCATCTCTACTAAAAATACAAAAATTAGCTGGGCATGGTGGCGCATGCCTGTAATCCCAGCTACTTGGGAGGCTGAGGCAGGAGAATTGCTTGAACTCGGGGGGTGGAGGTTGCAGTGAGCCGGGATTGTGCCACTGCACTCCAGCCTGGGCGACAGAGCAAAACTCCGTCTCAAAAAAAAAGAGAAATGTCTATGGAGCCAGGTGTGGTGGTTCACTCCTATAATCCCAGCACTTTGGGAGGCCAAGGAGGGAGGACCACTTGAGGCCGGGAGTTCAAGTCTAGCCAGGGCAACATAGGGAGACCCCACCTTTACAAAAAAAAATTGTCTGGCCTTGGTGGCGCACACCTGTAGTCCCAGCTACTCAGCAGGCTAAGGCAGGAGGATCACTTGAGCCCAGGAAGTCAAGGCTGCAGTGGGCCATGATTGCACCACTACACTCCAGTGTGGATGACAGAGCAAGACGCTTTCACACACACACAAAAAAATCAAATTAAAAAAGAAAGAAATATATCTAGGGTTCTCTCTAGGATTAGGTCAGTTCTGGGAGTGGGGAGAGGGATTCAAGAAAGTATTATATCTTTATGAGTCTTCAAAAATGAGTAGATATAACTGGTTGTCACATATGCAGCTTAAAGAATTACACTGTCTTGGAGCCCCTGGCTGTTTGATCTTGAGCAAGTGATTTGACTTTTCTAGGCTGAGCCTTGTCATTTATAAAAGAAAGGTCATAATAGTCCCCACCTTAGTCACAGTTGGGCGAAATAATGTGCTTGCTTATAGTAAGCACTCAGTAAAATGTTAGCTATTATTATTATCATCTTACTTCCTATTTCATACTACCATGTATACCCAGCTTGCTTGCTTATTTATTTATTTATTTATAAATTGTGATGAAAAACATAAAATTTACTGTCTTAACCATTTTTAAGTGTATAGTTTAGTAGTAGTAACTAATTTACATTGTTGCATAACAGATCTCTACAACATTTTTTTCTTGCAAAACTGAAACTCTATACCCATTGAACAACAACTCTCCCTTCCTCCTTCTTCCAAGTTCCTGACAACCACAATTTTACTATTTGTTTCTGTGAGTTTGACTACTTTAGATACCTCATGTAAGTGGAATCATACAATATTTGCCTTTCTGTGACTGGCTTATTTCACTTGGTATAATATCTTCGAGATTCATCCATGCTGTAGCATGTGAAAGGATTTCCTTCTTCTTTAAGGCTAAATACTATTCCTTTGTATGTATATACCATGTGTTTTTTTTTTTTTCCCCATTCATTCAATGATGGACATTTGGTTTACTTTCACCTCTTGGCTGTTGTGAATAATGCTGCACTGAACACAGATATGCAAATATGTCTTCAAGATTCTGCTTTCAGTTCTTTTGGATGTATATCTAGAAATGGAATTGCCAGATAGTATGGTCATTCTATTTTTATTTTCTAAGAGATGGAGTCTCACTCTGTTGCCCAGGCTGAAGTGCAGCGGTTATTCACAGGCATGATAATAGTACACTCTTATCCTCGAACTCCTGGGCTCAAGCGACCCTCCTGCCTCTGCATCCCAAGTAGCTGGGACTACAGGTGTGCATCAGCACACCTGGCTTATTTTTAATTTTTGGAGGAAGCTTTATACTATTTTCTTTCTTTTTCTTTTGTTACTTCCTGCAAGCAGATATACTATTTTCAATAGCAGCAGCACCATTTTATGTTCCCACCAACAGCACACAAGGGTTCTAGTTTCTCCATATCCTCAACGCTTCTTATTTTCTATTTTGTCTTGGATTTTTTTTTTAATACCTGCCATCATAATGGATATGAGGTGATATTATGGTTTGGATTGCATTTCTCTAATGGTCTTTTAAAATGCATGTTAGCTATTTGTATTTCTTCTTTTTTCCTTCTTTTTGCCTCCTTTCTCTTCTTCTTTCTTCTTCCTCCTCCTCCTCCTCCCCCCCGCCTTTTCCTCTGCCTACTCCTCCTCCTTTTTCTTTCTTCTTCCTTTTGTTTTCTTTCTTTCTTTTTTTTTTTTTTTCTTGAACTTCTGGGCTCAAGCAATCTTCCCACCTTGGCCTCCCAGTGCTAGGATTACAGGTGTGAGTCACTGTGCGCAGCCCATTTGTATATCTTCTTTGGAGAAATGTCTATTCAAGTTCTTTGCACATTTTAAAATTGTAATTGTTTTGTTGTTGTTGTTATTTTTTCATATGCAGTTTTTGTTAAATTTTATTTTAAAATTAACAACAGTAAAATCAAATTGTAATAAAATTCTTTTAATTTTAACACATATGTAATTTTTGTAACTGTCACCACACCACAGTCGAGATATAGAACAGTTCCATTACCTAAAAATCATCTTCATCACAGCTAGCTTTTTTTTTTTTTTTTGAGATGGAGTTTCGCTCTTGTTGCCCAGGCTAGAGTGCAATGGCACGATCTAGGCTCGCTGCAACCTCCACCTCCCAGTTTCAAGCAATTCTCCTGCCTCAGCCTCCTGAGTAGCTGGAATTACAGGCATGTGCCACCACACCCAGCTAATTTTGTATTTTTGGTAGAGACAAGGCTTCACCATTTTGGTCAGGCTGGTCTTGAACTCCTGACCTCAGGTCATCTGTCTGCCTTAGCCTCCCAAAGTGCTGGATTACAAGGTGTTGAGCCACCGTGCCCAGCCCAACAGCTAGCTTTTTAATAGGTGCTTTCCAGTAGTGTTATTGAGAAGCTGTCTTATTTCAAAATTGGTTAGTCAGTTGTAAATTAGTCCAAGGTGCTTATGGCTCTTGATTGATTTGCTGGGGTATACTCTATACTTTTTTCTCCCCACTTCCCGCCCCCCACATAGGTGAACTTGGGAATCAGACTTAGCCCCTTCTTTTCATGTAGCAGAGTATTACTGCTGACCAAATAATTAAATGCAGGGATATAGGATCTTAGATATATAACTTTGGCAAACATTCTCTCAATCTGTGGTTGTCAATCTGTGTGCTTATGATCTTAGTCTTTGGTTTATTAATCCATAGAAGCTTTTATAAAAAAAGAACTACAGCTAGGTCTTAAGTATGCTCAGTAGTAAGAAGTGGGAAGAGCTAAGAAAGAGCCCTAGATTGAGGTAGTGAATGTAGAATCAACTCTTGGCTCTGATAACTTTCTAAAAAACCTTAAATCTTTTAATTTCTGTGAGATGTAGGTGTTTTGTCTGCAAGATGGGTGAATTGCTAACCCTCATCTCACAGGGTTTTTTTGTTGTGAATATTAAGTAAAATAAAGAGTATGTTGGCTGGGCGCCGTGGCTTATGCCTGTAATCCCAACACTTTGGGAGGCTGGGGCAAGTGGACCACTTGAGCCCAGGAGTTTGAGTCCAGCCGTGATCGCACCACTGCACTCCAGCCTGGGTGACAGAGCAAGACTCTGTCTCCAAAAAAAAAAAAAAAAAAAAAAAGTATATAGTATTCAATAAATGTTAAGTTGAATCCAAAATAAGCCCAAGATTATATTTTAAAAGTTAAAGAGCTTTACTGAGATATAATTCATATGCCACACAATTCACTCATTTAAATTGTATAGTTGAGTGGTTTTTAGTATATATAGAGTTGCATAATCATTACCACAGTCAGTTTTAGAATATTTTCGTTACCTATTGGAAACTTGTACCCTTTAGCAATCACCCTCTGTTGTCCCCTTCTCCACCAGCCCTAGGCAATCACTAACCTATTCAGGATATTTCATATAAATGGAATAATATAATATGTGGCCTTTATAGCTAGCTTTTTTCATTTAGCTTAATATTTTCAAGGTTCGGCTGGGTGTGGTGGCTCACGTCTGTAATTCCAGCACTTTGGGAGGCCTAGATGGGTGGATCTCTTGAGGTCAGGAGTTAGAGACCAGCCTGGCCAACATGGTGAAACCCCATCTCTTCTAAAAATACAAAAATTAGCTGGATGTGGTGGTGCATGTCTATAGTCTTAGCTACTCAGGAGGCTGAGGCAAGAGAATTGCTTGAACCCAAAAGGTGGAGGTTGTAGTGAGCCAAGATTGTGGCGCTGCACTCCAGCCTGGGTGACAGAGGGAGACTGTCTCCAAAAAATATATATATATTATATATACTATATATATAGTATATTATATATACTATATATAAAATATATTATATAATATATATTATATATAATATATTATATATTACATAATATATTTTATATTATATATAATATATATTATATAATATATTTTATATTTTATATATAATATATATAATTATATATTATATATTATATATTTAATATATATTATATATAATAAATTTATTATATATGATATATAATTACATATATAAAATATATAATTATATATAATTATATATAATTACATATAAAATATATAATTATATATAATTACATATAAAATATATAATTATATATAATTACATATAAAATATATAATTATATATAATTATATATAATATATGTAATTGTATATATTTTTTCAAGGTTCATTCATGTTGTTACATGTATCAGTACTTCATTCCTTTTTATTGCTAAATATTTCATCATATGTATATGCCACCTTTTATTTGTTTATCAGTTGATGGACATTTGGATAGTTCCCACTTTTAGCTATTATTTGTAATGTAGCTGTGAACATTAGCATATAAGTTTTTATGTGGACATAGGTTTCTTATTTCTCTTGGGTATACATCTAGGAGTAGAGTTGTTAGAGCATGTGGTAACTCTATGTTTAACCCTTTTGAGGACTTGTTTTCCACAGTGGCTGTACCACTTCACATTCATTCCTACCAACAGTGTATGAAGGTTCCATTTTCTTCTCCACATCCTTGTAATCACTTGTTATTTGTCTTTTTTCTTTTAGCCAACCTACTCAATGTGAAATGGTATATCATTTTGGTTTGATGTGCGTTTCCCTGGTGGCTAATGATGCTGAACATCTTTCATTAGCTCATTGCTCACCTTGTTACTATTTTTTTTCTTTTTTAAGAGACTGAATCTTGCTTTGTCACTCAGGCTGAATTGCAGTGGTGGGATCATAGCTCACTGCAGCCTCAAACTCCTGGGCTCAAGTGATCCTCCTGCCTCAGCCTCCCAACTAGCTAGGACTACAGGCATGTGCCACCATACCCAGCTAATTTTGTTTATTTTTTGTAGAGGTAGAGTCTTGCTATGTTGCCCAGGCTGGTCTCTTAATTCCTGGGCTTGAGCAGATCTTCCTGCCTTGGCTTCCCAAAGTGCTGGGATTATAGATGTGAGCCACTTTATGTATCTCTTTGTGCTTTACTACCTAGCTTGGTGATATCCTTCTTTATTAAGATGGTACTCTGCACCCAAAAGAGCTTATTAATACTGATTTGTTAGTTGATTATAAGAGAGTCCCAGAGGAAATAAATATAGCTTAATCTTATTATTTTTCCTTCTTTTGGTTACTTCTATCAGGTTAAATTGAAAGTACTCAGTTAGCATATCTAGAAAATGGCCATTTTCAAAGAATATTCAGTCTGTTTAGAGGAAGACCCGATTGAAGACTTAAGATATAGTTAAAGAACAATTAATGGGCCGAGCGCGGTAGCTCATGCCTGTAATCCCAGCACTTTGGGAGACCGAGGTGGGTGGATCACCTGAAGTCGGGAGTTTGAGACTAGCCTGGCCAACATGGCGAAACCCCGTGTCTATTAAAAATAGAAAAATTAGCTGGGCATGGTGGCGGGTGCCTGTAATCCCAGCTAGTTGGGAGGCTGAGGCAGAATTGCTTGAACCTGGGAGGCGGAGGTTGCAGTGAGCTGAGATTGTGCCACTGCACTCCAGCCTGGGCAACAGAGCAAGACTCCATCAAAAAAAAAAAAAAAAAAAAAGAACAATTAATGGCTGAAGTTGATTACTAGTATTGATTATACTTACAATATGATCTTAGCTCCGGGGATACAGCAGTGAATAAAATAAAGTCCGTGCTTTCAATTGTGTCCTAGTAATAGAAAAAAACAGGCAGTGTATGGGAAAAGGGTGTGATTGAAAGGGTAGGAGCTATTTTAGATATAATCAGTTAACTTAGGCCTTGCTGATGAGGTGAAATTTGAGTAGAGATCTTAATGAAATAAAGGAGCAAGTCATATTGATAATTTGAGGGAAGAATTCTTTAGGCAGAGAGAACTGTAAGTACTAACTCCTTGAAGTGAGAATGTACTTGGTTTTTCAAAGAATAACGAGAAGAGGAGAATTTTCCCGTTGTTCAGCTTAAGCGATCCAAGGCTTGCATATTCTTCTTGGTGTCTGTGCTTTTGGCCCCCTCAGAATGGTTTCTAAACAACACAAATGTTGATGCTAAAATTTAATTTTACTGTAGTATGGAGCAAGGAGGAGAGTGCTATGGGGTAAGATTAGATAAAGGGAGCTAGATTACCTGGTAAGTCATGGTAATGACCTTGTATTTTACTCTGAGATGATAACTCATTGCAGGGTTTTCAACAGAGTGGAGTTACATGCTCCAAACTTTATTTAAAAGGATCATTTTGGCTTCTGGGAAGAGAGAGACAGGATAAGCAGATGGCAAGGATAGAAGCAGGGGCTGTTACAATAGTTAAAAACAATAATGAAGACTTGAGTCAGTGTAGTAATGGCAAGAAATGGTTAGAATCAGCATGTGTTTTGAAAGTAGAACTGACAGAATTTGCTGATAGATTAGATGAGGATTATGAAAGTAAGAAAGTAGTCAAAGGAGATTCGGAGGTTTTTGCCTTGAGCAACTACAAGATTAGAATTGCCACTTATAGAGTTGGGAAACAGTGGGAGGAGCAGGTTTGCAGGAAGGAGTTAGACATTTGGTTTTGGACATATTACATTTTTACAATGGTTATTAGATAACCAAAAGATCTCAGGCAGTTGGATATACAAGTCTGAAATTCAGAGAAGTTCAAGTTGGAGATAATAAATTTGGGAGTAATTAGCATATATAAAGCCATGGAGTAGATGTGCTCACCTAGGAAATGTGTGTACTTAGAGCAAAGAAGAGATCGGACTGCCAAACTCTGGACACTCTAACATAGAGAAGTTGAAAAGATCAAGGGAGTAGCCAGTGAGGTAGAGGAAGAACCTAGAGAAAGTGGAGTACCAGAGATCAGGTAATCTGTGTTGGGTAATGCCAAGCAAGTCTCCTAGTGTGATCATCTGAAGTCCTAGAGTCTAATTATGGTTTGGTTTTAAATAACTGGGACATTGGATAGTTCACTTTACCTTTTAGGGCCTTGGGGTGATCTCTAAAGTGAAGGGCTTAAGTAGATTGTCTCTAAACTTTCTCCTATCATCATCATAAACATCATAAACATTCTATAATACTTTATAGTTTACACAAAGCATTTTCATAAGTTTATCTCATTTAATCATCATAACAAATCTATGGGACCTAGATATTTATACCTGTTTTACAGATGAGGAGATTAAAGAAGTTTAGGAGCCGGGTGCGGTGGCTCACGCCTGTAATCCCAGCACTTTGGGAGGCTGAGGTGGGCGGATCACAAGTCAGGAGATCGAGACCATCTTGGCTAATGTGGTGAAACCCTGTCTGTACTAAAAATACAAAAATTAGCCGGGTGTGGTGGCAGGCGCCTGTAGTCCCAGCTGCTCGGGAGGCTGAGGCAGGAGAATGGTGTGAACCCGGGAGGAGGAGCTTGCAGTGAGCCAAGATCATGCCACTGCACTCCAGCCTGGATGACAGAGTGAGACTCTGTCTCAAAGAAAAAAAAAAAAAAGAAGTTTAGGCACTTGTCTAAAGTTACACTATCATAATCAGTGAGAAAGTTGAATGCAGTTCTGCCTGATCTCAAAGCCTGTGGTCTTTCTATTATATAGCAACTACCTTTTTACACTAATATTATAGAGCTCTGTGATTGTGAGCTTATTTATTTATTTATTTATTTGAGATGGAATCTCACTCTGTCACCCAGGCTGGAGTGCGGTAATGCATTCTTGGCTCACTGCAACCTCCACCTCGCAGGTTCAGGTGCTTCTCCTGTCTCAGCCTCCCGAGTAGCTGGGACTACAGGCACGCACCACTACACCCAGCTAATTTTCGTATTTTTAGTAGAGAGGGAGTTTCAGCATGTTGGACAGGCTGGTGTTGAACTTCTGGCCTCAGGTGATTCTCCTGCCTTGTCCTCCCAAAGTGCTAGGATTACTGGCACGAGCCACCGTACCCGGACTAATTTAATTATTTATTCAATGAATATTTGATGAGCACCTGCTCTAGTGGTCACTGCTCAAAGTGCTGGAGATACAGTTGTAACCAAGACAAAGTTCCTGCCCTCATAAGTCTTTCATTCTAGTGGGGGAAACTGACAGTAAACAAACATGTTAATAAAGAATATAATGTAAGGGCCATAATAAAAAATAAAGCAAGATAAGGAAACACCATATGTTGGGATGATGATCAAGAAAAGCCTCTCTGAAGAGATTGCATTTGAGCAGAGTCCTGAATGATTTTAAGTAGTAAGCCATGAGAAGATATAATAGAAGGGAGTTCAGCAGAGGAAACAGCAAGTAGAAAGATCCAGAGGTAGGAATGAGCCAGGTGCATTTTGTGGAATAGTAAGAAGGCAATTGGTTGGGCAGGAGGCAGACAAAATGCATAGAGTTGTGGAGTCATTTAGCCCTTGGTAGGGGTGGGAGTGGGGGTTAGTTCTGACTTCCATTAGGTAATTTGGTATCTGACTCTGGGCAGAGTATCTGACGTTTTGGAACTTTAAGTTTCTTATCTATAAAATAGAGATAATAAAATAAAGGTTACCTTGAGAATTGAACGAGAGAATGTATGTAAAATCCCTAGACCTCAAACATTAACATGTTTAATGTATACCTACTATTGTTGACAGTATAATAGGCATTTATTCTACTTTTATCAAATCAGTTTAATTTGTTTTTCTTTGTTTTTTCAGTTTGTTTTAGTCAGTAGATCTTAAAGTTCTTATTTTATGCCAGGGCTTTACTAGGTAATTTCTCTGAGCATGTCTTTGTGTTGAAATAAGAAAGTGTTGGACAAAAAAGAAAATGATTTAGAAGTTGATGAGTAGGTACAAAAATAGCAGCTTGGGATTTTGGTAATTGCATCCTCCGATATATTCATTTATTATGGAAAGAAACTGCATGTGCAATTCTGTCATCTTTCCTCATCACTGGATACTAGCTCTACTCTGGTGCTTCCCTGTCAGGCTTCCTGCTGATCCAAACCTGCTTGCCTTGGGAAATTCAGATAAGAGCCAAATCCTCCATCCTTATAAGACCATCTGTTTTCAGACCCACAGATGCTGCCCTTGCAATTGCAGCCCAACACAACTGGAATGATTTATTCATCTCTAGGTAACATTTGTGCACTAGCTTTCTAACAAAGTACAGTATCAGCTTTACACTTAATGAAGCATCTAGCACAGATGGTGAACTGCACTGTAAAGGATGCTCCTGGCTTAGAAGTGGCTGATGGACAGGTAGAGGTAATCTCTTAGTCCTGAGAGTGTAGCTAGAAGGAGCAGTAAGAGCTTCTTGTCTAGTAAAGTCTTGATTGTGTCTGGGCCCGATGGCTCACACCTGCAATCCCAGCGCTGGGAGGCCGAGGCGGGTGGATCATGAGGTCAGAAGATCGAGACCATCCTGGGTAACACAGTAAAACCCCATCTGTACTAAAAATACAAAAAATTAGCCAGGCATGGTGGCATGCACCTATAGTCCCAGCTACTCAGGAGGCTGAGGCAGGAGAATTGCTTGAACCTGGGAGGCGGAGGTTGCAGTGAGCCAAGATCGTGCCACTGCACTCCAGCCTGGGCAACAGAATGAGACTCCGTCTCAAAAAATAAAAATAAAAAAATAAATAAATAAAAATAAAGAGTCTTGATTGTGTATCCTATATTCCTGGAGTGTTTGAGATCATTTAATTCAATTGATTTTTTAAGTTAAATGTTGTACCATTTAACTGTTGAATTGAGAAAATGAAGACCCAGATAGGGGAAGGGACCTAAGTTGCATAGCAGATTGAAATGCGCAGCCAAATTAATCATCTACTTTGTGCTAGCTCTGTTCTTAGGTTCTTTACTTAACATTATCTTATTTAACCTGTAAGTTCCTTTTTGTCTCATCTTCTTATATTGAGGATCTAACTACTGTAGTAGTACTTTTCTTCCATAACAAAATACTTTGATAGTCAAATCTCCATAACCAAACATAGTTGCTACAAACAAATGATGCTTACTTTTAGAAAAATCTAGATGAATGTGGCTAGAGCTAGTCTGAGTCTTTGCCTCAGCCCCTCCTACAAGGTGATTTGGGGACGCTCTGTTTAGAGGGCAAGCCATGACAATGAAGACACTCTTTGTCACCTCAGAGAAGCTTGGTTTCTCTTTTGGAATGTTTGGTTTTAGTAAATTACTTCCTTTTCACTTTAGGTTTTAGGCTCTTTGACAAGCCATCTGCTTCTCAAACCCAATTTCCTGTTACCAGCAAGGGCAGTTCAGATGGAGAACAAAAGATTTCTTTAGTTCCTAGAGGTTTTGTGAGAGTGGGAAGGCTACAGGGAGAGATTGCATCTGCTTATTGTAATTCATTTGTGATGTGTGCCTGACTGGCAGTAATTTACCAGGGACTCTGCTGGGCTGGGTGAGGAGATAAAATTCTGGAATGGAGATCTATCAACATGCATTTTGGCTATTTCAATCCTTGCCAGTATTAGTCAGGGCTCTGAAGAGCTTGTTGGGGTTGATGTTGCTACTTCACTCTCTCTCTCTCTTTTTTTTTTTTGTTTTTTGTTTTGGAACCTGCATCCATTGTCCAAGTTTTTAATTTGTCCTTTATTTTTCTGTTCAGTTGCTTTTCCTGGTTGCTAATTTGTTCAGTGAGTGGCTTAGTATAATGCAATTCAGCAGACTGTGTTGAGTGAATATTTAGTAATGAATAAAATAAGATATGGGGAACCTAACATGAGGTAGTAGAAAAGTGTTAGTCAACCCAAACATGTGGCTTCAAGTTTCAGACCTTGGGTAAGTCATTTAATTTCTGAGCCATAGTTTTTTCATCTCTGAAAATGGAGTTATAGATATCACCTTTCCCAAGGTTACAGTGAGTATTAAATGAGAGAATATATAGGAAAGGATCAAGTGTTAAGTTGGTGCTCATTAATTATTCCCTTCTATTTTTCTTCCTATCTCCTTAAGGAGTATACATGGGGAAGTCAGACATTTATGCAAGTGTGTGTGTACATGTGTTAGTTTAATATAGTTCTAAAAAGTGGCTGGAATTTGCCACCATCATTGGGAATTGGGAAGTGAAGGCTTGGGGCAGATACATGTCTTCCTTGAAACCAGACTGAGAAATACTTTCTGATAAGCTAACATAACACAATGTTTGTGTGCTTAAAGAAGACCTCAGGAGGAAAAATGAAAGAACCTGAGGGTAGAGGCCTTGAGCTGCTGATTTCCTTAGGGGGACCATTAGAATGTCTCTGGTAGTCACTGTTCTCTTAGAAATGGAATAATTTGCTTCACAATAAGCTGAGAACGGAACCTGGAGTTTGTAAGTATGAGAATTGCCTTTTGGGAACAGCTAGTACATAGCTTGGAAGATTATAGCCACTCTCACTCTGCCTCCTCTGCCTCCCGGGTTCAAGCGATCCTCCTACCTCAGTCCCCCAAGTAGCTGGGACTATAGGCGCATGCCACCATGCCCGGCTAATTTTTGTATTTTTAGTAGAGACGGGGTTTCGCCATGTTGCCCAGGCTGGTCTTGAACTCCTGAGCTCAAGCGAACTGCCAGCCTCGGCCTCCCAAATTGCTAAGATTACAGGTGTGAGCCACCATGCCTGGCCTACAAAGTGTTTCTTGATCTGATTTCTGCCTGCCTTTTCAGCCTCACTTCCTACTGCTCTTGCAATACTGTATTAATTGCAGTTTCTCAACTCTTCTGTGCTCATTTAGACTAGCCCTTGGTAGTTTTTCTTTTATGTTACACTTCCCCTCTTTTCTGTTCCTCTGTTTTGCCTGACAAACTTCTACTCTTTCTTTAAAACTCTTCTCAAGCACCATGTTTTGTGTGAAGTTCTCCCTGACTTCTGAAGGGGAAATGCTATGGCATGAGAGACCTCCTTCCTCATACAAAAATCTAACTACATGTTGTAGCATCAATGATTAGTAAACACAGTGATGCATCTCTTAATGCTTTGTCTATGACCCATTAGTTTCTTTATTTTAGTGCCTTCATTGGAACACTCAATTTATCCACATATGGATCCGTTCACAACAGATATCTTTGGAATCAGGAAAATAAATGCAGATACGGTGCAGCATCTTGCAGGACTCAGCAAATTATTTTTTATTGTACCTCTTGCCCCTATGAAGTGAATAACCATCAATAAAACAAACCCTAGGTTTGGAGAGGCCTATTATTATTATTATTTTTTGAGACGGAGTTAAGCTCTTGTTGCCCAGGCTGGAGTGCAATGGCATGATCTTGGCTCACCACAACCTCCACCTTCTGGGTTCAAGCGATTCTCCTGCCTCAGCCTCCCGAGTAGCTGGGATTACAGCCATGCACCACCACGCCCAACTAATTTTGTATTTTTAGTAGAGATGGGGTTTCTCCATGTTGGTCAGGCTGGTCTCGAACTCCTGACCTTACGTGATCTGCCCACTTCGGCCTCCCACAGTGCTGGGATTACAGGCGTGATCTACCGCGCTTGGCCTGGGGAGGCCTATTTATTCTCAGGTTGATGGCTGAGGTTCACCTGATATGATTCACCATTGACAAACTTTGATGAAGACAAGCATGTTTATGCTTTCTTTCAAATAACTTTTTATTTGTGGTCCCAAATTTCTTCTGGTATAAATAGGATCTGAATTCTGTCTTTTATGTTGGGGCTTTCCTGTATATCTGGTGATTCTTGGTTGTCTGTTCGTTGTTAAAAGTGGAATACTAAAAAGCTGATTAGAAGTTTTAAATGCTGGCCGAGTGTGATGGCTCACACCTGTAATCCTAACACTTTGGGAAGCTGAAGTAGACAGATTGCTTGAGACGAGAATTTGAGACCAGCATGGGCAACACACTGAAACCTCATTTCTGCAAAAAATAGAAAAATTAGCTAGGCGTGGTGGTGTGCCACCTGTAGTCCCAGCTACTCAGTAGGCTGAGGTGGGAGGATCACCTGAGCCCAGGGAGGTTGGGGCTGCAGTGAGCCATGAGTGACAGAGTGAAACCCTGTCTCAAAAAAAAAAAAATGTTTTAAGTGCAGGCCAGATGTGGTGGCTCACACCTGCAACCCTAGTGCCTTGGGAGGCCAAGGTGGGAGGATCACTTCAGCCCAGGAGTTTGAGACCAGCCTGAACAACATGGTGATACCCCCATCTCTCAAAAAAAAAAAAAAAAAAAGAAGGGTGAGGTGCGGTGGCTCACGCCTGTAATCCCAACACTTTGGGAGGCCAAGGCAGGCAGATCATGAGGTCAGAGGATCAAGACCATCCTGGCTAACACAGTGAAACCCCGTCTCTACTAAAAATACAAAAAATTAGCCGGGTGTGGTGGCGGGCACCTGTAGTCCCAGCTACTCGGGAGGCTGAGGCAGGAGAATGGCATGAACCCGGGAGGTGGAGATTGCAGTGAGCTGCAGATTACACCACTGCACTCCAGCCTGGGCGACAGAACAAGACTCTGTCTCAAAAAAAAAAAAAAAAAAGAAAGAAAGAAAATAGCTGGATGTGGTCGTGAGCACCTGTAGTCCTAGCTACATGGGAGGCTAGGTGGGAGGATCCCTTGAGCCCAGGAGTTTAAGGCTGCAGTGAGCTGTGATTGTGCCACTAAACTCCAGCCTTGTGTGATTCTCCCAAATTACTGAGTTTATTAGATGTGTTTTCAAAGAAGGGGACTCTACTAGTAGTAAAGTGTGAAGACAGGGTGACAGTGAGACCCTGTCTGTAAAAAAAAGAAAAAAAAAAGGTTTTAAATACATGAGTTGGGCTTACTGAGTGTGGACTTCTCTGTGTGATGATTTGCCTGGGCTATGTGTGGGGCAACTACATGTCAGTATCTTTAGGTTTTTCCACTAGGGCTGGTCAGATTCTCCGGAAGAATCCTCTAGTCTCCTTCCTACAAGTTGGAGGCCTGGCTGCCTGTGGTCTGGAAGCTAAGTGGGAGAACAAGGCTGTAGGGGGATCCTCAATATTCATTTCACTTACAGTCTTCTTTGCTGTATAGTAACCCTGCCCTCAACTGTGCCTGTTATTTCTTTGTCTGGAGACCCTCTCTGTTTTACTCTCTCCAGAGGGAAAAGAAAACCTTTAGTCTTCTATACTAGGGGAGGCAATCTTGGTCTTTAACTGGTTCTCAGACAGATTTTCATGTAATCAATTCCCCTGATTTTAGCATGCTTTCTTTCTAGAAATATATGGTACTGCCGGGTGTGGTGGCTTACACCCTGTAATCCCAGCACTTTGGGAGGCTGAGGGGGCCAGATCACCTGAGGTCAGGAGTTCGAGACCAGCCTGGCCAACATGACGAAACCCCGTCTCTACTAAAAATACAAAAATTTTCCAGGCGTGGTGGTGGGCTCCTGTAATCCCAGTTACTCGGGAGGCTGAGGGAGGAGAATTGCTTGAACCCAGGAGGTGGAGGTTGCAGTGAACTGCGATCGCACCATTGCGCTCCAGCCTGGGTGACAGAGTGAGACTCCGTCTCAAAAAAAAAAAAATAAATAAATAAAAATAAAAAATGAAAGAAAGAAATACATGATACTGCCAGTTTCTGAGCCTTGTGTGGCTTCTACAGGTAAAATTGAGTTAGTTTTTGTTTTTTCCCACTGCTGACTTAGTATTCATTTTCCTTGGATCTAATAAGTCAGTTTCTGCTCATCCATCTGCTTTCTAGCTTTCAGTATTTTATGGCTATTGCTCGTCTCCATTTCTCTTTGTTTTTATGGTTTTACACTTCATTTAAAATCCAAAAGTAGGGTCTAAGGAGAGGACATTTATTCAGTTTATCAACTCTATGAAGATGTCTGTATCAGCATTTCATTCCCTGTTTGACAGGTGAAGAAATCATGTATTACCATGTTTGAAGGTAGCTATTTGCACTGGGAAGAGTATGGGCTTTTGATTCTGAGAGGCTTGGGTTTTGAATCTATTGCTTAACAAGCTGTGTGACCTTAGGGCACTTATTCATAATTCCACCAATAAATTTTTATGTCCATTAGCAAATTAGGTAGAGGCACCCACCAGATGACTAACTTACCTTGACAGTTGATGCTTTATTCATTTAAGCACTCCCCCCAAAAGTTTACTGTTTTGAGTGAATTTTCTCCCTAAAAACATTATATATTACCCTCTTCAGAATAGTCAGAACATTATTGAATCTTTCTTGAGGTTCAAGTTAATTATTTTGAACATCAGCTAGTCTGCTTTTTTATGTTACAGTAATACATTTTATACTAAATACCCTAATACTGTACTTTAAAACAAAAAAGCTAAAAGCCACTTTTTGGTGTGAATACTATGCTTTTTAGATTTTTGTGGTTGTTTTGAATTTTTTTTTTGGCCTTTTCTCCTTGCTGTTGGTGAAACACAACAGAGAATATGGTTCTCCTTTCTTACTTGGTCACTTTTCTCCTACTCTGTGTGGTGCTCCCAAATTACGGTTTATTAGATGTGTTTTCAAAGGAAGAGTAAGGCCCTAGGGACTCTACTAGTAGTAAAGTGTGAAGAATTAAAGACAGTTATTTTGGCTTTAGAGAGACCTTTTTTGCTTGCTTCCTAGTTCTCTGTGTGTTCCAGAAAGACAAGGTAATTGGGTTGCTGAATTCCACGTAAGTGACATATTATAATGAAACTTCATGATTTCTCAAATAAATTGCTTTCATCTATATTATCTCATTTTTTAAAGCTTCATAATGATTCTATAAGGTAAGTAGGGCAGGTGGGATTATCCCCATTTTATAGATTGGACAATCTGAAGTTCAGAGAATTAAATGCCTTGCTCTATCACATAATTGAGTGGTAAGCTGGGACTAATCTCAGGTTGTCTGATTCGAACCTTACTGCTCTGTCGTTTCTCTGTTCTAGCCTTTGTATATGGACTTCTACAGAGAAGGTCAAATTCTTAAGGTCAGAGAGCAATGCAGTAAGGAATACTTCTCATTTGATCCTGTAGTAGCCTGGTGGGACAGGTAGCATTTTTCCTCTTTCCCAGCTGAAAATTGAAGTTCAGAGAGATTAAATGACTTGTCCAAGTTCACCTGAAAAAATAAGGCATGACAGTGTCTGGGACTCATTCTCTTCTTTTGACTCCAACTCCTGCTCTCTGATTGCGGTGCATGATGCATCCGCCCTAAGTCAGAATGAGCTGCCAAAAGAAAAAATATGCCACCAACATTGAAATTTAGATAGCAATGGTTTGAACTGTAGTAAACAACCAAGTCCTCTTCTCTGGGAAGGTTTCAGCTGATTGGAATTCTCAGTCTATTTTCCAATTTATGTAGAGGAGGAGGATAAAGAACTGTTGTGTTTGGACTTGCAAAAAACTGATTCCTTTAGTGGAAGCTCTAAAGATATACAGTTGCATTGCTGGTTTGGCACAAAGAAATACTTAAGCTCTCAAGTACAAATATTTACTGAATTTCTAGTACAGCCTAATGTTCTAGACCCCAGGAAGGATTTGTCATGAATTGGGAAATCTTAGGGCTCCAGGATCCATTCATTCTTAGGCTTAAAGGCTGAGTTTATCCAGGCAATTCAGTAGAGCAATTTTATATACATTACTCCTGCGGTGTACTAGGAATAATAACAGGCACTGGGCAGGGGTGGGGTAGGTATATGTCCTGATAAGAATCTCATGGTTTGTTTGGAAAGAGACACACAAATAATTACATTACAGCATAATAAGTTATAATGAGAGATGTATAAAGAGCACTAAACAGATAATCATTAATTTTGCCCAGATCAAGGGTGCAGGGAATGACTGGAGAAAAGTTTACAGTGAAAGTAATACTTGGGGCCAGGCATGGTGGCTCATGCCTGTGATCTAAACACTTTGGGAGGCCAAGGAGGGTAGACTGCTTGAGTCCAGGAGCTTGAGACCAGCCTGGGCAACATGGTGAAAATCTTTCTCTACCAAAAAAAAAAAAAAAAAAAAATTAGCCAGGCATGATGGTGTGCGCCTGTGGTTCCAGCTACCTGGGAGGGTGAGGTGGGAGGATCACTTAAACCTGGGAGGTTGAGGCTGCAGTGAGCTGTGATCACACCACTGCACTCCAGCCTGGGTGACAGAGGGAGACCCTGTCTCAAAAAAAAAAAAAAAAAAAAGTGATACTTGGTCTGTGCTTTGCAGGATGGGTCAGCTCTTTAGACAGAAGGGGAATGAAAGGCATTGTGGGCAGAGAAAACAGTATATGCAAAATCACAGAAATATGAAAGAGCTTGTTGTTTTAAGAGAAGCAGTGAGAAGCTTGATTCAGTTAGAATTGGAGAGTAAGGTAACCTAGGTCTCCTCTCTGGTCTGGGGCTCTCAAGATCTCTTCCTGTTACTCTGTACCAGTGTCTGCTCATTATAGGTATATTCTTACTCATGTGCAAGTGCTCTCTGAAACAGGCTGCATCTCCTCTGCAGTCTTGCCAGGCTTTCTTCAGAGCTTAGTTAGCATAATTATATTCTCCTCTCAAAAGCCTTCCAGGATGTTGTCGTTCATCTGATATCTATTGCTCTTTGTGAGCCAGTGCAGTTCATCTCCTAAGTTAATACTGATGAGTGTTCATCCATAATTTGTTTCTGTATTGCTTTCTACTTTAGGATTTGCCATTAGTGATATTTCTGGTTATGCCCAGAGTTGAGGCTTCTTGTTTGGTTACTTGCATTTCTTAAGCCTTGGCTACAGGTTTATTTTGAAGTTGTTTAACCCTCTGTTCAACTCAGGTATCTTTCAGATTGGGGAGTAAAGTGTAGTGAAATGAGACTCTCTAGGAAGCCTTCTCCCACTCTCCCAGAGTTAGTAATTCCTATTCTGTTTGTCTTAGTGCTTGTCATCCTCCATTAGAACTCCTTCTGGTTTCAGTGTCTGTCTCCTCTACTAGATAGTAGGTTCCCCTGATGGGAGGGATTTGTTAGTTCATCTCGTTTTTTTCAACAGCCAACATAGAGCCCAGATGCAGAATAGGTGTTTGCTACATGTTTATTGTTTATTGAGAGTTGGGAACAGGACTACAAATCCCAGGTTTACCACTGTGTGACTTTGGGCAGGTCACTCCAATCTTTGGAGCTCCAGTTTATCTGTAAAATATGGGGGCTGCACTCTATGACCAGGATCATAACATTTATCCTACTTAGTCAGGATCCAGTTGAGGAGACAGAAATGCCATCAATAATTTAAATAGATAAAATTTAATATTAAGAATTGTTTAGGTAAAAGGTTTTTAACTACTTAAAAGAGATAAAAGAGAATTCTAAGGTATAATAGAGATAGTAACTGCAGAAAAAGATTGCTGTACCTAAGGCTGAGGGAAAAGTGAAAAAGGAAGGAACTTAGAGCTCCACAAGGCTGAGATTCAGACCTCAGAGGAGAGTATGGCTGCTGTGGCAGTATGCTGCTTGTTGCTGTGGTGAAGAAGAAACTGGCTGGAGGGCACTCACCTCAGAACCTGGAGAGTCGCTGCTTTGAAATGTACCAAGATTCCCCTGCACACTGATCTACTTGCTACTTTGTGAAAAACTGAGCATTGCAACTGGCTTTGTATTCTCCTTCCAGCACCCTCTATCGGCAGAACCTAATAGCCACTCGCTCCACTGGGAAAGGAGAAATGTAGTCAGCCTAGGTTAGTCTCGTATCACAGAGCAAGGCAATGAAGAATTGGTTTGGAACTGTAAGGCAATAATTTAACTTCTGTATTATAATTGTCTGTTTTTGATATGTCTTCCTTATTGCACCATGAACTTGGTAGTGTCTGGAACAGTCTGATTTGTCTCCATATCTGCATTGTCCCAGAAGTGACTTTGGCACTAAAAAGTTGATCATTAATTACTGTTTGGGCCAGGTGTGGTGGCTCATGCCTGTAATCCTGGCACTTTGGGAGGCTGAGGTGGATGTATCACCTGAGGTCAGGAATTCGATACCAGCCTGACAAACATGGTGAAACCCTGTCTCTACTAAAAATACAAAAATTAGCTGGGTGTGGTGCCGGGCGCCTGTAATCCCAGCTACTCTGGAGACTGAGGCAGAAGAATTGCTTGAACCCAGGAGGTGGAGGTTTCAGTGAGCTGCGATTGCTCTCAGCCTGGTCAACAGAGCAAGACTGCGTCTCCAAAAAAAAAAAAAAAAGAAGAAAAAGTTGTTTGAATGAAGGAATGTCTCTTGAAGATAGGGAAAGTTAGGTGTTTCTCTAGGTTGGCTTAATTCTGATTCTTCTTGGAATGGATTGGGACCACTGGAATAGGCATCCTCCCTAGAAGCTCTGTTCTTAACGTAAGTTAAAGCTTTATTGAATGTCATTTTTCTTGTGCCTGTCATGTGCATAGCTTGTGTTAGATGCTAGAGAGAAGGTAAGGAGAACATTCTATTGTTGATATTAATATACTCTGAGATTAAACATATCCTCTTTCCTAAAGGGTGACCATCTGAAATCTAGGGTAGGTGCTTTGCACATAGTGTACTCCTCAGAAGGGCAAAGAGACAAACATTATCTGTCATTTACAATAGTTTATTTCATTTCTGGAGCCCATTTTTAAAATCCATTTTACAGATGGTGAAACTGAGGCTCA
This sequence comes from Homo sapiens, assembly GCF_000001405.40. Classification (NCBI taxonomy): domain Eukaryota; kingdom Metazoa; phylum Chordata; class Mammalia; order Primates; family Hominidae; genus Homo; species Homo sapiens. Next base: position 73,529,356 of record NC_000011.10, on the reverse strand, counting down.
GAAAGGTTGAGAGACTTATGCAAAGTTATACAGAAAGTAAGAGGCAAAGCTAGGACATGAGCCCAGGTTTGGCTGTTCTAAAATTTGAACAGGCAACACCTTCCTTTCTCCCAGCTTATGAAGGCAAGCATAGAGTTTTTGCTAGCTGATAGCAGTAGAAATCTGTGGAAGTGATTTCTCTTCCTAGCTGTTTGGGGGGCTGGGCAAGCAACAACAATGCACAATAGCAGCACTTGCAAGCTGCAGTGATAATGTTTGGTAATAATCGACCTTTTAAATAAGCCAGTTAGAGCTTGAGCTTCAGACACCTGATTTGTGAAACAGTTGCTACCTAGCAGCAGGGTACTTTTTTTTTTAAATCCCACACTAGCAGCTCACAAAAGAATGCAGATGTATTCCCTGCAATATTAAGCGTCTCTTTTCTTGCTCTGGCAGGTTTCTTTCCTTTTTTGGGGGCTGAAGTTAGGTAGACCACTTAATTATTATTAGGAAGCAAAATTTATGAGGCTGATGTTGTTGCTCCTGGGCCAACAGACACAAAGACTCTCAGTAAAGTATTTAGGATTGGGAGTCAGTTATGCCTTTCCCAGGTCATCATCCAGGCACAAGTGGGGACCCTGGTCTCATTACTTGCAGGGTCAGAGTGTTACAGGACAGAGGTCCAGGTTCCAGACCCCAAGAGACGGTTCTTGGATCTCACGCAAGAAAGAATTCAGGGCGAGTCCTAAGTGCAAAGTGAAAGCAAGTTTATTAAGGAAGTAAAGTGGTGAAAGGACAGCTACTGCATAGACAGAATAGGACATTCCTGAAAGTAAGAGGAGGAACACATCCACTCTAGGTACAATATTTATATATATGAGGAGATGTGTTCTGCTACAAGGGTTTGTGATAAAGGATTAATTTTCTTAATTACTATATTTTTCACGAATTGATACTATTATCTTTAAAGCAAAATTAGGAATGCTACTTTGTTTTCCGGATATTGGGATATCTGTACACTCCCAAGTGTGGGTCTGTTTAGTAAACATTATTAATTTGTTCCCTTAACCGTAAACATCTGGAGGCTAGGAATGCCTGACTTTCTGAGAATGCAGCCTAGCAAGTCTCAGCCTCATTTTCCTAGCCCTCATTCAAAATGGAGTCGCTCTGGTTCGAACGCCTCTGACAAGAGTATTGCACATGGCCTGGGAGAGATTCTGTTCTAGGAGACAGTTTTCATCAAAAGTATTGGATGAGGCCAGTAATGTCAGGATTTGCTAATCAAATTATTTAGCTGTTTATTTTGTGATTATCCACTGCATGGCTACAGAGACTGGCTGACATGAAGGTGTGCTCTCATGATGAGAGTGAGAAGTCCTTGGATCAATGTCATCTTTCCTTAGTTTCTTTTGGTACTATCATTATTGAGGGAATCTTAGGATAGTCACCTTCCTCTTTGGTTTTCCTGGCTGTGAACACTGCTGCCTAACTGCTTTTCAGAAGTGATGACATTTATTCTTTGGTAGGAGCTGAAAGAGCCTGTATGTGTCACTTATTTTTAACTGCATACTCTATATAAGTTGAAGTCTTTTTTTTTTCGTTTTGTCATTTAGCATAGAACAGGAAAGGTGGTGTAGTGGTATTAGTATGAGCTTTTCTAGAACCCACCTGGGCAAAACCCCCTTCTGCTACTTAATAACTTAATAGTTATTTATCCCTTCTGAGCCTCAGTTTTCTCATTAAAATGAGAATAATGATAATAATGACAATAGCAATCCATGGTTTTGCATGTCTGTTAATTTCCATGAACTTCAATTTATCTGTAAAATGGATGTGATAATTCCTCAACAATAGGTTTGGTTTGAGAAATAAATTGGCTAATTTAAATGGAAATGTCTACTGGCATGTTTGGTACATAGACTTTGCATATGCTAGTGCTCAATAAGTGATTATGACCCATTGTTTTTAGAAGACCTAAAGAAAGAGATCATTAAAGGTAGTTATTTCCTGTGGGATGGGTCAGGGCTTAATACATACTCATTGATTAATTCTTTCAGTGGGGTGCTCTTGTCATTTCCTTTAGGGGCAGTTTTATGTGGTCTGCTGGTATTCATGTATCTAGATGGAACCATGGAGTCGTTTCCCCATGAGTTTCCTTCCAAACTTTTAGTCCTATTTCTGCTGTTAGTGGATGAGAAAGGCTGAGTTGCAGTTCAAAACCTCCAATACTTTGTATTTCTGGGTCTGGTCAGTACACAAGATTAAGGAGTGTTTGTTATGGTCCTTTAAGGAGGTGTGATCATGCTGTTAGTTTTGCTATTTCTTTATACCAAACCACAAAGGAGGGCTGGCCAGTAAAAAATATTTGTGGGCCAGAAGCTAGATGTCCCCGCAAAGCTAACCTGTGATCTACTTAGTCTTTTCAAGCCAGAGACTCTGGCAAGTTTGAATTCCAACTGTTTCAGTTTGTTTCATTTCTCTCCGTTTTTTTTTTTTTTTTTTTTTTTTTGAGATGGAGTCTTGCTCTGTCGCTAGGCTGGAGTGCAGTGGAGAGATCTTCAAAAGCCAAAACACAGAGATTAGAGGATTTGTTTAAAGTCATATGGTGAACCTAGCTTTCTTCCTTTTAACTTTCTTCCTGTAGTTCTTTGGGGAAATTAGTTGTTTATTTCACAAGATGTTTAGCCAACAATAAGCGATTTGTTTTCAAGAATATTCACCGGTTTTCCTTCTCATAAATGCTGCAAGATTATATTGAGCTATGATGTTTTCAAAGTCCTTTCATGGCCAGTGTTGCATTTTTTCTTCATAATACTTCTATAAGATAAGCAAGTTAGCTACTCTTAATGATTTTTGTTATTGTTTTTAGCTGATGAGGAAACTGAGGCCCAGAGAAGAGGTGACTTAATTCAGAGACACCTATCGAGTCAAAGGCAGGGTTAGAATTAGAACTCAGGCACAAGAAAGCCCTTTTATTTTTAGGTTTCTGATTTTCACTAGGAACATCGTCACACCTTGCACACCCTGCCAACATTAGATATTATCACTCTATAATTTTTGCCAACCCATTGAAAGAAAAATATCTCATTGTTTTAATTTTTATCTCCCTAGTTACTAGTGAAGTTAATTTTTTAAATATTTATTGGCCATTTATAGTTCTGTGAATTTTGTGTCATTTATTATACATTTTATACTGGGTTCTTCATCTCTCATCACTTTTGTGGAGACTCTTTGTATGTTAAGAGTATTAATTCTTTTGATATACATGGTGCAAATATTTTTGATTTTTATTTATGAAACTTTGTGCATCCCTAGAGCACCAAAGAAAATAGTCCTTTATACTAGGCTAACTGTTCAAAAAAACAGCATACTACTACCCCTGTTAACACTACCAGTTAAAATTTATTTTCTGAGTTTTCCAAGAAACTTTCATATTCTTTATGTCTTTTGTCCTTTCAAGAACTTCATGAGGGGGCTTGCAATTAAAATAAGGTAATTTGAACATGTACATCTTATATCTTTTCAAAAACATTGAAATGGAACAGAACTGGTATTTCGCAAGGGCTAAGAAGATAGGAGAGGAGATAATAGTAAATGAGAGGGAACAAGATTTTGGAAGATGGAAAAGAGGTGCAGGTTGTGAACAATTTAGCAAGTTGCAGAAAGCAGAAAACTTAGGCTGCAGAGGAATGTCAGTATCAACAGTCATTTTGTGGTACAGACCCTAGCCTAGGTATTAGAGGTTCTCAAATGTTGAGAGGTAGAGCTGTGAAAAGAGGAGGATTAGTTCAAAGGTTATATAAGGAACAATTAAACTCCCACATCCTTTCTCAGCAGAACTTTGGAGGTTTATTTTCTGGAGAAATAAAATCAGGCAGGACCTGTACTTGGGGATGCTAGACTCAGCTGAGAGGTGACATTCCCAAAACAGGGATTTAGTGAAGGTCTTCATTCAGTTCTTAGTTCCCAGATATAGGTAGTCAAACTTAATCTCCTCAGATAGGAGACTGGAGGATGTATTGCTGAGAAACTGACCCATAGACATTTGAACGTCCCTTTCCCCAGTTTAAAAAAAATTGGCATGGCATTTTGTCTTGTTACAGTGAAACTTAGCAATTAAAATGCTCTACTGTTCGTACGTGTCTGTATGTTTCTTAGTCTTAAATATGAAAGAATAGGCAAAGATCACCTGATATTTGAGAAAAACGTCTAGCATGAATGACAGAAACTAAAAGAAACATATAGAAGGAACCCTACCCCCCAAAAAAGAGAGGGAATGGAGAGGGGAGAAGGATTGAGGGAAAGGGAAAGCATACAAGCACAAGAGAAACAATGTAGGAGCAAAAAAAAAAAAAATTGCAAAAAACTCAGATCAAAAAAGTTATTACCTTAGTGAAACAAGAATAAGGTCCTATTTGAAAAAGGAATAGTCAGCAAGAAATAATTTTTGAACACTTAAAAATACAGTATTGAAAGTAGGCTGGATGCAGCGGCTCTTGCCTGTAATCCCAGCACTTTGTGAGGCCGAGGCAGGTGGATCATCTTGAGGCCAGGAGTTCGAGACCAGCCTGACCAACATGGTGAAACCCTGTCTTCACTAAAAATACAAAAAATTAGGCAGGCATGGTGGCGCATGCTTGTAATCCGAGCTACTTGGGAGGGTGAGGCATGAGAATTGCCTGAGTCTGGGAGGCGGAGGTTGCAGTGAGCTGAGAACATGCCACTGTACTCCAGCCTGGGCAACAGAGCAAGACTCTATTTCATATATATATATACACATACATATACACACACACATATATATGTATATAATATCAAAAATAAGGTAGAATGAAAACAAGTAGAAAATAGAAGAGGAAAGAAATAAATTAGAGGATCAGTTTAAGATTTATTTAAATTTAAAAGATTTAAATTTAAGAATATTAATTTTATTTTTTTAATGATTTTCTTTTCTCCAGTTTCTCTAGTTAGAGAAACTCCTCATAGTTAGATTTTGGATCTCCTCATAGTTAGGTTTTGGCTTATGAAGTGAAAGAAATCATCAAAGAAATTATACTTTTCCCAGGACTTAAGTACACATGTGCTTAGATTGAAAACCCTATCAATTCTCAATACACTGAATGAAAAAAGAAACACAACACCATAAAATTTCAGAACACCATAAAATTTCGAAATGAGAATATAAAAGCTTCCAGAGAGAATTAAGAGGTTATATACAAAAGCATTTGATTTCTCAAAAGCAGTATTGGAAGCTAGAAGAAAGTGGAGGAATTATCTTACATTCTGAGAGGAAAGGATTTTCAAGCTATAATTCTATACCCAGTCAAAACTAACAATTAATTATGAGAGTAGGGGCCGGGGGCAGTGGCTCCTACCTATACCAGTGCTTTGAGAGGCCAAGATGGGAGGATTGCTTGAGCCCAGGAGTTTGAGGTTACAGTGAGTTATGATCACAGCATTGTACTCTGGCTTGGGCGACAGAGTGAGATGCTCTCTCTTCAAAAAAAAAAAAATAGGGGAAAAGAGACATTTTCAGATATGCAGTATCTCAAAAGATTTATCTCCTACCTGTGCTATCTCAGGAAACTTGGTAGTTTGATATACCTAAATGAGATAGAAAAGGAAGAGGGGCTGGGCATGGTGGCTCACACCTGTAATCCAAGCACTTTGGGAGGCTGAGGTGGGAAGATGGCTTGGGTCCAGGAAGAGTTTGAGACCAGCCTGGGCAACGTGGCGAAACCCCGTCCCTACAAAAACAGAAAAATTAACCAGGCATGGTGCTAAAAGTTGAACGTGATTACCATTGGGAAGCAGAGGTCAAAGGTAAGATAGGGGATTGCTGCTTTTTTGATATAAGCCTTATAGTATTGAGTTTGACTTGTGAAACTATCAATCTATTAGCTTTAATCAAATGTAAAATTAAGGCGGTCACTGTGTGCCTATAGTGTCAGCTACTGGGGAGGCAGAGGTAGGAGGATCACTTGAGCCCAACTTCAAGGCCAGCCTGTGCAACATAGCAGGACCCTGTCTCTTAAAAAATAAATAAAATAAAATAAAATTATAAATGATCATTATGCCTTCCTTCTCCCCAAAAACATATGAAGTAAAGCGTTATTACCATACATGGAAATAAGGCCTGTAGAATTAGGGGACCAAAGGTTTTTAGAATGAGTTACTAGAGAAGCTGAAACTCCAGTTCTGGCTCTGACTCTCTGACTCTCACCATTGCCCTTTCTGCTCTAGAGAAAGCAGAAACCTTCTTTGGAGTGTTTGCTGGTGATGTTCACATGAGTAAACCTGTGGTTCCAGCAGCCCCCTCCTCTCATTGTGTGTGTGTGTGTTTTGTTTTGTTTTGTTTTTTGTTTGAGACAGAGTCTTGCTCTGTTGCCCAGGCTGGAGTTCAGTGGTGTTATCTCTGCTCACTGCAACCTCCACCTCCTGGGTTCAAGCAATTCTCCTGCCTCAGCCTCTCAAGTAACTGGAATTACAGATGCCCGCCACTATGCCTGGCTAATTTTTGTATTTTTAGTAGAGACTGGGTTTCTCCATGTTGGCCAGTCTGGTCACAAACTCCTGACTTCAGGTGATCCACCCTCCTTGACCTCCCAAAGTGCTGGGATTACAGGCGTGAGCCACCATGCCTGGCCTCATTGTCTTTTATATTGGCTGTTACAACCTCCGCATTTGGGACACTGCAAAGTATCTGACATAGCCAGTAAAAGTCCTAATGACCCCAGTTCCTGGCCAGGCGTGGTGGCTCACACCTGTAATCCCAGCACTTTGGGAGGCTGAGGTGGGTGGATCATGATGTCAGGAGATTGGTACCATCCTGGCTAACACAGTAAAACCCCATCTCTACTAAAAATACAAAAAATTAGCTGGGCATGGTGGCAGGCACCTGTAGTCCCAGCTACTTGGGAGGCTGAGGCAGGAGAATGGCGTGAACCTGGGAGGTGGTGCTTGCAGTGAGCCGGAGCTTGGAGTGAGCCGAGATCGCACCACTGCACTCCAGCCTGGGCGACAGAACGAGACTCCGTCTCAAAACAAACAAACAAAAAAAACCCAGAGTCCTGATGACCCCGGTTCCTGAGTAGCTGATTCTGTGTTAATAAATTAACATAAAATTGCTTTCCAAAATGTCAGTTCTGCAGCCATGTCCATTTTTTTTTTTTTTGGTGGACTAGAGATACCCCTTTATAGGAATTACATAGATCCATGCTCTTCAATTTAAAAGTTGATTGCTGGCCCCTGACAAAATACCCCTGTGGTAAGAGGGAAGTCACAGCCAGAGTTTAGAAGTCAGAGAACTTGAGTGCAAGCTATGCTCCATTACTTTCCTTGGTTTTTTTCCTCCTTTTAGTAAAGTAGGATATCTTCTTTTCTAGGGTACAGTTTCAACTTCCTTGAGAATTCCCTCCTTAACACCTTTGTTGAACTCTACTGTTCCCAAATTTGCTGTGCCTCATGTAGTCTTTTGGGTTACTTCTGTAAATAATTTGTCACTCATCCATCATGTGTGACAGTTTTATTCTCAGTGAGGAGTCCCATTGTCTAGTGCTGGGGAATCATTCTTTGCCCTCATTTGCCAACTAACAGCTTCAAGCCCAGAATGAGGGCCTCAGGATGAGTCAGTATCCTGGTGGTTTACATCAAATACTAGATTGTCCCCTTCCCCGTTGTTATTACCATTAAAGCATTCTTCTTCTCAGACATTAGCTGCAAGCTCCCTGTGTTTTCTTTGCTTAGTGAAGATAATCTGTGGTTGTTTTATCCAGGTAAAGACTAATTCCTAGTTCTAAAGAGGAAATTAGGAGCAGTTATCCCCTACCTCTCCATCTCCACCAGAGCAAAAGTTCTAACTAGATATGAACAAAAAAGAAGAGCAGAGTTTTCTTCTTCTTTTTTTGTTTTTTTTTTCTAATCTCCTTCCACCCTTGGGCTCAGTGGAATGGAAGAGGGGGCCCCTCAGCTTGGTCAAGTGCCCATGATGAGAGGGTGGGTAGGGTAGTAGGGTAGGTTGTGTCTCAGCTCTCTTGTCCCTGAGGAACAGTCCCTTCAGTTGCAACAATAGTACACACAATAGTAGTATAGGGTGTGTGTCCTGTTATTCAGGCTTCCCTGGAGAGGGGGCCAAAAGATTTCTTTTATGGGGCTAACTGGAAAGGACTGTGGCACTTACTGAGATAATCAACATTCATAGGCTAGGTCGCACATGCAGAACAACCTACCAATCCTGTCAAATTATAAGGCTATAATCAGTCTTATTAAAATGATAGCACATATATTTCCTGAAACTATTTTATCACAATGAAACTTTATCAGCTCATTTATCACTTGGAACCTACTGGTTTCAACAAATGTAAAAGACAGTTTTCTAGATCAAAACACTTTAAGGTAGTGTTTGTTGGAAGGTCCCTGGTCTTGTGAGGTGGTTTCCTGGAACCCGTTACCAGTACTGTTTTTTTTTTTAGCTGCTTATTTCCATTTTCTTTGGGGGATTGAACAGATGTTTGACAGTGGTTTAAAATAATATATAACCACATCTTTTTTTTTTTTGAATGGCTTGACACCTGATAAGAGAGGAACAAAGCCATTGGACAGGTTATGTAGGGAGCCTCATTGATGTTCTGAATATATAAAGGGGCTGAGTTTCATTTTAGACAGGGCATCCTTTGGTGACAGCATTGATTATCCTTTTCATTCAAGGATTATAATTTCAGTGAAACATTTTGAGATGACTGCTAACAAAATTAGGTCGAATCAGGTGTGATTTATGTAATGCACCATTAATGAGGCAATGAGAAAGTCAGCCCTGTCTTTCTGTGCCCTGAAATTCTAAAGAGGTTAATTACAGGAAGGCCTTCAAACCATATGTTCCTTTGTCTTGGAAACAGTCCCATTTTTGCATAATGTGCTTTCTATGTGACTACATCTAGTTATACAGTATTCAGTACCAGCATTTATTACTTGAGTTATTTTGTTTTATATCTGAAATTATATAAAGCTAGCTTTAAAACAATAATAAAATTAGGCCAGGCGCGGTGGCTCACGCCTGTAATCCCAGCACTTTGGGAGGCTGAGGCGGGTGGATCACGAGGTCAGGAGATCGAGACCATCCTGGCCAACATGGTGAAACCCCATCTCTACTAAAAATAAAAAAAAAAATTAGCTGGGCATGGTGGTGCACGCCTGTAGTCCCAGCTACTTAGGAAGCTGAGGCAGGAGAATTGCTTGAACCAGGGAGGCAGAGGTTGCAGTGAGCCGAGATTGTGCCACTGCACTCCAGCCTGGTGACAGAGTGAGACTCTGCCTCCAAAATAATAATAATAATAATAAAATTATAATTTTAAGAGGTGAATCTGATATGCTACACTTCTTGACCTGTGATTAACCCAACAATATTGCTTCAAAAATCTATGTACTGGGCAGAGTCACTACCTGTAGTCTCAGCTACTCAGGAGTTTGAGGTGGGAGAATTACTTGAGCCCAGGAGTTTGAGACCAGTCTGGGCAACATAGTGAGACCCTATCTCTTGAAAAAAAAAATATACATATATATATGTATACACACACAAACGCACACGCACACACACACACACATACATGCTCTGGTCTTTGTGCTGCTCTCTCCCTTGTTCTCTGTGTTCCAGCTATCCTCATCATCTCTCAGCTCCTCTGAGAGCCTGTCAAGCTTTTTTCTCCTTCAGTGACTTTGCTCATGCTGTTCTTTTTCCTAAAATATTTGCCTGTTCCTCTCTCCATCATGGCTAACTACTCCTCTGTTATGGCTTGTTTAATTGTCACTGCCTTGGAATGCCCTTTCTTGACTTGCCATCCTCAAGCAAATCTCTTTTTGCTTCTTTATAAGCTTCTGTTACATGTTGTAATTATAGGATGTATTAGTCTGTCCCACTTGTCCTTCATCTCTTTCCTCCTCTAGAGTGTAAACTCTGAGGATGGGGCAGTGGCTGAGTAATGCATAATTGCATTCTCAGTGCCTAACACAATGTCTGGGGCCTGACACATGGTAGGAACTCATAACAAATATTTGTTGAAAGCCTGAATGAATGAAGGAGACCCTTACATTTTTTTTCATGGTTCCTTCCTAGGAAGCATCCCATGAAAACCAGGCAAAAGCTGCATTCTAATGGTATTCATAAGATCAGACCCACCCAGATTCAAGGGGAGGAGAAATAGTATCTACCTCTTGATGGAGTTGTGGCAAGATCACATTGTGGTAGAGCATGTGGGATGGGAGATTGTCTCAGTCCATTTGTGTTGCTATAAAGGAATACCTAAGACTGTAATTTATAAAGAAAAGGGGCTTCTTTGGCTCATGGTCCTGTAGGCTGTGTGGGAAGCATGGCATCAGCATCTGCTTCTGGTGAGGGCTTCAGGCTGCTTCCACTCATGGCAGAAGGGGAAGGGGAGCCAGTGAAATTACATGGTGAGAGAGGAAGTTGAGGGAGGTGCCAATTTTTTTTGAGACAGTCTCACTCTGTCTCCCAGGCTGGAGTGCAGTGGCGCAATCTTGGCTCACTGCAACCTCTGCCTCCCGGGTTCAAGCAATTCTCCTGCCTCAGCCTCCTGAGTATCTGGGACTACAGGTGCGCACGACCACGCCCAGCTAATTTTTGTATTTTTTAGTAGAGATGGGGTTTCACCATGTTGGCCAGGCTGGTTTCGAACTCCTGACCTCGTGATCCACCCGCCTCAGCCTCCCAAAGTACTGGGATTACAGGTGTGAGCCACTGCACCTGGCCCAAATTCGTTTTAAGAGCCAGCACTGGAGGGAACAAACAGAGCAAGAACTTTTCCCCCACCACAATTCCACGCCCCCTCCCCACATTAATCTATTTATGAGGGATCTGCCTCCATGACCTACATACCTCCCACTAGGCCCCACCTCCAACACTGGGGATCAGATTTCTTTTTAAAAAATATTTTAATATGAAAATATTTTAATTTTTAATTAATTTTTAATTTTTAATGTTTTTTAATATTTTAAAATTTCTTTTATTTCACTTAGGATAGGGGATCAAATTTCAACATGAGGTTTGGAAGGTCAGATTTCCAAACTATAGCAGAGATGTTATTGTGACCATCTTTGGAAAATACAATCTGTTGCAAGAGATTATTCCTAGCTGGGTACTGCATATCTTCCCTGGGAGATTGATTCAGCCTGGTTATAGGCCTATATACTACTCTCTAATATCCCTGGATAGTCACCACTACGGTGTAAAAGTCAGGAGTTCAGAGCTTGGTTCTGTCACTTACTAGTGATAGAAAAAGAAAACCTGTTTAAAAATGTAGTTTCTTCATTCTTTCAGGCTTTCAACAAGTACTAGTATGTGTCAAGACCTGGACACTGTGTTAGACACTGAGAATGCAGTAGTGAACCAGATTGCCTTTGCTCCTGCCTGCAAGGCAGTAAGTGGAATCATTGACAGTCCCCACTCCTTTTTTTTTGAATAGACATTTGCTATTGAGTTGTGACATAACGCTGAAAGGACTGGTTTCAAATCTTCTGCTTCTGTAATTGACCCTTGTATGAATGGCAAATGCTTCCTATTTTATGTTAAAAAGCTACAGTATCTGCCTTCGTGTTAAAAAACACTGAAGGTCATATTGGGTATTTCAAAAAGTAATTGGTATTCCTGAGCCAAGGTCGTATAGTATAAACAAGGTTGTATAGTATAAAAGACACTTCTGAGTTATTGTTTTTCCCTGATCCTCTTAAGAGACAGAAGTATTTATTTCTGCATGTTAGGAGTGTACCTTCCGAAGAACTAATGGACAATCACAATCCACCACGTCATGTATTAACCACCCCCCGCCCCCGCCGAAACAGTACCCTTTCACTGTTAATAATATAGAATCTTTTTCTGTTGGACTTAGAAATCTATGAATTGGAATAGTAAAAAGAGCAAATAGCTTCTAGCAGTCAGGTAATCTGGATTCTCGACTAGCTGCATGAGGGGAAGGGGGGTGGAAATTGGGATGGGGGAGATGATTTACTACTCAGTTACTTTTTAAAAAGTATGTAGAGGCTGGGTGTGGTGGTTTACACCTGTAACCCCAGCACTTTGGGAGGCCGAGGTGAGAGGATCATTTAAGACCAGTGTGAACAACATGACAATGTCTCTACAAAAAATTTAAAAATTAGCTGAGTGTGGTGATGCACACATGTCGTCCTAGCTACTCGGGAGGCTGAGGTGGGAGGATTGCTTGGGCCCAGGAGTTCGAAGTTATAGTGAGCTGTGATTGTGCCACTGCAAGTATGTAGAATCAGTGGTCTCGCAAATGCCGTAATTACAGCTACAAATTTTTGGTTACTACATGCTCTTGTCTACTGTAAGCTCCCATAGCAATCTGCATTTTAAAAAATAATTTATTAGTATACTTGAAATTATTTGATTCATATATGTCTTTCCCACTAGATAGTAAACTCCATGAAGGCAGGGATAATGTCTCTTTTGTTTATTGCTGCTTCTGTAAGATTGAGCAGGCACATAGAAAGTGCATAATAAATATTTTTGGATGAATGAATGAGGGGTTTTCTAACATGCAGACATTCTTTAAAGTACCAGAGGTCCATTGACTCATTTGTAGACAACACAACAGACGTTTCCTGCTAGGCACTGAATTAGAAGTGAATTGCCCATGAGACACTCTGCCTAGAGACACTCAAAATCTATGAGAAGAGGTGGACATGGAAAAAATATATATATTAGAAGTTTAACATGAAGTTCTGCAGAAACCTAGAGAAGGAGGTAAGGACTCTACATTTAAAAGTAAACTTTAATTGGGCTTAGTTTGAAGTATAATTATTAGAAATGTAACAGCATTCAGTTCCAGCAATAATTTAACAGTAGAAAATTACTTAAACTTGATTCTATCATAGTATAGGGATGGAGGGGTATTAGTCCCAAGGATATTCATTTAGAGTTAAGTGTTGTTAACAATCTCAGTTTATCAGGCACTTCCTCAACAATTTCTCTCATTTAATTATTTTGACAATCCAGTAAAGTAAGTGGTTTTATTCTCCATTTTACAAATGAAAAAATTGAAACCAGAGAGGTTAAGTAACTTTCATGAGGTAACACAGCTAATAAAGGACAGAGCCAGGACACATTTAGGTCTTTTGACTACAAGCCTTTTATATTATATTCTAAGTTCATTTTATAGAGCTCCCAGATGTTCCCCCAAAGAGCCAGAAATCTTAATGCCTTTGAGGAGTTTTCTAAGATGATTCTGATTCTTTTTTTTTTTTTTTTTAAAGGCAGAGTCTCAGTCTGTCACCAGGCTGGAGTGCAGTGGCACGATCTCGGCTCACTGCAACCTCCGCCTCCTGGGTTCAAGCGATTCTCCTGCCTCAGCCTCCTAAGTAGCTGGGATTACAGGCATATGCCACCATACCCACCTAATTTTTGTATTTTTCGTAGAGACGGGGTTTCACCACGTTGGCCAGGATGGTCTCGATCTCCTGACCTTGTGATCCGCCCGCCTCAGCCTCCCAAAGTGCTGGGATTACAGGTGTGAGCCTGGCCAGAAGATTCTGATTCTTAAGACCCTTAAGACTGAGCCAAAATGTTACCTCTTTCATGATACTTGTCCTGTGAGAAGTGTTTCCTCAACCTCATTCTTTCTATGACATTTCTATTCTTGATTAGCGCCAGTTCAATTGAGCCCCTATGTTAGGTCATGGGATTTTATAATTTATATATTATGAATGATTATAGTTTTTTTTATATCTCCCCTAGAAATTTTTTTGTTGTTGTTAATGAGATAGATTGGTAATGGTACTTTTTCTTTTCCTTTTAAAATTAATTAATAGATAGTTGTTTCTTTTCTTTTTTTTTTTTTTTTTGAGACAGAGTTTTGCTCTTGTTACCGCAGCTAGAGTGCAATGGCACAATCTCGGCTCACTGCAACCTCTGCCTCTCGGGTTCAGGTGATCTCCTGCCTCAGCCTCCGGAGTAGCTTGGATTACAGGCATCTGCCACCACACCCGACTAATTTTGTATTTTTGGCAGAGATGGAGCTTCACCGTATTGGTCAGGCTGGTCTTGAACTCATGTCCTCAGGTGATCTGCCTGCCTTGGCCTCCTAAAGTGCTGGGCTTACAGGCGTGAGCCACTGTGCCTGGCCGTTTCATTGGTTTATAAGAACTTATGTGTTAATTGTTGATGCTGTATTATCCCTTCCTGGAGTGAGTATCTTAATGAAGGAATCTTAGGCACTATAAATGGGCCAGAGGGAGCTATTTTGGGGCAGAACAAATTATGGCACCTCTATCACTCCTTGAGGTGGTTGTGGGGAGCTACTGATAGGTTAAGTACTTTTCCTTTCCATTGCTTTAAAAGGACACTGTTCTCTTCCCACTGGTCCATGGGTAGGTGTAGATTAAGCTTTGGGGGCTTGTGTTAATCTTTCTTTGATAAGGATCTTTGCTTTCCTGGACCCTTGTGAAGATCAAATGTAGTAGTGTACAGGTGATGGATGGATGGATGGATGGATGGATGGATGGATGGATGGATGGATGGATGGCAGAGTCTCACTCTGTCACACAGGCTGGAATGCAGTACTGTAATCATGGCTCACTGTAGCCTCAACCTCCTGGGTTCAGGTGATCTTCCTACCTCACCCTTCTGAGTAGCTGGGACTACAGGAGCACACCACCATGCTCGGTTAATTTTTTGTATTTTTGTATAGACAGGGGTCTTGCCATGTTGCTCAGGCTGGTCTTGAACTCCTGGACTCAAGTGATCCACCTGCTTTGGCCTCCCAAGTGTTGGGATTACAGATGTGAGCCACTGCACCTCACAGGGAGGTTATTTTGGACATACAAATAAAGTGTTGTACAGACAGAAGTCTGGGATTGTTTTTTTCTCCCCTAGAGAAACAATTAACTGTTCTTTCTAAACTAGTTAAAGCACAATTTCCCTCAAACACTATGTATGTCCTTTCTTGCTTTTGACAACATAGAAATTCAATTAGAATTTCTCAATCAAGCACCAGATTCAGTTTTTTTTCTCAAAAGCAGTTGTATTATGCCAGGTGCGTTTATATATTTCATTTAACTATCATAACAACTCTGAAAGGACAGTGTTGTCACTACCTTTTTTTTATTTTGTTTTATTTTTTGAGAGAGGGTCTCACTCTGTTGCCCAGGCTGGAGTACAGTGGCCTGCTCACTACCTTCTTTTTATTTTATTTATTTTTTGAGAGAGAGTCTCACTCTGTTGCTCAGGCTGGAGTACAGTGGTGTGATCATGGCTCACTGCAGCCTCAGCCTCCTGAGTAACTGGGACTACAGGCATGTACCATAACTCTGGGCTAAATTTTGTATTTTTTTATAGAGAGAGGGTTTTGCCATGTTGCCCAGGCTGGTCTCAAATTCCTGGGCTCAAGCAATCTGCCCACCTCGGCCTCCCTAAGTGCTAGGATTATAGGCATGAGTCACCATACCTGGCCACTACCTCCATTTTAAAGATGAGTAAACCAAGGGCCAGAAAGTTCAAATAACATAGCCAAAATGTAAGTGGTAGAGTACAGATTTGAATTCACATATTCTGGGTTTGTTTTTTGTTATATTAGACAGGCAGAATTATGCTGTGGTAACTTATTGGCCCCAAGATTTCAGTGGTTTAATATAAAAACGATTTGTTGAATTCTTGCTTATGAATTCCAGTGCAGGTCAGGTGACTCTGGAGGGCCGTCGTCCTCCAGGATGTGACGTCTAATGTATTTAGGCTGCTTCAGTCTTATGATGCTGCCATCTCAACATGAGATTTCTAGGGTGCCTTTGTAGATGAGAGAGAGCAGAAGAGTCATATACTAGCTTTTAAATTCTTTTACCTGGGTGGGGCGCGGTGCTCATGCCTGTAATCCCAGCACTTTGGGAGGCCAAGGTGGGTGGATCACAAGGTCAGGAGATCGAGACCATCCTGGCTAACATGGTGACATCCCATCTCTACTAAAAATACAAAAAAAAAAAAATTAGCTGGGCATGGTGTTGGACGCCTGTAGTCCCAGCTACTCGGGAGGCTGAGGCAGGAGAATGGCGTGAACCTGGGAGGCAGAGCTTGCAGTGAGCTGAGATCGCGCCACTGCACTCCAGCCTGGGCGATAGAGCAAGACTCCGTCTCAAAAAAAAAAAAAAAAAAAAAATTAAAAAAAAAAACAAAACTTTGACCTGGAAGTGAGACATGTCATTTCTGTTCATAGAACATTGGCCAAAACTGGTCATATGGTGCTAACTACAAGAGAGAAAACATGGAACTGGAAACTGTTGAGGAGCTTATGGATAGTCAGTGATATTGAATATCCCTGCCAGACTACTTTACGGCAGATGTTTCCCTAGGGCAATATCTTTACATAGTGCATGTTTCCTTCCAGCTTTACATTAGGACGAGTTTGCTAGTGTGTCTGGACCATGTTTTATACTGAATGCCTTGAGGTCAGGGATTAAATTAATAAATGGGCATATTTTTCAGTTCAATTCAACTAAATATTATTGAACATCTGCAATTCCAGGCCTTGTTTTCTTTCCAGTATCTATAGCCTCTGTGTTTCTATCTGTCTAGCTAGCTAGCTAGCTGTATTATATTTATGTAAATAATAATAACTAGATAGTACTAGATTTTAACTTTTTAGTATAGAATAGTGCAGTATAGAATAGTGGTTAAAAGCACAGATTTTAAGGGTCAGAATTCTGGGTCTGCCAATTCCTAGCTCTCTGACCCCTGGGCAAGGTTGGTTTTTTTTTTCTTTTTTAATAAAATAGCTTTATTGAGATATAATTCATATATTGTAAAATCCACCCTTATCCCCCTTTGAAAGTACACAATTCAGAGGTTTCTAGTATAGTCACAGACTTGTGCAAATATCACATCTATCTAATTTTAGAATATTTTCATCACCCTCAAAATAAACTTTGTACCTATTAGCAGCCACTTCTCATTCTCTCCTCTTCCTAGGCCCTGACAACCAATAATCTACATTCTTTCTCTATGGATTTGCCTCTTTTGGACTTGGGAAAGCTACTTAACCTTTCTGTGCCCCAGTTTTCTCATAAAAAATGTAGGTATAATAATACCTACTCATCAGGTAGTTATAAGCGTGATATGGGAGCACGGAAAGAGTTAAAGGGCTTAGTGCCTAGCACAAAGTAAATTATATGTGTTTGTTGTTATGCATTTATTATGTTCAATATTATTGTGATCATTTTTTCATTCCTTATATAGTACCTAGCATAGGACTGGACACATGGTAGGCACATTTATCCAGTTTCCTAAGGGTTCTACTGTGTGCCAGGTATTGTTTTAGGGGATCTCAAATATGGATTAAAATACTTCCCCTGTTTGCAAGCTGTTCGCAATCTCATGACAGAGACAGATAAAGAGTATGTAAAGATACTAATAGATAGCTAGATCATACTTTATATTAGGATTAATGCTGTAGTAGAAATAAATACACTGTGACATGGGAGCAAGAAGGAAAGAGGAACACACAGAGTGGCTGAAATGTGCTTCTCATGTATCTTATTTGATTCTCAGGCTAATCCTGTGAAGTGTGGGGATCCTTAGTCACATTACTACAGATGAGGAAACTAAGACTCGGAGATGTTAAATAGCTTGCACAACATCATCTAGATATTAAATAGTTGAGCTTAGATTGAACCTGACTCTGACGAGGTGCAAAACCTGTGTTTTTACTCTTTCTGATGCTTACAGAAAGAATTTGCTGCTATTTCTCTGAAATTTGCAAATAAGTCCTACAAAGCAAAAACTGTTTTTGGCTAAAACAGCTTAAGATTCATTACATATTTTGAAAAATTCAGCCGGGCGCGGTGGCCATGCCTGTAATCCCAGCACTTTGGGAAGCCAAGGTGGGCAGATCACAAGGTCAGGAGATCGAGACCATCCTGGCTAACACAGGTGAAACCCCGTCTCTACTGAAAATATAAAAAATTAGCCGGGCGTAGTGGCCGGTGCCTGTAGTCTCAGCTACTTGGGAGGCTGAGGCAGGAGAATGGCGGGAACCCAGGAGGCAGAGCTTGCAGTGAGCTGAGATCGCACACTGCACTCCAGCCTGGGCGACAGAGCTGGACTCCATCTCAAAAAAAAGAAAAAAAAAGAAAAATTCAGTGCTACTGGAGCTTATTGCTCCCTTTACCCGAGGGAGGAAAAAAAAAAACCTGACAATTGAGAAGGCCCAAGATGTGGCCTTGGCTCTGGGCTGAATGGGCTCTGCACCATTTGGCTTTGTCCGTTGTCTGTGTCTCCAGGCTCCTGACTGGTACCTTTCCTTTTCTGGGCCACGAGGTTCCTTTTGTGGGAAGGGACCTTGGGACCTGAATGGAGGGTTTGTGTGGAGCTTCCTGTGAATGAGAAGTGTTCCTGTGATTAGCCATGACCTCCTAGCAACAGATGCATTCATCATCTGGCTTCAACTTTTCCATTCCCGCTTTGAGGTTCCATTGGATCTGGTGGTCACAGAGCAGCTTCCATTGAATTCAGCAGCTTGTTTCTGATTACATTAGGCATTATCTGTCTACGTCCATTCCTACTGTAAATATATGGTGTGCTCACACAATAAACCCTAGGAAGCCAATTGATATCATAGCTCAGACCATACCTATATATCCAAATGGTTCTTTTTTTCCGGAGTAATAAGTTACAATATGGGAAATTATTCCGAATCCTGGTAGGATGTACCCCCTTTTGGCTTACCTCATGAACGGGCTAGTACTGTGGTTATTTTCCACAGAATATCAAAGCTGAGACAGCCTCTAATCCCTGCTCATTTTACAGAGGAAGAAAGCTTAGGCCCAATAAAGTGAAAGTATTAGGTTAGTGCAAAAGTAAGGGCAAAAAACTGCAATTACTTTTGCACTAACCTAATACTTACCCAGATCCCACATATTCTGTGGCAGAGGTGAGACTAGGACTTTGATGCCTTGACTCCAGGCCAGTTTTTCTCCCTACGAGGCTCTACTACCTCCTAATTTTCTACTCACATAAGGTCACGTGCTCTTTAGAGGACAGAGATTACGCCTTATCTCTTATCCCTCAAAGATATGCCTAATAACCTCTCAGGTTTATTAAATTAGTGGTTATTATCAGGTTTTGCATAATGGGGATGTGTTGCCTAGTTGAAAGAGCTAGGTAGGCTTGGATGGAGGATCTTAGCTACGAATAGATGGATCCAAGGTTCCAACTCAGATATTCTGAATCTGAGTTGTCTAGTCTTCTTTCTAGTACACTATGAGTGGATTGGTATGATTTTCATGGGGGAGAAACAGACGGAGCAGAGCTCTGGAGGCAGTGAGTGTTAGCTGCACTTGGAGAGAAGCAATTAGACTAATATGGCCAGAGCACAAGTTGAATTAAGTGAATGGCGGTAAAGGGAAAGCAGTGAGAAATGCTGGAGGAAAAAGGTGAAAAGGGGATCTCTGTACTATGGGCTTTTTAGGGAAAGCCTCCCAGAGTTGGGAGCTTTGAACTAGGCCTGAAGGATGGCCAGGATTTGAATTTACATAGATGGCATAAAATTTGTGGAGGGAAAGTGAACACATACTTCTCTTCCTCTTTATACAGTTTAGAAAGCCAAGCACCTGTTCAGTTTGCCTAGAACATTGTTAAGTGCTGGAGAGTGGAGGCTGATAGGTCTTAAAAGCCTAGAATTCTAGATTTGGGGATTTAATTTTTATTTCTATTAATACCACTGATCCCTCTATAAAGTTAGTTATGGGAACCCTGTACAGCAGTTGGGTATAGAACTGTCTGCCTTTTTGCCCTTTACAAATTGGGGTTTTGTGGTGGACATCTCACTTTGATGTACTTAATATGTGGTGCTTTGACTATTCTTGAGCAGCTTCAAAGGTCCATGACATGTCATAATTTCCCATTTTTCTGAGGTGAACGTTTGAAAAACATTCAACAAGGCAGTGGTGGATGGGAATTATTTACTTAGCAGGATTTACTTAGTGACTCCCACTTAATAGCAGGATTTGTAACTGTGGGAATTCTTAAGCCATCCTTGGAGATTTGTTAACAAATGATAAGGTTTTTAACAGACTCCCTTCCTAACACACTTTATACTCAAGTTCACAATCAGCCTTGTCCTAAGTTCTGATCCAGCTCTGCTCCTTGACTTGCCTGTGTGATCATGGATAAGCTGCTTTCCCTCTCTGGTCCTTAGTTACTATATCTGTAATAACAATGATGCTGTACTGGTGTATTAGCTCGTTCTCACACTGCCAATAAAGACATACCTGAAACTGAGTAATTTATAAAGGAAAGAGGTTTAATGGACTCACAGTTCCACATGATTGAGAAGGCCTCACAGTCATGGCGGAAGGCAAAGGAGGAGCAAAGGCATGTCTTACATGGCAGCAGGCAAGAGAGCATGTGCAGGGGAACTGCCCTTTATAAAGCCATCATTATGTTTTAATGCAATAAAACATAATGATCAGTGACTACACACATACTGGCTTATTCAACATATACGCACAAACTAGTTCCCATTGGTGATCATATTACACTGGCTTTTTGAGTATTTTTCTTCTGTCTTACCCTTTTTTGGTTGTCTTATGTCCTCTGCTGCCAGGAGGCTGTACCCCCTGTCATCCTATAGAGCAGGTCACAGACTGAGAGAACTACTGTGGTCTAGTACTATTAGGGCATGTGTGCGTGCACACACACACACCCCTAGTACTCTCAGGGGAAACACACCCACATATGCACACACCCCTAAACACCCACACACCCCTACCCACCCCTGGTATTCTCAGGGACACACACACACACACGCACCCACGCATGCACGCACGCACCTACCTGCAGGGCTAGAAGTAGGAGACGTAGCAATTTTGTTCCGACTTGGTGGAAAAGCCCCAGGCCTCACCTTTCTGACAGTTGAAAATGCATAGCTTGCATTTATTTCCACTCATATTTTATTGTGTATTAAAGATGTTTGAAGGGAGGCTAGAAATGCAAAAGAGAGAACTATGTTGTGTAAGACAACTGTCTTTGAATATTTTTTTCCTTTTTTATTAATTTGCTCCTTAATTTTGGATATGAGTAATAGTAATAAGCATTCTGAACATTTCATAGCACTTTAAACTTCAGAGCCTTTCCCCCACTTATTTAAAATATTTTAATAAACAATCTAGAGGTGATGCTCCTTTTTATTGAGTACTTACTATGTGCTAGACATTGTGCTAAATGGCTTTACTATTTCATTTAACTCTTACATCAGCTGTAAAAATGTTATTATCACCACTTAAGAGAGATGACGCTAAGACCCAAAGAGGTTAAGTAACTATGCCCAAGATTACACAATTAATTATGTGATGGAGCTATGATTTGAACTGAATAGTGTCTGGCCTAACAGCTGATTGTATTATATCTGTGAAGTACAGTTGTCCCTCGGTATACCCAGGGGATTGAATTCCAAGATCCCCTGTGAATACCCAGATCTACACATACCCAAGTCCTGCAGTTAGCCCTGCAGGACCTTGATTATGAAAAGTTGGCCCTTCATATATGCTGGTTTCGCATCCTGTGATCCATATTTGGTCAGGGGGTCAGAGGGAGGCATATAAGTGGATCAGTACATTTCAAACCTGTAATATTATTCAGAGGTCAGTTGTTAATATTGCACGTTCATTTACAAATGAGTAAACTACCAATAATAACATGGCATGTATATGGTAGATATTATCAGGACTTGAAATTTTTTTTAACTTTTTTTTTAGGTTCAAGATTACACACATAGGTTTGTTATATAGGTAAACTCAGATTTGTTGTACAGATTATTTCATCATCCAGGTATTAAGCCCCAGTACCCAATAGTTATTTTTTGGGTCCCCTCCCTCCTCCCAGCCACTACCCTCTAGTAGGCCTCAGTGTCTGTTATTCCCCTCTTTGTAGGACCTGAATTTTGATTATTTAATTTAGAATGGACTTTGTCCCAGATGGGTTTTGTTTATTTTTATCTTTAACTGTCTTATTTTTATATCTTAATAAGATGAACCACTTCACATTGTTTTTGGATGAGTCTTGGATGGATCATAAATAAATTATAAAATGGTCTTACTGGGGAGGCAAAGAAAAATAAGATGTTGGGTCTGTTCCCAAGGACCTAATGGTTGGTTGTAAGAAAAAGATATGAACACAATTACACGTGCTCCCACCATATAGTTCGTGGGGAAAAAACAAAAGTCTCTAACTGAGTAGTTCAGACTATAAGTGATTTAGCCAGGAAATATCAGTGTGAGCTATGTTTTAATAGGGAGGATTTTGTTGTGTGTGTGTTTTCTTTTCAAGGGTCGTTAAGTATAATATATGATAATAAAAGATTTGCAACACTCTTAAGTGTGATTTTTTAAAAACCTACAGAATCTTAGAGTCAAGTTTTTTTATTTGTTTGTTTTAGTAGGAACTTAACTCTGAAATGATTATATATGTGAGTGGGGAAAGCAATATATGTGAATGAAGCTTTTTATGAATTTGTCATTTAGCATATCTGTGTTTTCAATGCCTGATTTACTATTAGTACTTAATGTTTATTGAATCAGTGAATTTTGGGTCTGAGTCTGAAGGTGCAGAATACTGTTTCATTATTATGTATGTGATATATAGTATATTAAATGTGTTATACATTATCATATTAACATAGTATGCTATAGAGGGTTAAAGATGGAGGACCTTTAAAGAATATCTTGTCTATTCTCTGCTTCTAATGGATGGGGGAACTGAGGCCCAGAAGTTGAAGTGACTTTTCTAGTAAGTTGTAGAGGAGGACCAGAATCTACTGCTCCTGGAAGCACTAATGATTTCCTGTAATAGATTTCTAATATTTTCACAGGGATTTCATGAGCACAGGCAAAACATACAGAGAAAATATTGTTGAAAGTATTTTGAATCACTGCCTTCTTTAAAGCTAAGGTGAGATATGGAGGGTTTTTTTTTTTCTCCTTATTTCACATAAGTACCATGTGCTAACTGATTGCGCCACTGGAGCTCCTTTCTTCTTATTTCTATAGATCTTGTATACCAAGGTTAGATTAGATCAGATTCAGTAGGTTGAACCTCACTTTTGATCCAAGTTTCTTCACAGCCCACATCTAGCAGAGCTTTTCCCCTCAAAGGCCTGGTTAGAAGAAGTGGCCTTTGTTTCTGATGTATAATTTACCTCTTCTTCTTGGTATTTGAGGCTTGTTGGTTTTGATAAATGCCTGTTTTCTGTGCCCTGCCTGCAGTTAACATGGAGGTCCTGGTGTGGAACTTCTTAGGAAGTGGTGGGTGAGAGAGAGTGCGTGTGAGAGTGGGCAAGTGGGTTAACAGCCTATGCCTTTAACTTATTTGGTTAATCCATTAACCTAGAGAGCTTGTATAGTCATATTGAATTTATAAATCTCAGTTCCAATAGCAGAAGCTGATGTGAAAAGGGTCCTTTGATCTTGATTTGGTCCAGAAAAGAATGGAAGTCAGTGTCTCAAGGGAGAAGGGATTGGAATCAGGTGGTCCTGAATTCAACTCCAGGTCAGTCATTTATCAGCCATGTAACAGTTTCCTTAGTCTGAGACTCAGTTCTCCCATCTATAAAATGGTGAAGTACACCAAGTACTTCACAAAGGGGTTACGTTCTTCTCCACATACCTGCTGGCTTGTTCTCTTTCCTCCTTTAGGTCTTTTCTTAGGTAGCACCTTCTCAGTGAGACTTTCCTTGACTGTCCTCTTAAAAATTGTAACTTCTGTCCTGGTACTCTCTTCCCTTTGCCCTTCTTTTATTTTTCTCCTATATCACTAATAGTCCTTACTTTTTGCTATTTGCTAATTGTGTTCCTCTCCATTCATAATAATAACAACAAAATAAAATGATAATGATAATAGCTAGTTTTTATATGTTGGGCATTGTTCTAAACACTTTACATATGTTAGCTCTTATTTAATCCTCATAAAAACCCTGTTAGATAGTACTATTATTATGGTCATTTTACAGGTGAGAAACTGAGTTATAGAGAAGTTTAGTGATTTTCAAAGAACACAAGAAGGTTAGCAGTGGAGCCAGAATCTGAACCTGAGCTCTCTGTCTCCAAAGTCCTTGCTCTTTTTTTTTTTTTTCCTTTTTGCAAAACTCCATGACTTTTAATTTTCACTTTTGAACTAATCAGAATGTTATTGGCAAAATGGCCATATTATGTGTATGCATAATATTTCTTTTTAAAAGATTTCTTCTAAAAAAAAAATGGGATACATGTGCAGAACGTGCAGGTTTGTTACATAGGTATACGTGTGCCATGGTGGTTTGCTGTACCTAGTGACCCGTACTCTTAGTTCCCTTCCCTCACCCCTCACCCTGCAACAGGCCCTGGTGTGTGTTGTTCCCCTCTCTGTGTCCATGTGTTCTCAGTGTTCCGCTCCCACTTATGAGTGAGAACATGCAGTGTTTGGTTTTCTGTTCCTGTGTTAGTTTGCTGAGGATGATGTCTCCCAGGTTCATCCATGTCTCTGCAAAGGAAATGATCTCATTTCTTTTTATGGCTGCGTAGTATTCCATGGTATGTATGTACCACATTTTCTTTATCCAGTCTATCATTGATGGCATTTAGATTGGTTCCATGTCTTTGCTATTGTAACAGTAGTGCTGCAGTAAACATATATGTGCATGTGTCTTTATAGTAGAATGATTTATATTCCTTTGGGTATATACCCAGTAATGGGATTACTGGGTCAAATGGTATTTCTGGTTCTAGATCCTTGAAGAATCACCATACTGTCTTCTACGATGGTTGAACTAATTTACATTCCCACCAACAGTGTAAAAGCGTTCTTATTTCTCCACAGCCTCGCCAGCATCTGTTGTTTCCTGACTTTTTAATAACTGCCATTCTGACTGGCATGAGGTGGTATCTCATTGTGGTTTTCATTTGCATTTCTCTGATGATCAGTGATGTTGAGCTTTTTTTCATGTTTGTTGGCCACGTAAATGTCTTCTTTTGAGAAGCATCTGTTCATATCCTTTGCCCACTTTTTGATGGAGTTGCTTGTTTTTTTCTTGTAAATACGTTTAAGTTCCTTGTAAATTCTGGCTATTAGACCTTTATCAGATCGGTAGATTGCAAAACTTTTCTCCCATTCTGTAGGTTGCTTGTTCACTTCGATGATAGTTTCTTTTGCTGTGCAGAAGCTCTTTAGTTTAATTAGATCCCATTTGTCAATTTTGGCTTTTGTTGCAATTGCTTTTGCCATTTTTGTCATGAAGTCTTTGCCCATGCCTATGTCCTGAATGGTATTGCCTAGGTTTTCTTCTAGGGTTTTTATTATTTTGGGTTTTACATTTAAGTCTTTAATCCGTCTTGAGTTAATTTTTGTATGAGATGTAAGGAAGAGGTCCAGTTTCAGTTTTCTGCATATGGCCAGCCAGTTTTCCCGGCACCATTTACTGAATAGGAGATCCTTTCCCCAGTGCTTGTTTTTGTTAACTTTGTTGAAGATCAGATGTTTGTAGATGTGTGGTGTTATTTCTGAGGTCTCTGTTCTGCTCCATTGGTCTCTATGTTTTGGTAGCAGTACCATGCTGTTTTGGTTACTGTAGCCTTGTAGTATAGTTTGAAGCCTTGTAGTATAGTAGCATGATGCCTCCAGCTTTGTTCTTTTTGCTTAGGATTGTCTTGGCTATCCAGGGTCTTCTTTGATTCCATATGAAATTTAAAATAGTTTTTTTCTAATTCTGTGAAGAATGTCAGTGAATTGTTTGGGAATAGCATTGAATCTATAAATTATTTTGACAGTGTGGCCATTTTCATTATATTGATTCTTCCTATCCATGAGCATGGAATGTTTTTCCATTTGTTTGTGTCCTCTCTTATTTCCTTGAGCAGTGGTTTGTAGCTATCCTTGAAGAGGTCCTTTACATCCCTTGTTAGCTGTATTCCTAGGTATTTTATTCTCTTTGTAGTGATTGTGAATGGGAGTTAATTCATGATTTGGCTTTCTGCTTGCCTATTGTTGGTGTAAAGGAATGCTTGTGATTTTTGCACATTGATTTTATATCCTGAGACTTTGCTGAAGTTGCTTATCAGTTCAAGAAGTTTTTGGGCTGAGATGATGGGGTTTTCTAAATATAAAATCATGTTGTCTTCAAACAGAGACAACTTGACTTCCTCTCTTCCTATTTGAATATGCTTTATTTCTTTATCTTGTCTGATTGCCCTGGCCAGAACTTCCAATACTATGTTGAATAGGAGTGGTGAGAGAGGGCATCCTTGTCCTGTACTGGTTTTTAAAGGGAATGCTTCCAGCTTTTGCCTGTTGAGTATGATATTGGCTGTGGGTTTGTCATAAATAGTTCTTATTATTTTGAGATATGTTCCATCAATACCTAGTTTACTGAGAGTTTTTAACATGAAGCCATGTTGAATTTTATCAAAGGCCTTTTCTGCATCTATTGAGATAATCATGTGGTTTTTGTCTTTGGATCTGTTTATGTGATGGATTATGTTTGTTGATTTGCATATGTTGAACCAGCCTTGCATCCCAGGGATGAAACCGACTTGATCGTGGTGGATAAGTTTTGTGATGTGCTGCTGGATTCAGTTTGCCAGTATTTTATTGAAGATTTTTGCATTGATGTTCATCAGGGATATTTGGCCTGAAGTTTTCTTTTTTTTGTTGTGTCTCTTCCCAGTTTTGGTATCAGGATGATGATGGCTTCATAAAATGAGGCCTCATAAAATGAGTCCCTCCTTTTCAGTTGTTTAGAATAGTTTCAGGAGGAACAGTACCAGCTCCTCTTTGTACTTCTGGTAGAATTCGGCTGTAAATCCGTGTGGTCCTGGACTTTTTTTGGTTGATAGGCTATTAATTACTGCCTCAATTTCAGACTTCTTATCAGTCTATTCAGGGATCTGAGTTCTTCCTGGTTTAGTCTTGGGAGGGTATATGTGTCCAGGAATTTATCCATTTCTTCTAGATTTTCTAGTTTATTTGTGTAGAGGTGTTTATAGTACTCTCTGATGGTAGTTTGTATTTCTGTGGGATCAGTGGTGATATCCCCTTTGTCATTTTTTATTTTGTCTATTTGATTCTTCTCTCTTCATTAGTCTAGCTAGCAGTCTATCTATTTTGTTAATTTTTTCAGAAAACCAGCTCCTGGATTTGTTGATTTTTTTTTTGAGGGTTTTTTGTGTCTCTAGCTCCTGCAGTTCTTCTCTGATCTTAGTTATTTCTTGTCTTCTGCTAGCCTTTTTTTTTTTTTTTTTCGAGACAAAGCTTTGATCTGTCGCCCAAGCTGGAGTGCAGTGGTGCAATCTCAGCTCACTGCAAGCTCCGCCTCCGGGGTTCATGCCGTTCTCCTGCCTCAGCCTCCTGAGTAGCTGGGACTACAGGCGCCCGCCACCACACCTGGCTAATTTTTTGTACTTTTAATAGAGGCGGGGTTTCACCGTGTTAGCCAGGATGGTCTTGATCTCCTGACCTTGTGATCTGCCCGCCTTGGCCTCCCAAAGTGCTGGGATTACAGGCTTGAGCCACCGCGCCCGGCCTTCTGCTAGCTTTTGGATTAGTTTGCTGTTGCCTCTCTAGCTCTTTTAATTGTGATGTTAGGGTGTCGATTTGAGATCTTTCTAGCTTTCTGATGTGGGCATTTAGTGCTGTAAATTTCCCTCTTAATACTGCTTTAGCTATGTCCCAGAGATTCTGGTACGTTGTCTCTTTGTTCTCATTGGTTTCAAAGAACTTCTTGATTCTGCCTTAATTTCATTATTTACCCAGGAGTCATTCAGGAGCAGGTTGTTCAATTTCCATGAAATTGTGTGGTTTTGAGCGAGTTTCTTAATCCTAAGTTCTATTTGATTGTATTGTGGTCTGAGAGACTGTTTGTTATGATTTCAGTTCTTTTGCTTTTGCTGAGAAGTGTTTTGCTTCCAATTAGTGGTTGATTTTAGAATAAGTGCCATGTGGCACTGAGAGGAATGTATATTCTGTTGATTTAGGGTAGAGTTCTGTAGACGTCTACCAGGTCCACTTGATCCAGAGCTAAGTTCAAGTCCCGAATATCCTTGTTAATTTTCTGTCTCATTGATCTGTCTGATACTGACAGTGGGGTGTTAAAGTCTCCCACTATTATTGTGTGGTAGTCTAAGTATCTTTGTAGGTCTCTAAGAACTTGTTTTATGAATTTGGGTGCTCCTGTATTGGATGCATATATATTCAGAATAGTTAGCACTTCCTGTTGAATTGTTCCCTTTGCCATTATGTAATGCCCTTTTTTGTCTTTTTTGATCTTTGTTGGTTTAAAGCCTGTTTTGTCAGAGACTAGGATTGCAACCCCTGCTTTTTTTTTTTTTGCTTTCCATTTGCTTGGTAAATTTTCTTCCATCCCTTTATTTTGAGGCTGTGTGTGTCTTTGCACATAAGATGGGTCTCCTGAATACAGCACACCAATGGGTCTTGACTCCTTACCCAATTGGCCAGTCTGTGTCTTTTAATTGGGGCATTTAGCCCATTTACATTTAAGGTTAATATTGTTATGTGTGAATTTGATCCTGTCATCATGATGCTGTTTGGTTATTTTGCATACTAGTTGATGCAGTTTCTTCATAGTGTCATTTGTCTTTATATTTTGGTGTGTTTTTACAGTGGCTGGTACTGGTTTTTCCTTTCCATATTTAGTGCTTCTTTCAGCAGCTCTTGCAGGGCAGGCCTGGTGGTAATGAAATCCCTCAGCATTTGCTTGTCTGGAAAGGATTTTATTTCTCCTTAGCTTATGAAGCTTAGTTTGGCTGGATATGAAATTCTGGGTTGAGGCTGGGTGCAGTGGCTCATGCCTGTAATCCCAGCACTTTGGGAGGCCAAGGTGGGTGGATCATGTGGTCAGGAGTTCGAGACCAGCCTGGATAACATGGTGAAACCCTGTCTTCTACTAAAAATACAAAAATTAGCTGGGCATGCTGGTAGGCACCTGTAGTCCCAGTTACTTGGGAGGCTGAGGCAGGAGAATCCCTTGAACCCTGGAGGCAGAGGTTGCAGTGAGCTGGGATCATGCCACTGTACTCTAGCCTGGGTGACAGAGCAAGACTCTGTCTCAAAAAAAAAAAAAAAAAAAAGGAATTCTGGGTTGTAAACTCTTGTCTTTAAGAATGTTGAATATTGGCCCCCAATCTCTTCTGGCTT
Organism: Homo sapiens; assembly: GCF_000001405.40. NCBI lineage: Eukaryota > Metazoa > Chordata > Mammalia > Primates > Hominidae > Homo > Homo sapiens. The sequence goes on along the minus strand of NC_000011.10, from coordinate 73,500,189 downwards.
GAAGAGTTTCTGCTGAGAGGTCCACTGTTAGACTGATGGGCTTCCCTTTGTAGGTGACCTGGCCTTTCTCTCTGGCTGCCCTAACAGTTTTTCCTTCATTGTGACCTTGGAGAATCTGATGATGATGTGTCTTGGGGTTGATCTTCTTGTGGAATATCTTAATGGTGTTCTCTGTATTTCCTGAATTTGCATGTTGGCCTCTCTTGCTAGTTTGGGGAAGTTCTCCTGGATAATATCCTGGAGTGTGTTTTCCAGCTTGTTTCCATTCTCTCCATCTCCTGGTACTCCAGTCAACCGTAGGTTTGGTCTTTTTATGAAGTCCCATATTTGTTGGAGGCTTTGTTCTTTCCTTTTCATTCTTTTTTCTCTATTTTTGTCTGCATGTCTTATTTCAGTAAAGTGGTCTTCAAACTCTGATAACCTTTCTTCCGCTTGGCTGATTCGGCTGTTGATACTTGGGTGTGCCTCATGAAGTTCTTGTGCTGTGTTTTTCAGCTCCATCAGGTGGTTTATGTTCCTCTCTAAACTGGTTATCCTAGTTAGCAATTCTTCCAACCTTTTATCAAGGTTCTTAGCTTCTTTGCATTGGGTTAGAACATGTTCCTTTTGATCATCATAGTTTTTTATTACCCATCTTCTGAAGCCTACTTCTCTCAATTCGTCCATCTGATCCTCTGTCCAGTCCTGTGCCCTTGATGGAGAGACGTTGCAATCATTTGGAGGAGAAGAGGCACTCTGGTCTTTTGGGTTTTCAGCATTTTTTCATTGATTTCTTCTCATCTTTGTGAGTTTGTCTAGTTCAGTCTTTGAGGCTGCTGACTCTTGGATGGGGTTTTTGTGGGAGCCTTTTTTTGTTGTCGTTGATGCTGTTGTTGTTGCTTTCTGCTTGTTTGTTTTTCTTTCAATAATCAGGTCCCTCTTCTGTAGGTAGGGCTGCTGCAGTTTGCCGGGGGTTCACTTCAGGTCTTGTTCATCTGATTCACTCCCATGCCTGGAGATGTCACTGAAGGAGGCTGGAAGAGCAGCCAAGATGGGTTCCTGCTCCTTCTTCTGGGACCTCTGACCTTGAGGGGCACCAGCCTGATGCCAGTAGGATTGCTCCTGTATAGGGTGTTTGACAACCCTGTCGAAGGGTCTTGGGTGGCACGGGGAGCAGCACCTGTTTAATGAAGCACTTTGTCCCTTGGTGGAGAGGGTGTGTTCCGCTGGGGGGATACCCACTCATCTGGGCTGCCCAGATTCCTCAGAACTACCAGGAGAGGCTAAGCCTGCTGGTCCAAAGAAACTATGGCTACCCGTCCCCGCTAGGGGCTCAGGTCCAGGGAGATCCAAATTCCATCCCTGAGCCTCTGGCTGGAGTTATTGGAGATCCTGCAGGGAAGCCCCTCTCACTGAAGAAGGATGGGTCAGGGTTAGACCTGAACTGGCACTCTGCCCACAGACTGCCACAGCCTGTGTGTTGGGCTGTGGGACAAGTCTTGGGACCAAGCCATTCAGCCTCCCGGGCTCCAGCAGGGGAAAAACACAGCCTGGAGCTATAGAAATGGGTGCTGCCCTTACCCTGCCCAGGGAGCTTAGCATGTCAGGCAGTTGCGAGTTCCAATGCTGGTTGCTGCCCCTCCCCAAGGAGCTCAAACGGCTTAGACAGTGGGCCACTGCAACCCAGTGCTGGTCGCCCCTCCCCCAGGGAGTTCAGTAGGCTTAAGCAGATTCCAGCTAAGAGGCTGTAAGAATCTGTGTGTCCCAGTGGCATGGGTTTGCTAGTGGGATCTTCTGATCCGTGGGTTGCAAAGTTGAGTGGAAAAAGCACACTCTCCCTGGCTGGGTAGCGTGCTCATTCACTGCCTCCCTTGGCTGGGGGGAAGGGGGGGTCCCCTTCCCTGTGCAGCTCTTGAGTGGGCTGCTGTACCGCACTGCTCTTCCTTTTCTCCATGGGTCACGCCAGCCTTCTAGTCAATTTTGATGAGAGAACCTAGATCCTTGGTGGCCGGCGAAGGATTCACATACTTATTATGTTTTTTTTCGATGGGAGCCTCCAAACGCCACTGCTTCTAGTTGGCCATCTTGGCCCCCAGAGTCACTGCTCTTAGCTGCTGTACTAGTCGGCCTCATTAGAGCATAAGCTTTTTGAGGGCAGGGGTGTTTGTTTTGTTCATGGCTATTTCACCAGTATCTAGAGTAGTGCCTGGCATGTAGTAAGCAATAAACATTTGTTAAATGAATGAATGCATATCAATAATATGTGAGAAAAAAATTAAATGGAGTTGTTTTGAGTTTTATTTATTTTTATTATGCTTTAAGTTCTAGGGTACATGTGCCTAACGTGCAGGTTTGTTACATATGTATACATGTGCCATGTTGGTTTGCTGTACCCATTAACTTGTCATTTACATTAGGTATTTCTCCTAATGCTATCCCTTCCCCATCCCCCCACCCAACGACAGGCCCCAGTGTGTGATGTTCCCTGCTCTGTGTCCAAGTGTTCTCATTGTTCAGTTCCCACCTATGAGTGAGAACGTGTGGTGTTTGGTTTTCTGTTTTGAGTTTTAACCATGCCCTCTCTTTTTCTTCTAGAGACCTAGTTATTGCTCTAGTCCTGTGCTGTTCAATAGCCACATATCAAGTACTTAGTAGCTACATGTGGCTAATAGCTACTATATTGGACAGCACAGATATACTAGAATATTTCCATCATTATAGAAAGTTCAGCTGGACAGTATGTCTTTTTTTTTTTTGAGGGGGGGTATGGAGTCACTCTCTGTCGCCAGGCTGGAGTGCAGTGGTGCAACCTCCGCCTCCCAGGTTCAAGTGATTCTCCTGCCTCAGCCTCCCAAGTAGCTGAGACTACAGGCGCGCGCCACCACACCTGGCTAATTTTTGTATTTTTAGTAGAGACGGGGTTTCACCATGTTGGCCAGGATGGTCTGGATCTCCTGACCTCGTGATCTGCCTGTCTGGGCCTCCCAAAGTGCTGGGATTACAGGTATGAGCCACCGTGCCTGGCCGACAGTAGTTCCTCCTGGTACGCAGGCCAGAGGCCAAAACAGAGTGAGGCCTGAGGCAAGAGCAAGTGGTGAGAATGAAAGATAAAAAGGGATGGGATCACGCAGGGCTTTCGATGCAGAAATCAAATTTGGACTTTATTTTGAAGCGAGTGTTTTCTGAATTCGGCCATTTTTCAAAAATACGTGGGGAATTTGTGTAAAATTCTGATTCCCAGGTGTCCTGATTTAGTAGTTTTGGTGTTAGACCTAAAACTGTGTGTGTGTGTGCGTGTGTGTGCGTGTGTGTGTGTGTGTGTGTGTGTGTGTGTGTGATAAGAACATACAGGGCTGGGTGCAGTGGCTCACGCCTGTAATCCCAGCACTTTGGGAGGCCGAGGTGGGTGGATCACGAGGTCAGGAGATCAAGACCATCCTGGCTAACACGGTGAAACCCCGTCTCTACTAAAAATACAAAAAATTAGCCGGGCATGGTGGTGGGCGCCTGTAGTCCCAGCTACTCGGGAGGCTGAGGCAGGAGAATGGCGTGAACGCGGGAGGCGGAGCTTGCAGCAAGCCGAGATCGCGCCACTGCACTCCAGCCTGGGCGACAGAGTGAGACTCCGTCTCAAAAAACCAACCAACCAACCAAACAAACAAACAAAAAATAACATAAAATTTACCATCTTAACTATTTTTAAGTATACACTACAGTAGTGTTAACTATATGCACTTCATTGTGTGATAGATCTCTAGAACTTTTTCATCTTGCAAAACTGAAACTAAAGGTTGGTGCAAAGGTAATTGTAGTTTTCGCCATTGAAAGTATGGTCAAAGCCGCAATTACTTTTGCACCAACCTAATATATCCGTTGAACAACAACTTCCCTTTTCACCTTCCACCTTGGTAACCACCATTTTACTTTCTGTTTCTAAGAGTTTAACTTCTTTGGATACGTCATATAAGTGGAATCATGCAGTATTTGTCGTTTTGTGAGTAGCTTACTTTACTTAGCATAACGTCCTCAAGATTCATGCATATTGTAGTATACAGCAGGATTTTCTTTTTTAAGAGTGAGTAATATTCCATCATGCGTGTGTGGGTGCAGGTTGTGTGTATGCGGGTTGTGTGTATGCATGTGTGTATACAACATTTTCTTTATCCATTCATTCATCAGTGGACATTTAGGTTGCTTCCACTCTTTGGCTGTTGTCCATAGTATTGCAATGAACATGGGTGTGCAAATATCTCTTTGAGATCCTGTTTTAAATTCTTTTGAATGTATATGCAGAAGTGAAATTGCTGGATCATATGGTTATTATATTTTTAATTTTTTGAGGAACCTCTGTATTGTTTTCCATAGTGGCTACACCATTTTATATTACCACCAAATTTTAAATAAGGGTTCCAATTTCTCTACATCCTCATCAACATTTGCTATTTTCTGTTTTTTTGATAATAGTCATCTTAATGGGTGTGAGGTGGTATCTTGGTGTAGTTTTAAGTTGTGTTTCTCTGATAACTGATGATGTTGAACATACCTTCATACGCTTGTTGGTCATTTGTATATCTTTGGAGAAATGCCTGTTCAAGTTCTTTATCCATTTTTAAATTGTATTAGTTGTAAAACTCTATGTCTTAAATAGTACCCCTATCCATCTGATTCGCTCCCATGCCTGGAGATGTCACTCAAGGAGGCTGGAAGAGCACCCCAGTGATTTCAATGGAGATTGGTGGTGAGTGGGCCAGCAGTGGTGATGGAGTGGTGATGGAGATTGAGGAGGCTTGGTTGCTCAAACTGCATTGTTCTTGATTGGGTTATTCTTGACATCACACACTCTTCAGTTTGATTTTATTTATTTATTTATTTATTTAATTTTGAGACGGAGTCTCGCTCTGTCGCCCAGGCTGGAGTGCAGTGGCACGATCTCGGCTCACTGCAAGCTCTGCCTCCTGGGTTCACGCCATTCTCCTGCCTCAGCCTCCCGAGTAGCTGGGACTACAGGTGCCTGCCACCATGCCTGGCTAATTTTTTGTATTTTCAGCAGAGACGGGATCAGTTTGATTTTTTTTTTTTTTTTACGTCTATACCATTAAGCCTCAAATTAGACAGGCAATTCCCTGGGGAGTCTTTACTGAGTCCTGAAATTACCCTCTCTTCCATTTTCTGAGCCTTTAGCTTCTTTTTTTTCTTCTTTTTTTTTTGAGACAGTCTCACTCCATCACCCAGGCTGGAGTTCATTGGCATGATCTTGGCTCACTGCTGCAGCCTCTGCCTCCTGGGTTCAAGTGATTCTCATGCCTCAGCCTCCCAAGTAGTAGCTGGGATTACAGGCATGGGCCCCCACACCTGGCTAATTTTTGTATTTTTAGTAGAGATGGGGTTTCGCCATGTTGGCCAGGCTGGTCTTGAACTCCTGACTTCAAGTAATCCGCCCTCCTCGGCCTCCCAAAGTGCTGGATTACAGGCATGACCTAACTTCTTCTAAAAGTGTACTTCCTTTTCCATCAAGAGTGCTTTCCTGGCGTTGGTGCTGCTAGGAATCTACCTCTTCATTGTGCCCATCCTCCATTTTTTCCCCAATTTTTCTACGTCTTCATCACAATAAAACTCTTCCTGGCTCTTTGCCCAAGGCTGCAGCCTAAAATGTTCTGGGGCCTCTGCATCAAACAAGGGTGGTTCTGCCAGGTTTTTCTGAGCCCTTCTGTCCTGAGACAAAGGACTTGGCCTGGTATTCAGAGTGTCAACCGCTTGGAATGTAACAGTTCCTGATTCAGAGCCTTAGACCTCCCACTGCAATGGCTCAGTGTCTTTGAACTAACCAATAAGCACAGGAGATCTCTTGTCCTTTGAGTAGAAGAGCAGCCTCACTGCCACTCTTTTGGCTGGGACTCTAGGGGCCTGAGGTCCTGTTCTGGATTTGTGACCTGCTCTGTGACTTTGAGTGAGTCACTTAGTCTTTGTTTTCCCAGTTGCAAAATGAAGGGCTTAAATTAAATGATCTTTGAGGTCCTACCAAGCTCTAACACTCTTTGGTTCAATTCTGTTAATCATACATGTACATGTATATGTACATACTGTACATAATGTACATGTCCATACTGTACATAATGTACATGTCTTGGTGTTCTTGGCTCTTTATTAGCCAGTGGGGCACTCCATAGGTTAATAAAATAGACTCTGCTTTCAGAGCTCATAGTCCAGGAGGGAAGCAGTTGCATAAACAACTAAATCTTCTAACATGAAGTGTTTCTAGAATGGCACTGTCACCATGTATTTTTGGGATAGAGGATAGTGATTAGTTTTAGTTGGAAGGGTCTGTGAAGCTTCATGTAGGAGACAGCGTTTGAGTCTTTGGTCTTGTCTTCACCTCTGTTCTGTTGTTCTTTCCTCTCTCCATCTCCGTGTGAATTCCCAAACCTGGTCTTTTTTTAAACTCTGGGACAGTTTTCAGGATAAGTTATGTTCCTCCTTAAATAAAAATAAAACAAGGCTGCGCATGGTGGCTCATGCCTGTAATCCCAGTACTTTGGGAGGCAGAAGCAGGTGGATTGCTTGAGCCCAGGAGTTTGAGACCGCCTGGGCAACATGGTGAAACCCTGTCTCTACAAAACAAATACAAAAATTAGCCTAGCATGGTGGCACACGTCGGTAGACCCAGCTACTTAGGAGGCTGAGGCCTTGGGAGGATCACTTGAGCCCAGGAGGCAGAGGTTGCGGTGAGCTGAGATTGCACCACTGCTGTCCAGCTTGGGTGAGAGAGTGAGACCCAGTCTCAAAAACACAAAACAAAACAACCTTTAAAAAGACCCTAAAAACTAAAGATACATACACAGACACAGTGAGCCTTTCCTCCTTTCTCTGAACCCCTGCAATAACTGTATACGTATGGTCTACGGGCTACCTGTAAAGTTCGTTTAGCACTTGTTATCTTGCCTTTCTTTTATTATTTGGAACTATGAGTTCAAGCTACTTCTCTCATTTTGTCTGCCACCAGGACTTTTTTTTTCACTTTGTGATTTTTTTTTTCCTACTTTCATTTTAGGTTTGAGGGTACATGTTCAGGTTTGTTACATGGATACATTGCATGTTGCTGAAGTTTGGTGTATGAATGATCCTGTCACCCAGGTAGTGAGCGTAGTACCCAATAGGTAGTTTTTCAGTCCATCCTTCTCCACACTCTTGGTAGAGCCCAAGGTCTGTTGTTGCCATCTTTTTGTCCATGCTTACCCAATGTTTAGTTCCTGCTTATAAGTGAGAACATGTGGTATTTGATTTTCTGTTTCTGCATTCATTTGCAAGAATGAATAGAGGATAATGGCCTCCACCTGCATCCATGTTGGTGCAAAGGACAGGATTTTGTTCCTTTTTATGGCTGCATTGTGTTCCATTGCCACCAGGATTTTGAACTCTGAGTATTTGAGTCACATTTTTGCTATTAGACTATCTGCTTCTAAGGGCAAACCGTATCTTATTCTCTTATCATCTGTGCCACCTCTAAGTGATTTACATAATGAATAATCCAGAGCAGAGTATCATTAAATATGGTTTATTTTATTTTATTTTATTGAGACAGGTTTTGCTCTGTCACCAGGCTGGAGTGCAGAGGTGCGATCTCGGCTTACCGCAGCCTTGACCTCCAGGCTTAAGCAATCCTCCTGCCTCAGCCCCCCGTGTAGCTGGGACTACAGGTGCACGCCACCGTGCCCGGCTAATTTTTTTGAAATTTTTTTTGTAGAGATGGGGTTTCACCATGCTGGTCTTGAACTCCTGGATTCAAGGGATCCACTGCCTCAGCCTCCCAAAGTGCTGAGATTATAGGCATAAACCACCATGCCAGGCTGAGTTTGTTTATTTTAAACCAAGTCTTTTGCTCTGATATGAATGTCATATTTGCTTATTTTTTCAGGATGTGCTGGTTATGTTGTTAAGTGATTAATTTATAATGTGTGGCATTCTTTTTTGTCTATCTTGATCTTTCGTTCTTGCCTCAGCCATCTTCTTGGCTCTAAGAAATACGGTGAACCTTATGACATGATGGGAGGAACATTGGGCTTGGCGTGTGAGGAGTCAGGGTAAAGTCTGGGCAAGTTGCTTCTCTCCTTTTAGGCTTTTCTCATTTGTAAAGTAGATGCTAATACCAGCCCTGACTCTCCATGGAGACTATGGAAATCATAAAGCTATCTTTTTATTTCTTTGGTTTTTAGCATTTTAAATTTAACTAACATTCACAAAGTACCTTTGATATAATTAGCCCTGTGCTGGAGGAATGGAAAGAAGAATCATACTTGGCCTTTGTATTCCAAGGACTTTACACACCTTATTGGTCAGGCAGTTATGAACACAAAGAAACAAGGGAGTGAACAAAGGAGGTAGATGGGGAAAAGAATTGGGGATTATGAATGTTGGACTTGCAAGCTTATGTGGTTCAGTTTGGAGATCTGGCTTGCTTTGTGAAGATTCTTTCTATGACATCTTAGACTATAGCTGGGTTAACAGGTCTGCATCCCACGTATGAGATGAGAGTCAGTGTTCTACTAGAGATTATCGTTTTTATACAACAACAGTGTGGTGCAGGAGAAAGAATAGGGAACTTGAGTTCAAGTCCCCGGTCTGTTACTTAGAAACTATGCATCCTCCTTGAATATGTTACATAATACTGTTGAAAACTCAGTTTTGTCTTGAGTAAAAACAGAATAAATACCTCAATAATTATTCAGTTCAATTTAACAAACATTTATGGGAGTCTTCTCTGTGCTAGCTGGATTCTGAAGTTTCAGAAGTGAAAGGAGAGTCTTCTAGGAACTCTCAGTCCAGAGAGAAGAATTATGCCTTGTAAGAGCGTCTTTTGGTTGTTAGTATTATGCAGACATGCAGGCTTCCACCATGGATGACCAAACATTAAGTCTCCTTCCCGCTGGAGTGGTATTACCATAAGTAACTTCCCATCATGTCTCCTTTCTGTTTGTGGTCTTCCCCTCTCCATGGGCTCTTTTCTCATCTCCCATCAGCTCCTAACCTGCCTCTCTGGCCAGCTGTCTGGGGAGTATGTGTATATATGTGTGTTTTGTCAACAGCTGGTCCTGGAAGGCTCAGGATTATTATGAGGAATAAATATAATAATTTCAGTGAGGCCAACTGAAATTAGTATTTGTCAGTAGGCACTGACTAATGGGAGCTTTCATTATGTATAATCTGTGTATCATCTGAGTCATAGAACAGGGGCACCTCTCAAATTATTCCCTCAAAAGTGTGGAGAAGAGTGATCAATATTCTGGATGCTGTTCTAGCACTGGGGATGCAACAGTAGACTAAACAGATTAAAATCTGAATCACCATGGAGCTTACATTTTGGGTGAAGGGGGGAGAAGACATACAACAAGATAAAAAATAAAATATTAAGTACAATAGATATGTGGGAAAGAGGAAAAATAAAGCAAGGAAGATAACTATAATGTTGAGTTTGTTAAAGGTTTGCACTTTTAGGTAGGGAGCCAAGGAAAGTCTCACAGAGAAGGTGATTTTAAATTAAGACCTGAAGTAAGTGAGAGAATGAACTGGAGGAAGAACATTTCAGGCAGAGAGAATAGATGCCAAAGCCCTGAGGCCAGTCCTGGTATGTTTTAAGGAATAGCAGGGGAACAGGGAACAGGATGGCTGAAGTGAAGTGCCTGAAGTTGAGGAGAGTAACAGGAGTCAAAAGGTTGAGAAGGTAATTTATAATGTGTGGCATTATAAATTCATTTCTTGTTTGGTTTTCTAGATCCTAGTAAAGACTTAGCTTTTCCACTGCGTGAGGTAGGAAGTCACTGAGGATTAGATGAGTGACCTGATTTAACTTATGTTTTCAGAGAGCCACTCTGGCTGCTGTGTTGAGAATAGACAAAAGAAGGAGTAAATGCAAAAACAGGGGGGGCAGTAATACTTGTGAGAGATGATAGTGATTTAGATTAAGATGGTAGAAGTGAGGGTAGTGAGAATTGATTGAATTCTGAATATATTTTAGAGACAGAGCTGAAAGTGATTTGCTGATGGACTAGTTGTTAAGGTATGAGAAAAAGAGAAGTCAAGAACAACACCAAAATTTTTATCTGTGCAATTAAAAGCATGGAGTTGCAATTCAGTGAACTGGGGAGGACTTCAGGAGAAACAGATTTTAGGAGAGTGGGAGGTGGTAAATATAAAAATGTAGATGGTATTTGGTTATGCAATTAGATAAGGGGGCTTTGAGAGTGTATGGAGACTTTAGAAAAGAGAAGGGGCCTAGGTCACCACAAAGTTTAGAAATTGAGAAAGAGCTGCCAGAATGATAGGGAGAAAAATAAAACAAACATATCAAAACCCAGGTGAGTATAGTGTCCAAAAGCCAAGTGATGAAAGTATTGAAAAGAGGGGAGATGCCGGATACCATGGCTCATGCCTGTAATTCAACACTTTGCGAAGCTGAGGCGGGCAGATTACTTGAGCCCAGGGATTCAAGACCAGCCCAGGCAACACAGCATCTCTATGAAAACAAAAACAAAAACAAAATTAGCCAGGAGTGGTGGCATGTGCCTTTAGTCCCAGCTACTCGGGAGGCTGAGATGGGAAGATCGCTTGAGCCTAGGAAGTTGAGGATACAGTGAGCCGTGGTTGTGCCACTGCACTTGAGCCTGGGCAAAAGAGCAAAAGACCCGATATCCAAAAAAAAAAAAAAAGTGGGGGATGGGGTGTGGGGGAGAGAATGATCAATTATGTTAAATGCTGCTGCTGACATGTCAAGTAAGATGAGGGTTGAAAATTGACCACTAGTTTTAGCATAGTGGAGGTCACTGGTGACTTTGATTAGAACATGGTGGTAGAGTGGTGGGAATGGAAATCTGATTGGAGTGGGTTCAAAAGAATAGGAAGAAAGATGAGAGAAAGCAAGTACAGTATAAAACAGCTCTTTCTAGAATTCTCAATACAGGAGGGTTAAAAGAAGAAAATAACCCAACTCTTTATAGGAATTTTGCTATGAAGGGAAGGAGACATGAAATGGTAGCTGGGGCCTGGTGCGGTGGCTCACACCTATGTAATCCCAGCACTTTTGGAGGCCAAGGCGGGCAGATCAAGAGGTCAGGAGTTCAAGACCAGCCTGGCCAACATAGTGAAAGCTTGTCTCTACTAAAAATACAAAAATTAGACGGGCATACACTTACAGTCCCAGCTACTCGGGAGGCTGAGGCTGGAGAATTGCTTGAACCTGGGAGGCGGAGGTTGCAGTGAGCTGAGATCGCACCACTGCACTCCAGCCCAGGTGACAAAGCAAGACTCCGTCTCAAGAAAAAAACAAAGAAAGAAATGGTAGCTAGTATGTTAGATGGAATCAAGACAGAACTTTTTGTTTATTTTATGTATTTATTTTATGTGAGACAAGTAACAGTATGTTAATATGAATAATCCTGCAGAGAAGGGAAGTCCTAATAATGCTCAAGAAAGAGGGGTGAAATGACTTGAAGTAGTGTCCTTTGTTTGGTAAGGGAATGGAATCTAGTGTACCACTGGAAGGTTGGAACGTGGACTGTTCATCCACGGTGATAGGAGAGAAGTTAAGAGTCTGTGGGTACAGGTGCAGTTTGGTAGGTAAATGTGGTGGGAGCTCTTGAAAACTCTCTTTTCGATGATTAATTTTCTTTAGACAAATAAGCAAAATCACTAGTTGAGAGTGAGATTAGGAGCAAAGAAAGCATGAAACAGTATAGGATGGACGAGGCAAATATAGAATGATTGTCAGATTTCATTTAGAACCGACATGAGGCTGGGCACAGTGGCTCTCACCTGTAATCCCAGCACTTTGGGAGGCTGAGGTGGGCAAATCGCCTGAGGTCAGGAGTTCAAGACCAGCCTGGCCAGTGTGGTGAAACCCTGTCTCTACTAAAAATACAAACATTAGCCAAGTACGGTGGCAGGCGCCTGTAATCCCAGCTACTTGGGAGGCTGAGACAGGAGAATTGCTTGAACCCAGGAGGCAGAGGTTGTGGTGAGCCAAGATCGTGCCATGACACTCCAGCCTGGGCAATAGAGTGAGACTTCGTCTAAAAAGAAAAAAAAAAAAAGGCCCCACATGAAAATAGTGATCATGAGTTTAAAGTTAAATTTTAACTTTAGTAAACATAATTGTGTGTTTTCCTACTCCCAAGACCTATACCAGTGTTGGCAGAGAGTAGACGGTGACTGAATTTAACCAGGGTTGTGGTTTAACCAAACTAGTGTCAATACAAGTGATAGAGGGGCAAGGGAATGATTATTAAAAAATTGACCAAGGAATTTAGGATAGCCAGGGTTAGGAGAGAGGTGAGGGTACGAGGAGGGTGATGGACAATGAAATATAGGTAGAATTAGTAGATTGAATGTCCTGATAGGTTGAGGGATTGTTAGAATTGGTGTACTATAGAGAGCAAACTAGAAAGTTAAGAGATGGTGTTTGGCGAATGAGATATTTGAAATTAAGATTAGAGAAAAAAGGTTTCAGTTATTAGTAATAACACGGTCAAGGATTATAACCATGGAAATGAGAGGCTGAGGTTGGGTGGAAATGTCAAGATCAGTGGAGGAGAGATCAGATAACTGAGAGGGCAATGCATTATAATCATTACTTATATAGTTATTAAAATTACCAGGAATTATGATAAGAATATATTAGAGAGAATGACAGTGAGCTAGGAGCCACAATCTTTAAGGCATAAGAGGAAAGTTACTTGGAAGCAGTAAATGGCTACAAAGAGGGATGATGTTGAATCTGATGATGTGAGATTCAGAACTGAATGTTTTTATGGAGAAGGGTCTGTAAGTGGTTCAAGGCCTAGGGGAAGGTGAGAAGTGAGAGAAAATCAGCCCCTGCTTGAAAGTGCTGCACAGGAAAGCATTATTATATGAGACAGCCAGATTTCACTTAGAGCAGGGGACATTCATAGGAGAGGTTGAAGTTGTAGAGGATTTTGCTAACCTTGAGTTCCAGAGAATACAGTGGAAAAAGATCAGGAGATGAAGTGGGGAGAGTGATGAGAGTTGGAGCATGGAATGTACAGAGCCACATAGGATTAAAGTCTGGAAGATGAGAGTTGGAAAAAAGGAAAAAAGCAAACAAAAAAATAATATCCCCAGCTGAGAAGGAAGAGGTCTTTTCTGTTTGTTTTTAGTAAGATCATTCGTATTTTATTCACATTGGTCTTGCTGGTTAAAAAATAATCCATGGCTCATCAATGTGGATGATATAAATTTATTAATACTGAAAACATACTACTTGTAATAAGAAATATTTGTACATATATTCTGAAAACCAGACAGATGCACACTTGTTCTCCTGCAAGAAAATATGTTTAGGGATACCAAAACAGATGAGTAGCTTATGCTAAGCATTAATCTTTATTCAAACATTGATACCACATTGTCTTTTCTATTGAGGGCCATTTTGCTTCCTGATGAATGTGTTAGAACTTATTTTTCAAGTAGCAGGATGCTCCATCTAAATGATCTATTTGGAAATACTTGTTCCAGATTATAAATCAATCTGGAAATCTCAGTGGCACAGGAGGGGAAAAATTCTACAGTGAGCTTTTAATTTTATCTCTAAAAGCTAATAAATGATGGTCAGACTTACAGTTTGTGATTATCTTTATCCGAAATGGGAAGTCTGGAATGTTATTGAAAACCAGCATTTTCATGCTTTAACATGGATGAACCTTGAAGAAGTTATGCTAAATGAAATAAGCCAGTCAGAAAAGGACAAATATTGTATAATTCATCTTAAATTAGGTTCTTAGTTAAATTTAGAGACAGAATATAGAATGGTGGTATCAGGGACTGGGTAGGAAGAGGAGAATGGGGAGTTAGTGTTTAATGGGTATGAAGAGTCCAGTTTAGTTCATGAAGATGAAAAGTTCTGGAGATGGATGGTGGTGATGGTTGCATGACAATGTGAATGTGTTTAATGCCTCAAAACTGTACACTTTAAAATGATTAAAGTAGTCAATTTTGTGTTATGTATATTGTAACAACAAAACAAGCAAAACCCTCCAGTGTTGTGAGTATTCAGTGCTTACAGGACTGCTTGTCTAAACTAAGTCAACCATACCCATATTGTATTACCAATAATGGGCCGTTTTCCCCCAAACTTTACATTTGTATAGTAGGTAGATAAGAATAAATAAGGAAGCTGATTCTAAGGTATTGGTAGATCAGGGATAGAGATACACATGTAGTCCTCCATGGTCTAGTTCCAGAACTTCCCTATTTATAAATGCGGGGGCTGAAAACTTGAAGAGGGTGGGCTTTGAAGAATAGAGTTCCCTGGCTGCTCTGAAGCAACACAGTTCCTCCACCAGAGACCCTTTTTATTAAACTTAGGTAGTAGTAGCTACTGACTTTGCTGCTGACTTGCACATTGGGCCTGGTTTGACTCCAAACCTTCAGCAGGGCATCTGGACAAAGTAGGAGACTCATTATACCATCTTCAGGTTGATTGATTACATTCTGTATACCTATGGTTTTTTCCTAAAGGGAATGAATTTTTAAAATACACGTAATAAAATAGGACGAAAAACAAACAGATTATCAGTGAAGGGGAAATAGGATAATATAGTAAATTTAGTAAAAAAGCTGGGGTAAATTTAGTACTAGAAGTTTTTGCTCATTGCTAAGAACGCTCAGCTTTCCGGTGACCAGACCAAGGCCTGGTCCAAGGTTCAGATTGTCTATCATTCATTCACGTATTCTTTCAGCTGATAGTTTATTCCTATTAAGTGTTTGAATATTCAAAAGACACGTGTATCTCTGGTTCTAATGTCTGAAGGAAGTAGAACTCATTATAAACAATAGGTGACATTAGTGGATGCCACAATAAACCTGATGGCAGGGTCTGTGTGTGATTTGTTTCTCCTAGATCCAGTACCAGTGATTAGCTCAGATCTAGTACTTAGGGATTTGCTGAATGAATTAGTAAGAAATTACTACTTTTTAGGATCTCATGTAAAAACTTGGTCAATGGAATGACTTTAAAACAGTCCTTTAGATGTGTTATGTATATTTAACAACATGATGGTTGTTAAAATAAAAGTGATGGTTAATACTGAGTGTCAACTTGATTGGATTGAAGGATGCAAAGTATTGATCTTGGGTATGTCTGTGAAGATGTTGCCAAAGGAGATTAATATTTTAGTCAGTGGGCTGGGGAAGGCAGACCCACCCTTAATCTGGGTGGGCACCATCTAATCAGCTACCGTTGAATATAAAGCAGGCAGAAAAATGTGAAAAGGCCAGACTGACTTACCCCGGCTACATCTTTCTCCCTTGCTGGATGCTTCCTGTCCTTGAACATCGGACTCCAGGTTCTTCAGCTTGGGACTTGGACTGGCTTCCTTGCTCCTCAGCTTGCAGATGGCCTATTGTAGGATCTTAGGATCCTGTAGGTTAATACTACTTAATAAATTCCTATATATCTATATATCTATATATCGATATATATCTATATATATATCTATATATATCTATATCTATATATCTATAGCGATACATATCTATATCTATCTATATATAGATAGATAGATATCGATATAGATATCTATATATAGATATATATCGATATAGATATCGATATATAGATAGATATCGATATATAGATATATAGATATATAGATATAGATAGATATATAGATATATAGATATATATATCTATATATATCTCTCTCTCCTCTTAGTTCTGCCCCTCTAGAGAACCCAGAATAATACAATCATCAAATACTGAATACCTGTAGTGTGTAGTTGGTCCTGTGCTGTACCCTGGGGAAGAAAAGGATATGAATAAATTATGGTTATTTAAGAAAACCTGATGATACAGAGTACTATGTGATATAAAATTTGTAAGGACTATGAAAGCTCAGAGGAGAGTGTTCCTCATAGGCTGGGCTATTCAGCTTATACATCCTTAAAACGGGGATAATAAATAAAGTTACTGTGAAAATTAAAGATGTTAACATTAAACATCTGTTAAAATTAAAGATGTTAACAGTTATGGTATATAACGTACTCTGTATCCTCAGCGCTGATGCTGGAAGTGGCATAAGATAAAGACCCAGTAAAGGTTTATTGACTGAAGATAAGGAGGGAGGAAGGAAGCAGCAAGAAAGTACATTGGGAACCAAGCAGGCTTGCTTCTTTAACGACTGAGAAGGTTCAAAAGACATTCTTTCTGAGAGCCCTGTTTGGCTCTGAATTATTACATCTGACAATATTCTCTTGTGCTATTATACTTCCCCCATACAATCTTCATTCCTTACTGCCTTTATACTCTTGCTGGACTCTTCTGCTAACCTCTAAGCTAATAAAAATAATGGTTGGTGGGTAATTAGTTCACAGCAACCATCATCTCCCAAATCAGTATTTCCAGATTCCCAGTTGTCTGTTGGACATCTTTGTCTCTACTTCTTCCAAATGAACACCATCTTTGAATGCTTACCTCAGAAACCTCTGACTTTCCCCTCTTCAAGCCCTGCATACAGAGAATTTTCAAATTCTGTCAGTTCCGACTGCAAAATATTTTCCTATATTCTTTCCTTCTTTTCCGTTTTAGCTTTCCTTTCTAGTTCAGATCTTCATTTCCTTAACCTGGATAGCTGCTTTAAGACTTTCTGTTTCTCCTTTGCTAACCCATCCTTCATCTTCCCATGAAATATTATTCTAGAACACAGATATGATTATATTACTTTGTTACTTTTATCCTCCATAGCATCTTCATAGCAATTCTTTATATTAAGTGGTAGTATTTCTGTTTTATAGAGGAGGTAATTGTCTTCCTGTGGCAGATAGCCTCAAGGTGAAATGAACACTTTCCTTACTCGTTTTAGGCTCAGTAATTACCCTTCTAAAGCCCTAGACCTGGGAAAGGGACAGTCCAGTGCCTTGGGTCCCTATGGACACTGTAGGTCTTGGTTGTTGACAGTTGCATGTGATGAGGATGTTCCTCTAGGCAAAATAATGATAAAAACCACAATTTATCGTGTTTACATGTGCTCAGGCAGAACATATATTATTTCATTTAATTTTTCCAACATTCTTGGAATATTGATACCACTAGTATTTCCCACTACACAGAAGAAGAAACTGAGATTAAGTTATCCAAGGCCTCACAGCTGTTAACTGTGGCTTAAAAACCTGTTCTTGGCTGGGTGCGCCAAATAATTCCAGCACTTTGGGAGGCTGAGGTGGGCAGATCACCTGAGGACAGGAGTTGGAGACCAGCCTGGCCAACATGGTGAAACCTCGTCTCTACTAAAAATACAAAAAATTAGCCGGGCGTGGTGGCTCACGCCTTTAATCCCAGCTACTTGGGAGGCTGAGGTAGGAGAATCGCTTGAACCCAGGAGGTGGAGGTTGCAGTGAGCTGAAATTGCGCCATTGCATTCCAGCCCGGGTGACAGAGCGAGACTCTGTCTCAAAAGAAAAAAACAAAACAACACAAAAAAAACTTGTTCTTAACCATTATATGAAATTTCTAGGTGACATTTCACACATATTGCTTCCTCAGGGAAGGTGATTATTTTGCATGCTATAAACGTGCTGTTGAGAATTTATAATCTAGTGGGCCTCATAGGTTTGCTTCAAAAAACTAATATATTCTGGTAGAACCCCTTGACTCTGTGGGTTCTTCAACAAACACCTGTATTTCTTCACATTCCCTCAGTATCCTATGTCTCATGACAGATAGATCTAAAATACCCAGGAAGACTTATGACCAGCAAAAGGTGGGGAGGGGCTTTCCTGGAAGTATGCTTTCACATAGTTTATATATTTATTTGTCGGTCTTTCTATCCAGTTGTTCATCTGTCCATCCAGAGAAGAGTATCAAGATGATTTATGGTAGAAAGCCTCCAATCTAAAGTCAGGAGGCTTGGGTTTTGCTCAGAGCCCTGTCCACAACCATGACTTTCTGTGCATTTCTAGGGTAGTCCCTTCCCTTCTCTATGCCTCAGTATTCTCCCCCTTTAAAAAAAAAAAAAAAAAAAAAAAAAGGCTGTTGGATGTTGTCTTTGTGTATTTTGTGCTGCTGTAACAAAACACCTGAGACTGGGTAATTTATAAAGAACAGAAATTTATTTCTTACAATTCTAGAGGCTGGGAGGTCCAAGATCAAGGCAAGTTCATTGTCTGGTAAGAGTTCCATCTCTGTTTCTAAGACAGCACCTTGAATGCTGTGTCCTCCAGAGGAGAGGAGGAATGCTGTGTCCTCACATGGCTCTAGGTGGAAAGGCTATGAAAGGATGAACTTCCTCCATCAAACCCTTTTATAAGGATGTTAATCCATTCATGACGGCAGAGCCTTTATGACCTGAAGACCTCCCAGAAGGCTCTATCTCCCAACACTGTTGCATTTGGGATTAAGTTTCCAACACATAAATTTTGGGAGACATATTTAGACCATAGCAGATGCCATGCCACAGACCTCTTCCAGCTAGCTCTCTCTAACTACATGTGATAGGTAATATGGCAGTTTGTACTTTTGAAGAGGAGCCCCAATATTTTTATACTATATCACAGGCCTTTATTGGACTAAGGAGATAAAAATTTAGCTTATATATTTGCATTGCAAATGTAACCTCTTGTAAGTAACCGTTAAAGAGAGACTCTGAGGATTGCTGATTTATTGTCTCTCTAGAAATCCCTGATCACAATTTTTAATATGTGGGGGTGTTATAGAAAGTCTGTCTGCAGCAATCCATTTCTAGCAAATTATAATTCTGCTTCAGAGATATGTGATAATTTAAAGCCATTGTGTGATGTGGTTGTGAAACCCTGGTACTCTGTGCCTGACTGTGCTAGGTATTAGGGATGAAAGTCTGATCAAGACAAAACTGCTCTCATGGGGTTTACAGTCAGGGATGGGATACAATTATAGTGTGATAAATGTTACAGAAACATCCCAGAGAAAGTTGCACATAACTGAACCCTAAAAAGAAGAGTAAGAATTATCCAGAAGCTGTGCATGGTGGCACGTGCCTGTAGTCCCAGCTACGTGGGAGGCTGAGGCAGGAGGATCACTTGAGCCTAGGAGTTTGAGTCCAACCTGGGCAATATAGTGATACTCTGCATCTTCAAAGAAGAAGAAGAATTATCCAGACTGAGGGATAGAGGGAAGGAGCTAGGAAAGATGAGTGAGAGAAACCAGAA
Organism: Homo sapiens; assembly: GCF_000001405.40. NCBI lineage: Eukaryota > Metazoa > Chordata > Mammalia > Primates > Hominidae > Homo > Homo sapiens. Next base: position 73,481,025 of record NC_000011.10, on the reverse strand, counting down.
ATGATGGAGAACGATGGTATTAAAAACAAAACAGCATGTGTAAAGACTCAGAGACAAGAGAGTATGGCATGTTCAAGGGAACTCAAAATATCAAGTCTGCTGTATTGTAGAGTGTGAAGGCAGAAAAATGCTATTTCAAAATTACATCCGTTTTAGATAATACATCTGGATTGTGAAACAGCATGATATCATAGAAAGAACACTGGACTTGGTGTCTGTAGACCCAGGTTTGAGTTTCTGGCATCCCACTATCTATGGGACCTTGAACAAATCACTTAACTTCTGTTTTTGTTGTTGTTGTTGTTTGTTTGTTTGTTTGTTTGTTTTGTAAAATGGTCATTGTTAACTCTTGCACTCTCTTCATAAGCTATAAAAGTGCTATACTGTGAAAGCTCTTCTTGACCCTTCTACCAAGAAAAATGACATCCTCTCTCTGTTTCAAGCACTTTGTTCTAATGCAGCACCTTGTATTACAGTCAATCTTAAATACAACTATTTCCCCACTAAAAGATGAGTTCTTTTAAGGGCAGAGAATTGGCACATAGTAAGGTCCGAGTACTTGTGTGGTTTAATGAATAGTTGGGTTCTTTAGGCAGGTGTTCTCTGAAATTTGTTCTTAAAAAAAAAAAGAGAGAGAGAGAAATTTTCTATTATTTGTAAGCATTTGCTGTAGAGATAATTTTGTTGTGGTTTTGATTAGCTAAAAAGCCATTTTCTTAAAGGTATTTTAATGGGCTGAATGCTCTGGTGGTTGAAATGTGACATTTTGCAGATGAGCATCTCATTTACAGGCACGCACAAAGCTGGGTGTTGAGCTTTTGCATGAAAGATCTTTCTGGTAACTGTGGAAGCCTTTCAGATATTGAGATTCTCTGGCAGATTCCTAGAAATCAGGGTTCTCCTCCATTTCATTTTTAAATTGAAGCATTTTCTGAGATGAAATATTATATACAGTATTATAAAATGTAGAAAGCTAATGTGTTGTCTGATTATATTTGGCAAGCAATATGAAGAAGCAGACAGCTACTATAAAAATGGCTTTCTTATATATCGTATTGATAGAATTAAGAAAAAAACCACTGAAATG